>NC_000007.14:97961324-98264354 GCF_000001405.40 Homo sapiens
ATCGTAGAAGTATATTATTCCTATTGTCACAGGGGTTTCACATCCTGTGAAATTATTTGTAGTCATCCAGGGGGATGATTATCGTAAAGTCGCAGGGTGTGTACACCCTGTGATATTCTTCTTCATATTCTAGGGGGATGTGACTCCTCATGTTGCAAATGTGTACACGCTGTGATATTATTCACCATCTACTAGCTGGCTATTGTTACTAATGTCACAATGTGTGTACACCTTGTGATGTTATTCATAATATCCTAAGGGGATGTTCCTCCTGTTGTCACAGGGGCTGCGCTTTCTGTGCTATGATTTGTAGTATCCCAGGGGATGTTACTCCTACCATACAAATTGGGTACACTTTGTTATATTATTCGTAATATCCTAGAGTGATGTTACCCTTCATATCACGGGGGTGTTCCTCCTGTGATGTTATTCTTCACATTCTAGGAAGATGTGAACCCCTAATATCACAGAGCGTGTACAATCTGTGAAGTTATTCATAATAGTTTTGGGGGATGTTACTCCTAATGTCACACTTGGTGTATAAACCGTGATATGATTTGTCAAGCTTTTTTGGATATGTTAGTCCTAATCTCACAGGGGCTGTACACCCCGTGATATTATTCATAATATCTTAAAGAAATATTACCACTAATATCACAGGTGGTGTACACCCTGTGGTATTATTCCCGATGTTGTAGGGTGATGTTACTCCTAATGTTACAGATGGTATTCACATTCTGATAATACTCGTCATACCCTAAAGGGATGTTACTACTGATGTCACAATGCACGTACACAATCTGATATTATTTCTTATATCCTCGGGCAATGTTGCTTCTAATGTCACATGGGGTGTACACTTTTTGATTTTATTCGTCATATTTTAGAAAGATGTTACTCCTAATGTCACAGAGGGTGTACGCCCTGTGAAGTTATTCATAATAATTTTGGAGGCTGGGACTCCTAATGTCACCCGTGGTGTACAAACAGTGATATTATTCGTAATATTTTATGGAAATGTTACTCCAAATGTCGCAGGGGCCTTACACCTTGTAATATTATTCATCATAACCTAATGAAATGTTACCTCTAATGTCACAGGGGGTGTACACCGTATGATATGGTGCCCAATATTGTAGGGGGATGTTACTCCTAATATTACAGGGGGCGTTCACACTGTGATAATATTCGTAATATCCTAAATGGATGTTAATGCTAGTGACACGACGCGTGTACATCCTCTGTATTTGTTCGTTATATCCTCGGGGGAGGTTTCTCCTACTGTCACATGGGGTGTACTCTCTGTGATATTATTCAGAATATCCTAGGTGGATGTTACTCCTCGTGTCACAGGGGCTGTGCATTCATTTTGTGATGTTATTCACAATGTCCTAGAAGGATGTTACTCCTCAGGTCACAGGGGATGTACACCCTGTGATATTATTCATACTATCCTAGGGGATGTTACTCCAAATGTCACAGAAGGTGTACACTCTGTGATATTACTTGCAATGTGCCAGGGAAATGTACTCCTAATGTCACAGGGCATGTGCACCATGTGTGCACAGCCCCTGTGATGTTATTTGTAATATTCTTGAGGGATGTTAATCCTAATATTCCATATGCTGTTAACCATGTGTGAACACCTTTGTGGTATTATTCCTAACATACTAGAAAGATGTAACTCCTAACATCACGTGGGGTATAGGCCATGTGCGTACACCTTCTGTGATATTATTCATAACATCGTAGGGAGATGCTACTCCTAATTTTACAAGGTGCGTACATTATGTGTGTACACCCCCTCTGATGGTATTCGTAATATTCTAGGGGAATGTTGCTGCTAATGTCACAGGGAGAGTACACCATGTGTATGCAACCCTGGTAATATTATTTCTAATATCTTGGGGGGGTGTTGCTCCTAATGTCACCTGGAGTGTACAGCATGTGTGTACACCTTCTGTGATATTCATAAATCACAGAAAAAGATTACGCCTAATGTAACAGGATGTGTACACCGTGTGCATCAACCGCCTTTGATATTATTCGTAATATACTAGGGGGCTGTGACTTTGAATGTCACAAAGAGTGTACAAAATGTCACAGGGTGTGTATGCCTCATGATATGATTCCTGATATCCAGAAGGATGTTACTCCTAAGGTCACGGGGGTGCACACACTTCGATAATATTTGTAGTCTTATAGGGAGATTTTACTGTAAATCTCACAGTGGGTGTACACTATGTACACTATGTGTAGACTGTGATATTATTTGTAATATCTCAGATACTACAGAGTTATAGCTCTCCGTGTTATATTAGAATTATATCTAAGACAGTACAAATAATACCACAGTGGGTGTACCTCATGTGTGTACACCCTGTGATATTATTTGTAATATCCATGGTAAACATTACATCTAATATCACAGAGAGTGTTCTCCCTTTGATATTTCTCATACTCTCATAGGGAGATATTGCTTTTAATGTCGCAGTGGGTGTACACCATGCGTGTACATTCTGTGATACACCTTATATCCTAGGGAGATATCTCTCCGAATATCAGTGTGTGTACGCCTTGTGATATTCTTCATATCCTAGAAGGATGTTACTCCTAATAAGACAGAGGGCGTACACCCAGTGATGTTCTTTGTAATATCCTAGGGAGATGTTACTCCTAATGTCACACGGGGTGTACACCCATGATATTATTCCTAATATTCTAGGGGGATGTTACTTTTAAAGTCACAGGGGGCGTACACCCTGTGAGGTTGTTCGTAATATCCTAAGAAGATGTTGCTCTTAATGTCACATGGGGTGTACACCCTGTGATATTACTCGGAATATCTTATGGGGATGCTACTCCTAACGTCACAGGCTGTGTACACCCTGTGATGCTATTCGGAATAGCCACAGAGATGTTACTTTTGATGTCACAGACAGGGTCCACCCTTTGATTTTTTTATCATCTTAGGGAGATATGACTTCAAATATCACAGTGGGTGTACACCCACTGTGATGTTATTCGGAATACCCTAGGGAGATATAACTTTTAATATCACCGTGGGCGTACATACTATTTGTGTACACCTACTGTGATATTATTCCTAATATCCTAAAAATAAATAGGACTCCTAATATCACAGTTGGTGTACACACTGTGATATGAGTCGTAATATTCCAACAGGATGTTACTCCTCAGGTCACAGGTGGTTAATACCCTGGGACAGTATTCCTCATATTCCAGGGCGCTGATACTCCTAAAGTCACAGGGTGTGTACCCCCTGTGATATTATTCCTCCTATTCAAGGGGGATGTTACTCCTAATGTCACAGGGATGTACACCCTGTGATATTATTCATAGTATACCAGAGGGATATTAGTACGAATGTCACAATGCGTGTACATCTTGGCATATCATTCGTATTATCCTAATGTCACAGGGGGTGTGTTCCCTGTGACATTATTCCTAATATCCTAGACGGCTATTTCTCCTAACATTACAGGGTGTGTACACCTTGTCATATCATTCATAATATCCTAAAACTACGTTATTCCTCATGTCACAGAGGGTGTTCACCTTGTGATATTATTCGTAATTGTTTTGTGGGATGTTACTCCTAATGTCATACAGGGTGTACACAGAGTCACACAGTGCTATGACGTGTAATATTATATAGAAATGTTACTCGTAAATCACAGGGGCTGTACCTCCTGTGATATTATTCGTCATATTCTAGGGGAATGTTACTATTGTCACAGGGGGTGTACACCCTGTGACATTACTCGTCATATCCTAGCGGGATGTTACTACCAATGTCACAATGCGTGTACACCCTGTGATACGATTTATAATATCCTAGAGACGTTACTAAGGTCACAATGCATGTACACCCTCTGATATTATTCATCATATCCTCGGGGGATGTCACTTTTAATGTCACATGGGGTGTACTCCCTGTGATATTATTCATAATATCCTAAGGGCTTGTTACTTTTAATGTCACCAGGGGTGTATATCATGCATATTCAACACCTGTGATACTATTCCTAATATCCTAGGGGCATGTTCCTCCTAATGTCACATGGGGTGTACACCATGTGTGTACACCTGCTGTGGTATTATTCATAATATCCTAGGGGAATGTTACTCCTGATGGCACAGACGGTGTACACCGTGTGTGTACACCGCCTGTCATTACTCGTAATATCCTAGGGGGATGTTTCTTTCAATGTCACAAAGGGTGTACAAAATGTCACAAAATGTGTTCACCTTGTGACGTTATCTGTAATACCCTGGAAGGACGTTACTCCTAATAGGTCACGGGGGTGTACACCTTTTGATATTATTTGTAATCTCATAGAGAGATATGACTTGAAATATCAGTGGATGTACACACATAGTGTATACCCTGTGATATGATTCATAATATCCTAGGGAGATACAACTCCTGATATCACAGTGCGTGTACCCCGGGTGTGTACACCCTTGATGTTAATCATAATATCCAGGGTAAAGATTACTCCTAAGATCACACAGTGGGCATACCCTGTGATAATTTTCATCATATTATAGGGAGATATTGCTTCTAATATCACAGTGGTTATACCCCTTTTGTGTATACTGTGTGACAGTATTCTTTATATCCTAGGGAGGTATTACTCCTAATATCACAGTAGGTGTTCACCCTGTGTTATCATTATTTGACCTTGCTGCCTTTTTGAACCCACACTACAAAGGAATGGAACAGATAAGATATTGAGATTAGACTGTGCTGCCGTGCGGCTGCCGCAGGACACCTTTCATATCCCTGTTTCTCAGGCTGTAGATGAAGGGGGTCAGCATGGGGGTGACCAGTGTGTACATCACTGAGGCCACTGCACCCTTTCTGGGGGAAGATGACACATCTGAACTGAGGTACCCTCCAACGCCTGTTCCATAAACTCAGCAAACAACTGACAGGCGAGACCCACAGGTGGAGAGGGCTTTATACTTCCCACCTGATGAAGAAACCCTCAGAATGGAGGAAACAATTTTAGAGAAAGAGAAAAGGGTCCCCAAGATGGGAAGAAAACCAAATATGGCAGCAGGGAAATACATGATTATGTTAATGGTGAAGGTGTCACAACATGCAAGATGGGAGAGTTGAGAAGGGTCACAGAAGAAATTAGGAATTTCCACATCCTTGAAGCAGGTCACTTGTAAGGCAATCAAGTTGTGCAGCTGGGAGTCTAAAAGACTGAGAAAAAAAAAGACAACAAAACTAGAAAGGCACAGAAACACGGGTTCATGATGGTGAATGATATAGCGGGTGACAGATGGCTACAAACCAGTCATAGGCCATCACACTCAGGAGCATGTCTCTCTTCCATGCCTCCAAAAATGGCAAAGAGAGACATCTGAGTCAGGCAGCCTGCATAGGAGATGACTCTGCTGTGAGACTGGATGTCCACAATCATCTTGGGGACCGTGGTGGAGGTGAAACCGATGTCAGGCAAGGACAGGTTGGAGAGGAAGAAGTACATGGGGGTGTGGAGGTGGGAGTCAGGGCTGATGGCCAGGATGATGAGCAGGTTCCCCAGCACCGTGACCAGGCACATGGACAGGAACAGCCCAGCAAGGACTGGCTGCAGTTCTGGATCCCCTGAGACTTCTAGGAGGAGGAATATAGAGACATCTGTTAGATTCTGTGGGTCTGCATAATTTGGACACCTTTGCCTAGAAACGAGGGTTGAAAAATGGGAAACAAGTAAACCAACACCTGGCATTGTGTCTGCATTTTGAATAGAAGCAATTCACAAGTAATGTTTTCAGATTTCAGAGCAATCCACACTCAGCAATATTTTGCAGTTCTGACAGACTCAATTGTCTTCTAATGCTTTCATCATTGATTTCTGTGTTATTCACTTCTTGCTGTACACACCTGCCTTAGAGACACTAGATTCAAGAATGTTCCAAGAACCAGATCATCATACATAACAAATTCGTAACTGCTAGAAAATACAGCCTATCTTTTCCGAAGAAAACTATGTAATAAAACCATTCTCTTCACTTGAAGAAAAAGGTTATCCTAATTAAAGGAAATTAAGAACTCAAATATTTTATTCTACTAGATTGATGAATTCCCTTGATTTAGAACATTTATAAACACTGTAGAACAGCTGAGACCATGTCATCTGGAAATGAAATTAAAGTTGATAGTTCATAAGCAGAAAATAATTCCACATGCCAGTTAGGTCCTAGTGATTTCATCATTATGTTTTCTGACTTTTCTCCTTCAAGAGAGTAATTGCTTACTCAAATCGGTGGGTCTGGTTTTAAAATTCATGGAAGCTGTAACTCCTGTCCTTAGCTTAGGTGGACTTAGAGTTTTCATCAGAAAGTTTGGCCAGATGCGGTGGCTCACGCCTGTAGTCCCAGCACTTTGGGAGGCTGAGGAGGGCGGATCACGGGGTCAGGAGATCAAGACCATCCTGGCCAACATGGCGAAACCCCGCCTCTACTGAAAATACAAAAACTTCGCCCGGTATGGTGATGCGCGCCTGTAGTCCCAGCTACTCGGGAAGCTGAGGCGGGAGAATGGCTTGAACCTGGGACGCAGAGGCTACAGTGAGCCGAGATCACACCACTGCACTCCAGCCTGGGCAACAAGAGCAAAACTCCGTCTCAAAAAACAAAAAAACAAGAGGAATCAAGTAAGTCAAAGTTACACTTATGACAGCCAATTTTTGTGAACCAAGGAAGTGTGAATTCAAGAATTCACATAGATGTTGACTTTGGCTATCTCCTATGTGCCAAGCAAGATATAGGCTCTAGGGAATTATTAATTCA
The DNA here is from genome assembly GCF_000001405.40 of Homo sapiens. Lineage (NCBI taxonomy): Eukaryota > Metazoa > Chordata > Mammalia > Primates > Hominidae > Homo > Homo sapiens. The sequence continues at coordinate 97,968,156 of NC_000007.14, forward strand.
GCTTATTAAATCTCCCAGTTCTTTTCAATACAGAGACTATTTACATGAGAAAACTTAAGTTAAAAATATGTTACAAAAACTACCATTAAGTGATGTTGTCTCATTTATGAAACCACCTAATTGCTTTAGGCATCTTTCAAAAATTTCAACTTATCCTGAAGTTTCAATTTACATACAGAATATCACCCACATTTTTGTTATTTTTCAGTTTCCTCTCAATGAATGGAATCATCAAACTTTTTATCCTTTTTTTTTTTTGAGATGGAATCTCGCTCTGTTGCCCAGGGTAGAGTGCAGTGGCGCAATCACAGTTCACTGCAGCCTCGACCTCTGAGGCTCAAGCGATCCTCCCACCTCAGCCTCCCAGGTAGCTGGGACTACAGGCATGCACCATGATACATGGCTAACTTTTATAAAATTTTTTGTAGAGATGGGGCCTTCCTATATTGCCCAGATTGGTCCTGAACTCCTGGGCTCAAGCAATCCTCCCGCCTTAGCCTCCCAGAATGCTGAAATTACAGGTGTGATTCACAGTGCCCTGTCTCGCTGAAACTTTTAAATCATAAAATTATCTGCATTCTGTACATTCCTTGAGCACATAGACACACTTTTTCATCAATGGGGACACATTCCTACTATAAGGCTGAGAAAAGAGAAGGGAGTTCAATACTTACTGAATAAATGTAGGCATAAACCTCACTACCTGTTTCAAAGGCCTCATTATTTTCTTCTCTAAGACAAATACAGAGTCACTTTGCAGTCATTTACAGATTTCTCTTTAAACAACCCTGAGCCTAGAGATAGGCGTAAGTGGTTGGACTCTGAGTTGAGAAAGAATGCCATGCTTACCTTGTACATGCTGTAGCACTGCTGCAGCACCGAGCTATAAACCTTGTCCTACACACACGAAAACATAGCACACATATCAGTTCAAGGGAAAAACAATGTCTACTGGATAGATGGCAAAGGTACACTGACTCTTGGCCAAACAGGATAATGTTTACAAACTTGGTCCCACCATAGTCGTGTGCTGATAAAAAGTGTTTGCGTTCTTTTTTTTTGGAGATGGAGTCTCGCTCTGTTGTCCAGGTTGGAGTGCAGTGATGCAATCTTGGCTCACTGCAACCTTTGCGTCCCCGGTTCAAGCGATTCTCCTGCCTCAGCCTCCCAAGTAGCTGGGATGACACGTGTGCGCCACCATCCCTGGCCAGTTTTTGTAGTTTTAGTAGAGACAGGGTTCCGCCACATTGGCCAGGCTGGTCTTGAACCCCTGACCTCAAGTGATCTGCCTGCCTCGACCTCCCAAAGTACTAGGATTACAGGTGTGAGCCACTGTTCCCAGCCAGAAGTGTTTAAACTCTAATTTGTGAATCAGTAAGCCTTACTTTAGGAGGGCTTTCAATACAGATGAGGAATAGAAGGTATTAGTGAGATAGGGTGCATATACATTTTAAAAAGATTATGCTCATGTAAATGATAAACATAAACCTGTGCTATATACCCCGAGAAACTTCCACAAAAGCCACCTAGTTTAAATCTGACCAAGGAAGGCATTCAACATACTCAGCAATACATTTAAATAAATAAATAAATAAATAAACAATGACACGTTACCAACAACTCCTCCTCTTGATATTCAATAACTGGTTTTCCATCTTTACTGTTTTTCAATTATAGGATTCCGAACAACCTACAAAGTTTGATAAACTGAAATTATACAATGAATTCATTAGACCATGTTTATTTTGCCTTAGTTTAAAAACTTTGCACATGCTACAGCACCAGAAACACAGCTTCTTAAAGCAGCCCCAAGAACGAATAAAGCAAACAGGAAGAACTTGATTTTAAAACTGCAACGAATTTTATTTTAATTTTACTTGGATGCAATAGCCAGAGAACTTTGCTAAATTCTGAATAGTAAAGATCACCCATAACTTCACCATACAATTTCAGAAAGATACACTGTGTATGTAAATACCATGACCATCCAGAAATTTTCTTCTGGTTCATTAAAGAACTGTCTGTTCTTCTGCGTATGTAAAGATTTTGCAGGTTTTGATGGGCTAAAGGTCCTACAAAGGTTAAAAAAATATGTTTGGGACAATTCTCCAGCAGCAGTTTTAAGAATTCACTGAACTCTAAAGGCACACTTAGAGGTATTACCTTGTAAACTGTACAATAGCTTCACACAATCCGACATTTCTAATCTTCTCATTCTTTTCTATTTTTTTTTTTTTTTTGGAGACGGAGTCTCGCTCTGTCGCCCAGGCTGGAGTGCAGTGGTGCGATCTCCGCTCACTGCAAGCTCCGCCTCCCGGGTTCACGCCATTCTCCTGCCTCAGCCTCCCGAGTAGCTGGGACTACAGGCGCCCGCCACCACGCCCGGCTAATTTTTTTGTATTTTTAGTATTGACGGGGTTTCATTGTGTTAGCCAGGATGGTCTCGATCTCCTGACCTCGTGATCCGCCCGCCTCAGCCTCCCAAAGTGCTGGGATTACAGGCTTGAGCCACCGAGCCCGGCCTCTTCTTCTTTTCTACCTCATTTGGATGATAAAATAAAATCTTATTTTCCTCCTGAAACATGAGGAAACAGAAGCACATCATGAATAGAAACATTTCATCTTAGCTATTGAAAACGCTAAGTTCAGTGTCGACCTCTTGTGTCGCACATGCTAATGACAAAACCAAAGAAAAACCGGTTTTAGAAAAACAGGAATTGTAATCCTAGCACTTTGAGAGGCCGAGGTGAGAGGATCACCTGAGCTCAGGAGTTCAAGACCAGCCTGGGCAACACCGTGAGACCTCGTCTCTATTTAAAATAATAACAGGAATTATCTCATCATTGTGCAAATACTGCCCAACAGTCAGAAGGCAATTTCGATAGTCAATAAGTCACATCTGAAGTAGCACCAGGTAATTTTTATGAAAACTCAAGTCTCCATATTTCTTTCCTAGAGCTAATCTGTAATACACCAATGCTTGTAAGAAATAAAGGTTTGCACATCTGCAGACACATAGCTCCCTGAAAATTAAATCCAGCCAGTTCCCAAGCATTTGAACTGACGAGTTTTTTTTTTTTTTCTTTTTCTGGAGATGGGGTCTCTGTCACCCAGGCTGTAGTGCAGTGGCCCAATTACAGCTCACCTGCAGCCTCAATCACAAGCGATCCTCTGGCCTCAGCCTCCTGAGTAGCTGGAAATACAGGTGCGTGCCACCACACCTGGCTCATTTTTCGATTTTTTTTTTTTTTTTTTTTTTTTTTTTGGTAGAGTCGGGGGTCTTGCTTTGTTGCCCAGGCTGGTCTGGAACTCCTGGCTCCAAGTAATCCTCCCATCTCGGCCTCCTAAAGTGCTGGGATTACAGGCGTGAGTTACAGCGCCCAGCCTGGACAGTCTTTAAAAGAACTCTGACTTGCTGGTAACGAAACACAGCTCCGGACATCCTTTGAGAAAGTCGCCGTCCCCACCTCAGAAAACACACACACACACACACGTGTCCCGGAACTTACACACACACACACGTGTCCCGTAACTAACTTACACACACACACACACACGTGTCCCGGAACTAATTTTCCTCATTTGGGTGAAAACTTTTACAGGGTCCTCCAGGCTTGCATCATTTGAAGGCTAGCGTCTGCCACTCTGCTTCCACGCTTCTAGTTGGGGACTACCCACTTAACAAAGCCAAGTTCAATTTTAATTTCCCAGAACTGACGCAACGCAAAGCGCAAAGAGACTGAACCTGGGGTGTGGAGTGATACAGACCTGACGGGGCTTTATTCCATAGACAGACATCGACCCAGGACCTGAAGCGGTCCCTGCCTGCTGTCAGGTCCCCGCCGCAGCCCCCGGCCCGGGCTCAGCACCTGGCACAACGCAGGCTAGGTCAGTGCCGCTCGAGGTGGGCAGAACCACAGGGCCGCCGCCCCTGGGGGGCACCGACGCCGCCCGCTCACGCGCCGCCCCCTCCGCATACCTCTCCTTCCCGCGGCCAGAAGCGCGGGTTGTAGATGAAGAAACTCAGCAGCGCCGGCAGGAACTGCTTCTCCTGGGCCGCCGAGGGCCCGCTCCCAGCCCCGGCCGCCGCTGCAGCCATCCCGGCCGGGTCCCCACCTCGGGAGCCTCCCACAGCCAGCCCAGAGAAAGCAGCCACCTGCTAGAACACCGCACTTCCGCCTCCCTCGCCACCACCCCGGAAGCGCTCGCCGCCGACCAGGAAGAAGAACCCGCCTCGCAGCGTCCTCTTCTGGCACCCCAGGGTGGCCTTGTTGTCTGTTTCCCGGCCGAGTTTGTGTTTTGCTGGCTCGCGGAGTTTTCTCCTGGCTACGGGCGAGGGTTGCGCGTTTCAGGAAAAACTGAGTGGGGCACTGTTTGTTTGTTTGTTTGTTTTTTGATAGGATCTCAGTTTGTCATCCAGTCTGGAGTGTAGCGGCGGGATCTCAGCTCACTGCAGCCTCAACCTCTGGGACTCAAGCCATCCCCCTGCCTCAGCCTCCCAAGTAGCTAGGATTACAGGGCGCGCCATCAAGGCCAGTTTTATTTTTTGTAGAGGTGGGGTCTGTGTTGCCCAGGCTGCTCTCGAACTCCTGGCTTCACATGGTCTCCCATTTCGACCTCCCAAAGTGCTCCGATTATAGGCGTGAGACACCACCGCCCAACCTGTTGTTGTTTTGGTGGTATTGTTTTTAATTTAATTTAGAGACAGGATCTCGCTTTGTCACCCGGGTTGGAGTGCAGTGGTGCCATCATAGCTCACTGCAGCCTCAACTCCCAGGCTCAAGCGATCTTCCCACCTCAGCCTGAGTAGCTGAGACCACATGCATGCACCACCATGCCCAGATAATTAAAATATATATATATATATATATATATATAGAGAGAGAGAGAGAGAGAGAGAGAGAGAGAGAGTTAGAGAGTAGAGACAGGGTCTCACTTTGTTGCCCCAGCTGGTCTCGAACTCTTGGCATCAAGGGATCCTCCTGCCTCTGTTACTGGATGGAAGGTCTTGACCGTGGATTGCCCAGGTTCTTGGCGTGTTGAACAAAGAATTGAACAAAATGCACAAAGTAGCAAAAGAACAAAGCAACGAAAAGAAACAAAAGAAAAAACCGGAGTAAGGAAGAGACAGATTTATTGAAGCGAAAGTACAATTCACACAGCAGGAGCGGGATAGAGCAAACGGTTCGATAGCACCCGTCAGGATTTTTATTAAGCTGGAAGAATTAGGTAACGCCCCTAGGTGCCCGTTAGATGCCTCCGATTGGTTACACCCTCTGAAGGATTGGCCTGTGACCAATCAGAGGCTGAAGTGGAGACTTGCGCACCACCACCCACCCCCCGCCGTCAATCAGAAGCTGTCACCCTCCCCCCGCCCCCCTCTCCGCCTGATTGACGGAATGAACACGTGGCCTCCATGCTGCCTAATCTTGCCTAGAACTGGCTGCACCTGCTGTTCTTTTGTTTCTGCCTTAACCCTTGGTTACCCTCATGCCCTATTCTGCCTCACCTGGCCTCCCAAAGTGCTGGGATTACGGATGTGAGCCACCCACACCTGGCCCATTGTTTTGTTTTTAGTTTATTTAAAAAGTATTTTATTCTAAGACAGCACTTTGCTCTGTTGTCCAGGCTGGAGTGCAGCGGCCAGATCATAGCTCACTGCAGCCTGGAACTCCTGGGCTCAAGTGATCCTCCCACCTCAGCCTCCCGAATAGCTGGGACCACAGGTGCATGCCACCATGGCTGGCTAATTTTTAAATTTTTCGTAGAGCTGGGGTCTCACTATGTTAACCCAGGCTGGTCTCGAACTCCTGGGCTCAAGTGATCCACTGGCCTTGGGCTCTCCAAGTGCTGGGATTATAGGCATAAGCCCCTGTGCCATGGCAGTTTTTTTGTAGAAGGAAATGTAAAGACACAAAGGAAGCCTCATTTAGAAAGAAACAAGGCTGGGCACGGTGGCTCATGCCTGTAATCCCAGCACTTTGGGAGGCCAAGGTGGGTGAATCACTTGAGGCCTGGAGTTCCAGACCAGCCCCGTCTCTACTAAAATACAAAAAACTAGCCAGGCGTGGTGGCACATGCCTGTGGTTCCAGCTACTTGGGAGGCTTGAGGCAGGAGAATTACTTGAACCCAGTAGGTGGAGGTTGCAGTGAGCCAAGATTGCACCACTACACTCCAGCCTGGGCAACACAGCAAGACCCTGTCTCAAAAAAAAAAAAAAAAAGAAAGAAAAGAAACACATTTCTGTTTGGCCCATTAGCATAATCTACAGAGTCCTTGTTTGAGAGACCTCAAGTGACCACTGGATCACCCACACCTACAAAGTTTGCCCCTTTCCCCCATTCCTTCAGCGCAGGTCTGGAGGCAGATGGGGCACTGTGTGTGCCATGGGAGCAATATCACAGGTGGCAGACTCACCAGAGTGGCTGTTCCTGGACCTTGTCGCCTGGGATTCCCTTGCCTTTGAGGTGTGTGGGTTGTGGCATAGTTGGGATGGCTCGTTACGGTTGTTTGGATTCAAGCCTTGGCAGCATATGGTTTGACCAAACTCAAGAAGACTTTGGTTTAGATTGCGTCATCTGTCACATATTAAGTTTGGAAGCAGAACCACTTCCCTTATCCAGCCTGGCAGAATAGATCACATTTAGGGAAGTGATGAGTTGGAATTTGGACTGGAGACAGATCTGGGTACATATCCACTTTTGCCATTCACCGACTGCACCAATCTCCTTGCACCAAAGAAGAGATAGAGACTCTCTCGTCTGTATCTCTTATTTGGAAAATGGCTAATAGTAAATTCCTGCCAAGTGAGAATTTCACTTGAAGAGTTAAATGGGACTATGAATGTGCATCAAGTGCCAGCACCTAATCATTATTTCATAAACGATTGCTACTGTCCCTTGCTATTGACTTTCCCAATTAGCTTGCTCTAGTGCATGAAATTATTCCATGAGAAATACATGTTTTGGCTGGGTGTGGTGGCTCATGCCTGTAATCCCAGCACTTTGGGAGGCCGAGGCTGGCAGATCGCTTGAGGTCAGGAGTTTGAGGCCCAACATGGTGAAACACTGTCTCTACTAAAAAATAAAAATAAATAGCCGTGCGTGGTGGCAGGTGCCTGTAGTCCCAGCTACTCCAGAGGCTGAGGCAGGATAATTGCTTGAACCTGGGAGGCGGAGGTTGCAGTGAGCTGAGATTGCGCCACTGCACTCCAGCGGGGGGACAGAGTGAGACTCTGCCTCAAAAAATAAATAAATAAATAAAAATAAAGCACAAGGTGCTATACAAGTGAGTGAGATTAATATTTTAGAGTATGAGTCATAGTTTCTCCCAGGATACCTCTGTGTCCTTGTACATGTTTGCCTCTCCCTTCCTCCCACATACAATTCATTGCAGGAGGCATCGAAAGAGGGAGATGCCAAAAAACAAAATGAAACATCCAGAGATCAAAGAAAAGAACATGCTTTTATGGTTTCAAAGTTAAGGATGCAAGAACGCTTAGACCTCAATGCATCTGCCTCTCCAAACAGAGTCCTTGGGTGTGCACGGATACGAGGCAGGAGTGGTAGTGATGACAGATACCCGCATAGGTTTGGAGGTCTCAGAGGAGAGGGTGTGTGTGTCTTTCTCCCTGGGGAAGCTGGGGGAGGTGGTGAGCTTTGCAGAGTTCCCCTCTGGGTCCAGCATGGCTCAGTAACAGTAGAGTAACCATGGAACAGGGGTATCTGGACGAGATATCCTTATTGTTCAGGAAGAAGCTGAATGATTTACTTGTGCATAGAAGGAATTCAGAGAAAGCCAGTGCTGAGAAGCCTCAAGGTCAGGACCAGGAGGAGGTAGCAGTGGCCCCTCAAGACCACGAGAGTAGAGAGGATTGAGGATGACTCTGTGTTCACTGTTCTGACTGAGAATACTCCAGTCCCATGTGGGGCCTCGACTCTTTCCCCCAGCCTATGGTAAGAAGGGAGAAGAGGTTGCTTAATTACCTGACATAATTAAGATTCTGACTCCCAGCACAATGGGAATTCAAATCAAGTTCAGTTACAGAAATAGAAGTTAGATGTTTTGCACAAAGAATTTGCGAACTCAAAATTCCAAGGGAATGAGCTGTGGGAAAGACACATTTTGGTGTTGGAAAGGGAGCTCAGTTCCAAGTAGAAAGTCACAGTTCCGGCCAGGCACAGTGGCTCACGTCTGCAATCCCAGCACTTTAGGAGGCCAAGGCGGGCAGATCACTTGAGGTCAGGAGATTGAGATCAGCCTGGCCAACATGGTGAAACCCCGTCTCTACTAAAAATACAAAACTTAGCTGAGCGGGGTGGCACACACCTGTATCCAAGCTACTCAGGAGGCTGAGGTGGGAGGATCACTTGAGCCTGGGGAGGTCGAGGCTGCAGTGAGCTGTGATCGCTCCCCTGTATGCCAGCCTGGGCAACAGAGCAAGACCATGTCTCAAAAACATAATAATTTAAGGTGAATAGATTTACATTCATTGTAGAGCCCCTAGGAAAACAATGTCAAAATCTATCCCCGCCCCCCACCAAAAAAAGCTGACTTTTTGAAACCTGTGAAAACATATGCAAATGAAGTCTTTCCAGTGAATAAATTAACAGGCCAGGTGGAAACCATCCTGGTGATTCCAATTTCATCTGTCTTCTTAAGTGTTTGCAAAGTAACCGCATACCTTAACATGAGCAGAAGAGATAGAAGATAGGTTTTTGCTTGCAATTGGATTCTGGAGTGCTCATTACATAAACTTAAACTGCAGTCATGACAGAGAATTAACTACGTACCTTGTAAACCTGTACAAATAGACAAGTATTTCCTATCTTCACTGTTTTGCTATGCTTTGCTTATGAGCTAGAAAGAACTACTTTGTAAATACTGCTACTAAGTCTTTACTAAGTACTACTACTTAGTAATAGCTACTTACAAAATCCTAAAGCATTTACTGAGTATCAGTACTTAGCAAATGACTACCTACAGAATACTAAAACATTTACTGGATAGCCGTACTTAGCAAATGACTGCTTACAAAATATGAAAGTATTTACTGTGTAGCAGTACTTAGCAAATGACTACTTACAAAATACTAACATATTTACTGAGTTGCAGTACTTAGCAAATAACTATTACAAAATACTAATTAATTAGATTTTGTGCAATTATATAGTAGTGCTAAATATTAAAATACTTAGTATTTACAAATTACTAAAGTATTTACTAATTAGTGGTACTTATAGTATTTACAAAATCTTATAAATACTTCATCATGTACAGATGCTGAAGCAAAATACTAGATAATGTTTGAAGTATTTTAATAATTCTTATTAGTCAACAACTAAACATTCACAAAGCTGGTTTTTAAATTTTTATTTTTTTATGCTAATCTCTGTATTGTTCCAATTTTAGTATACGTGCTGCCAAAGCAAACACACAAAGCTGGTTTTAAGATCATGTTCTGGCCGGGCGCGGTGACTCACGCCTGTAATCTCAGCACTTTGGGAGGCCGAGGTGGGTGGATCACCTGAGGTCAGGGGTTCAAGACCAGTCTGGCCAACATGGTGAAACCCCATCTCTACTAAAAACACAAAAATTACCTGGGTGCGGTGGCAGGCGCCTGTAGTCCCAGGTATTTGGAAGGCTGAGGCAGGAGAATTGCCAACCCAGGAGGCGGAGGTTGCAGTGAGCCGAGATCGTGCCACTGCGCTCCAGCCTGGTGACAGAGTGAGACTCCATCTCAATAAATAAATAAATAAATAAATAAATAAATAAATAAATAAATCATGTTCTACCAAAATATGAACTACTCTCCCAAACTATAAGCCAAAATTACAATTAAGTAAAAATAGTCAAAATGAAAGCCCACACTTCCAGTCCTGTTTTATAAGCAATTAGGGAAAATAATAGGATGCCTAATTTTTCAACTCTGTGACCTACGTTGCAATCTAGACCTTCATTTCTTTCTTTTTTTTTTTTTTTTTTTTTTTTTAGCTAGGTTGTTGGTCTATCATCCAGACTGGAGTGCAGTGGTGCGATCACAGCTCACTGTAGACTCCAACTCCATGGGTCAAGGCATCCTCCTGAATACCTGGGACAATAGCCGCACCATCACACCCAGCTAACTTTTAAATTTCGAGATAGGATCTTGCTATGTTGCCCCAGCTAGTCTCAAACTCCTGGGCTCAAGTGATCCTTGAATCTTGGCCTTCTGAAGTGTTGGGATTACAGGTGTGAGACACCACACCTGGCCGTAGACTTTCATTTCAAAGTCAATATATGGCTGGGCATGGTGGCTCATACCTGTAATTCCAGTACTTTGGGATGCCAAGGTGGGCAGATCATCTGAGGTCGGGAGTTCGAGACCAGCCTGACCAACATGGTGAAACCCTGTCTCTACTGAAAATACAAAATTAGCCAGGCGTGATAGTGCATGCCTGTAATCCCAGCTACTCGGGAGGCTGAGGCAGGAGAATCGCTTGAACTGGGAGGTGGCGGTTGCGGTGAGCCGAGATTGCACCATTGCACTCTGGCCTGGGCAACAAGAGCGAAACTCTGTCTCAACAACAACAAAGTCAACATACATCATTTTGGTGCTAAGAATAAGCTCTCTTGAGGTAGACCTGTGGTCATCTACAAATTAGGTAAAAATTGAGAAGGCAAGCGCAAAGATAAAGGTGGTTATATGTTTGTCAATCCCTTTTCTGGATTGTTCTAATTTTCTCTAGAGTTTTGATTTCATTTTGGGTATGTTATATTTAACATTCTCCTTCAATACATGAAAATACATACAAATGAGTCAAACAATGAATAGAAATTTTGGGAACAGAATAGCATGCCAAGCTTTCATTAATTTGAGTGTGGGACACACTCTAGGCATGAAAGATTTTTTTGAAATCAGAATTTATTACTACTTTGGGCCAGGTGCGGTGGCTCATGCCTGTAATCCCAGCACTTTGGGAGGCTGAGATGGGTGGATCGCCTGAGATTGGGAGTTTGAGACCAGCCTGGCCAACATGGTGAAACCCCATCTCAAGTAACAATACAAAAATTAGCTGGGCATGGTGGCAGGCGCTTATAATCCCAGCTACTTGGGAAACTGAGGTGGGAAGATCACTTGAACCCGGGAGGTAGAGGTTGCAGTAGGCCAAGATCACGCCACTGCACTCCAGCCTGGGGGCAACAGAGAGAGACTCTTTCTCAAAAAAAAAAAAAAAAAAGAATTTATTACTACTTTGGTTTAGTGATAGTTATTGGGCAAACTCTGCATCTCTTTTCATTTTATTTATTTTATTAATTTATTTTTGAGACAGGGTCTCGCTCTATCACCCAGATTGGAGTGTAGTGGCATGATCATGGCTCACTGTGGCCTCAACTTCCAGGCTCAAGGGATCCTCCCACCTCAGCCTCCCGAGTAGCTGGGACCACAGGTGCATGCTACCACACCCAGCTAATTTTTAAGTTTTTTTGTAGAGACACGGTCTCCCTATGTTGTCCAGACTGGTCTTTTTTAAAATTTTAATTTTAATTTTTTTCCTTCATTTTCTCTAGTTACTATGCTGCACTTTATTTTATCTCTTTTTATTTATTTATTTATTATTTTTTTGAGATGGAATCTCTCTCTGTCACCCAGGCTGGAGCGTAGTGGTGCGATCTCGGCTCACTGCAACCACCACCTCCTGGGTTCAAGCGATTCTCCTGCCTCAGCCTCCCAAGTAGCTGGAAGTACAGGCATCTGCCACCACGCCTGGCTAATTTTTGTACTTTCAGTAGAGATGGGGTTTCACCATGTTGGCCAGGGTGGTCTCGAACTCCTGACCTCAGGTGATCCGCCCGCCTTGGCCTCCCAAAGTGCTGGGATTGCAGGCGTGAGCCCCTGAACCCCACCCAGCTGCACGTTTATAAAGGCTCCAGTCTTCTCTCCCTGTTCTGTAATCCTCCCAGCTGGCAATAACTAGGATTAAAATTTTACTGCATCTCCTTTCATTCTTTTTATTGTGAGATACATGTTGAATAGGAAATTTGTATGAAATTCATGTAATGACTAAACTCAGGTAACTTAAAAAAATTATTTTAAAATTATACTTCCCATCAAAGGCTTGGAAATGCTAATTATTATTATTTTTTTTTTACAAAATGCAAACTTAGAAAAATAACAACTAAATCAAAAAGTGCTAATTAATGAATATGCTCAAATGTGCAAAGAGGCCAGCCATGGTGGTTCATGCCTGTGATCCCTGCACTTTGGGAGGCTCAGGTGGGAGGATCACTTGAGGCTAGGAGTTCCAGACCACCCCTGGCAACATAGCAAGACCCTGTCTCTACAAAAAATACAAAAATTAGCTGGGTGCAGTTGGTGAGCACCTGTAGTCCCAGCTACTTGAGAGGCTAAGGCAGGAGAATCACTTGAGCTCAGGAGTTGGAGGCTGCAGTGAGCTGTGATTGCATCACCACACTCCAGCCTGGGCAACATAGCAAGACCCCATCTCTAAAAAAATTTTTTTCTAATCCCCAGAGAGTTTTACTTGTATGAGCAGTTGAAATAAATCCCCCCTCAACCCCACCAGAGCATACCCAGAATCCAAATAACATAATTAAACTTTGGTATGAGTAAAGACGAGATTATTAGGTTTCATGTAAGTGTACCACCTGGAAATTCTTGGGTGTTAAATAGAGATAGTGCTTCATTATTGCTGCTTATTGTCTGTTGACAGAGACTCTGAAATGAAGTCCCTAAGATCGGGTTGGAAGAATGAAAAAGTAGTGTACTGTTATTCGAAATGGACAAAAATAATTGTCCATTTGAATTGTAGTTTTGAGACAGTAAAATGAATAAAATTTATGAATAACCAACTAAAATTCTACCTATAGAAAATCCAGCCAGGTGCAGTGGTTCATGCCTGTAATCCCAGCACTTTGGGAGGCCAAGGCGGGTGGATCACTTGAGGCCAGGAGTTTGAGACCAGCCAGGCCAAGATGGCAAAACCCCGTGTCTACAAAAAATACAAAAATTAGCTGGGCATGGTGGTATACACCTGTAATCTCAGCTCTCAGGAAGCTGAGGCAAGAGATTGCTTGAACCTGGGAGGTGGAGGTTGCATGAGCTGAGATTGCACCACTGCACTGCAGTCTGGGCAACAGAGCGAGACTCTGACTCGAAAAAAGAAAAAAAAATGTTCTGGCTATTTATCCCTTTGTATACATCTAAGCATTTTCCCTAAGACAGTCAGACCTAATAGTCTTGACCTAATCCAGTGCTAATAGTCTTGTCTTTACTCACACCAGTTTTTAACTGTGGTGTTTGGATTTGGGGAATGCTCTTGGGGCGTTTAATTCCACCTATGAATACAAGTAAACCTCTTTGGGCACGAATTTGTTTTTGTAGAGATGGGGTCTTGCTATGTAAGACTTAATGACACAGTGTCCCCTGGTGGCTCCATATAACCCCTTTAGTCATTTTTCCTATTCAGGTGCCCTCCTGATTGACAGAAAAGAAATAAGAGAAATTAGGCTGGACATACGGCTCATGCCTGTAATCCCAGCACTTTCAGAGGCCGAGGAGGGAGGACTGGTTGAGACAAGGAGTTCAAAACCACCCTGGCCAACATAGTGAGACCCCCCCATCTCTATTTAAAAAAAAAAAGAGAGAGAGAGAGAAATCCATGCTCTTAACCTAGATTAGGGTGAGGTTGTCTTGGCAGCTCCAGTGGGTAATGGAGTTCTTGGTCCGTGAAAAACTCACAACTGTGATTTAAAAAGCGTTATCATCCACGTTGTTTCTTTGAGGTGTCTATGGTGGTCAGAAGCCCCATGGAACGACAGAATCACCCATTTAGAACTGTTGATGAGATAAAGAATCCTTAGCTGGGGACGGTCGGTGGAGTGAAAAGAAAATAGCAGAGCAGAATACCAGTGTACGGTGTGGCGGTGAAGGCAAACTGTGGATTGTTTTAAGAATCAAGGCTCAGCCAGGTGTGGTGGCTCACACCTGTAATCCCAGCACTTTGGGAGGCCTAGGTGGGCGGATCACCAGAGGTCAGGAGTTCGAGACCAGCCTGGCCAACATGGTGAAACCCCGTCTCTACTAAAAATACAAAACTTAGCTGAGTGTGGTGGTGCATGCCTGTAATCCCAGCTACTCAGGAGGCTGAGGCAGCAGAATCGCTTGAAACTGGGAGGCAGAGGTTGCAATGAGCTGCTGCACTCCAGCCTGGGCGACAGAGTGAGACTCTGTCTCAAAAAACAAACAAAAACAAAAAAAGTCACTATGCTGAGAGTGATACTGTTAAAAAAAAAAAAAAAAAGTTTGTGCCTGTCACCCTAAGTCATCTTGAGGCCCCCTGCTAGTATGTGCCCCATACTTTGAGGAACTGCATTTAACATGACCCTCTAGAAAACAGAGGCTGAAAAGCCACTAAGCTGGTTAGTGTGCCAGAAGCAATCTGGAAGAGCCCCAAGGCCTCTTGTGAGCTGGAGGGTTTAGTAAAAAGTGTGAGCTTTTACACAAGCTCTCCAGAAAATGCCTCAATTGTTCCCAGGAGTCCTCAACTCGCAGGGTTAGCCTGAGAGAAGAACTTTAATGTGCCACCTGGAAACCAGCCTGGTGAGAATTTCCTGGCTTAAGAGTGCCCAGCCCTAATGACAGCCCTGTAACAGAACCCCGGAGGCTCACCTCAAACCAAAGGCAAGGCTAGGTGTATTGGGCTTAGGTGAATCGCCTTAGAGCCAGGAAACCAGTGGCTGAGAAAGAGAAGGGGGAGGTGTCAGAGGATTGGGTGAGAGCAGGTGAGCCTCTCTGAGAGCTCGTTTTTCTCTCTCTCTCTCTCTCTCTCTCTTTTTTTTTTTTTTTTGATAGCTTGTTTCTCAAAGAAGAAGAAGATGGCCAGGTATGGTGGTGCATGCCTAATTGTGGCTTGGAATCCTTTGGAAGGCCTAGGCAGGTGGATCACCTGAGATCAGGAGTTCGAGACCAGCCTGGCCAACAAGGTGAAACCCTGTCTTCAGAAATACAAAATTAGCTGCACGTGGTGGTGGGCACCTGTAATCCCAGCTACTCAGGAGGCTGAGACAGGAGAATTGCTTGAACCCGGGAGGCAGGGGTTGCAGTGAGCCAAGATCGTGCCACCTCACTCCAGCCTGGGTGACAGAGTGAGACTGTCTCAAAATGAAAAGAAGAAAAAGGACTTGAAAATGGATCTGTGGTGGCTCACACCTGCAATCCCAGCACTTTGGGAGGCTGAAGTGGGAGGTTGGCTTGAGACCAGCAGTTCCAAACCAGCCTGGGCAATAGAGCGAGACCCTCCCCCACCATCTCTAATAAATAAACAATAAAAAGTAAGGCCGGGCGCAGTGGCTCATGCCTGTTATCCCAACACTTTGGGAGGCTGAGGTGGGAGGATGGCTTGAGCCCAAGAGTTCGAGATCAGCCTGAGCAACATAGTGAGACCCTCCCCCACCATCTCTATTAAATAAACAATAAAAAGTAAGGCCGGATGCGGTGGCTCACGCCTGTTATCGCAACACTTTGGGAGGCTGAGTGGGAGGATCGCTTGCGCCCAGGAGTTCGAGATCAGCCTAAATAACACAGTGAGACCTCACCTCTACCAAAAACACAAACGTTAGCCGGGTGTGGTGGTGCATGCCTGTAGTCCCAGCTACTCAGGAAGCTGAAGTGGGAGGATGGTTTGAGTCCAGGAGGCAGAGGTTGCAGTGAGCTGAGATCGTGCCACTGCACTCCAGCCTGGGCAACAGAGCTGGAGCTTGTCTCAAAATAAATAAATAATAAAGAGGAAATGGGTCCGTTTGTACTAACCTGGAATCGCAAGTCTCTCCTGAGCTTTACAGACCACTACAGACACGTATTCTGTTTTGTCTTGTACCTTTTGCTTTTAATTAAAAGCAAAGTGGTTTTCTAACACATGGCAGAAAACACACTGGTAAGAGTGACTGGCTGGGCACAGTGGCTCACACCTGTAATCCCAGCACTTTGGGAGGCAAAGGTGGGTGGATCACTTGAGGTCAGGAGTTTGAGACCAGCCTGGCCAACATGGTGAAACCCCATCTCTACTAAAAATACTAAAATTAGCCAGGCGTGGTGGTGTGCGCCTGTAATCCCAGCTACTTGGGAGGCTGAGGTGGGACAATAGCTTGAACTCGGAAGGCAGAGGTTGCGGTGAGCCAAGATTGAGCCACTGTACTCCAGCCTGGGTGACAGAGTGAGACTCTGTCTCAAAAAAAAAAAAAAAAAAAAAAAAAAAGAGTGATTTTATGCTGGCTAAAATCCCTTCCTATTAATTTCAGTGTCAGAAGATTTGCTGAGAAAAATCCTAGCTTGACAATGGCATTTATTTGTGACTCTAAAGAAACAACCAAAAACACCCTCCAAAACCTGATTTCCTTGTTTGCTCGACCATAACACCAGTGTGGCCCGCTCCAAGCTTGATGGGACCAGAAATCCTACAAAAAGCCTTTGGTCCCAGCTTGCTTGAGTGTCGTGCTGAGGAAAAAACACGCCCACACAACAGCAGATGTTGAGAAGCCTGTCTTTATTGGGTGATTTTTAGAGGCATTGCCTGTTGGGGGAAGGGGGGCTTACAGAAGTTGTCAGGGCATATACCCACCACCAAGAAAGTCATGAGTGACTCTCTCGTGACCTCGCTAAAACAATGAGCAAACTGCAGAAGGTTTTCAGGGAAAATTAACAAATTAGGTAGGGATGGGATGTGGGGTTCCCCATTCCCAGGGCTTTGGAATCCTTCCAGGTGATTATCCCTTTCTCTCTTTTCTCCAGAGACTGGGGCTTTTAAGAATGCACCATTTCCTGGAATTCTAGAACAGAAGAGGTGAGAACAGGGTCAGTGGAGGTGGCTTCGTTCTTTACAGACATGCCGTGGCCAGTGAGAATTCCAAAGAGGGAAGGAAGCAAAGAAAATTGTCAGATGATGGGCATGGCCCCCTTGGAGGGCACAAAAGAAAGAAAAACTGGCCGGGCACAGTGGCTCATGCCTGTAATCCCAGCACTTTGGGAGGCCGAAGCGGGTGGATCATGACATCATGAGATCGAAACCATCCTGGCCAAAATGGTGAAACCCTGTCTCTACTAAAAATACAAAACTTAGCCGGGCGTGGTGGCATGTGCCTGTAGTCCCAGCTACTTGGGAGGCTGAGGCGGGAGAATCACTTGAACCTGGGAGGCGGAGGTTGCAGTGAGCCGAAATCATGCCACTGCACTCTAGCCTGGGCGAGAGAGCCAGACTCCATCTCAAAAAAAAAAAAAAAAGAAAGAAAGAAAGAAAGAAAGAAAAAAACCCTGGGTATCAATGACTATATCTCAAGGAAGTCCACAGGGTTCCTTTTCTCTGAACAATCTTATTTAACAAACATCTTCAGCTTTGCAATAGAGGTCTTTGAATTAGAACTTGTCAAGCCCATCATTTCTCCCTGATAATGCATGAATTCACTGTAATTACCTGTGACCATCTGTGAACATTTAACTTTTTGTCTGCAGACAGGAAGGGGAGATTTTCTTTCTCTATTCTGTAGCTGGGTATTGCATTTTTAGGATATATTTGATAGGGTGGGACTTTGAACTGACTTTCCTCCATTGAACCAAACTCCAAAAGTTTCTGTTACTAAAAGAAGGATAATAGTAATAATAACAAGGTATGGATGTTACAGATTGATATAAAAAACTGGGGACTTGCTTTATATTTATTGGTAAGCTTTGTTTATTTGGAAATCCTTCATGGTTATGTTTATCTTTTTTTTTTCTTTTGAGATAGAGTTTCACTCTTGTTGCCCAGGCTGGAGTGCAATGGTGCCATCTTGGCTCACTGCAACCTCTGCCTCCCAGGTTCAAGTGATTCTCCTGCCTCAGCTTCCCGAGTAGTTGGGATTACAGGTGCCCACCACCATGCCCGGCTAATTTTTTATATTTTCAATAGAGATGGGGTTTACCATGTTGGTCAGTCTAGTCTTGAACTCCTGACTTCAGGGGATCTGCCCACCTTGGCCTCCAAAAGTGCTGGGATTATAGGCCTGAGCCACCACGCCCAGCCCGTGGTTATGTTTAAATAAGGCAATCCCCCCTTACCTAATCTGTTTTTATGAGCTATCTATCTGCATTAACTCCCATGTAGTAAGCGATAGTGGTATAATTTTGAACAGGTTTTTTTTTTAATAAGCATCTAACGTAGCAGTTTTAAATTTCAAATTAGCACCACCAGAAGGACCACCATACATTCTGCTGAGTTGGCAGACACAAAGTAGTTAAAAAGCATGCTAGCAACATGACAAAATCAAGTGAAAATAGTCCTACAGCTATGCTAGTGTATTCTAAAGCTCAAACCTAGGATTCTGCCTACGGAAGACTCAATAAATGAGGTTGGCTTATTTGTTCTCTGTTTAATATTATCCCCTTGGCGGGCTAATGTCCAATAAAATATATTTGTCTAAACCCTTGAAGATGAAGAGGCCTTCCTACGCATGCCAATGGACCCTGGTCTGAGGATGTAAATCTTTCCCTTATTCTGAGGGGTTCAAACCCCACTGGTAGAAATACCTCGCGCTATATGCAGGTGCATTATGGTTGGCAGGTACAAATAATTGGCCAGGTAGCTAGCTAGTCCCCTAGTCAGGTGAAGGATATTTTGCAGCTCATAGACAATGACCAGTGTGACCAGCTTCTATATACCTACCGAGAATTATGCCAGGGTTTTTACACACATCATTTGCATCCTTACTTTAGTCTCATTTTACAGATGAGAAGACTGAGGCTCGGTAAGGTTAAGAAAGGGAGATTTTAAGCCACATTGGTTTGATCTCACAGCCCAACCCCTCACGGATGCTTCCTGAGCTAGAGTGTTTTATGCTACGTACACGTGTGGACATACCCTCTGCTCCAATTTTCCCATCTCCATCATTATCCGCCGCAGCCATCAAGGACTTGGTTTCTGACTCGGTCAGTTCTCTGGCACCACTCTCAAACTTCTGGAGGAAAAACCTACAGGATAATAAAGATCCATGGGGATTTTCAAAAAGGTCGTGCATCCCTGTGTTTAGACTTTTGTTTTTCCTTTAAGCATATCATCTGTTTCCAGCACCTGCAATAATTAGCCAAGGTCTTAGCAAGCAAAGGTTTCCTTAAGCTGTAGAAACCAATGGTGGGCACTTCATTTTTAAGGTTTTGTTTGTTTGTTTGTTTATTTTTGAGATAGGGTCTTGCTCTGTCACCCAGGCTGGAATGCAGTGATACCATCATGGCTCACTGCAGCCTCAACTTCCTGGGCTCAATCAATCCTTCTGCCTCAACCTCCCGAGTAGCTGGGACTAAAGGTGCACCCCCCCATGCCCCACTAACATTTGTATTTTTTTTTTGTAGAGACAAGGTTTTGTCATGTTGCCCAGACTGGTCTTGAAATCCTGGGCTCACTCAAGCAATCCACCCACCTCAGCCTCCCAAAGGGCTGGGATTGTAGGTGTGAGCCACAGTGCCTGGCCCATTTTTAAGTTTTTAGTGGTTTTAATTTTTATTTATTTATTTATTTATTTGAGACAGAGTCTCTGTCACCCAGGCTGGAGTGCAGCTGCACGATCTGGGCTCACTGCAACCTCTGCCTCCTGATTTCAAGCAATTCTTGTGCTTCAGTCTTCTGAGTAGCTGGAATTACAGGCGTGAGCCACCGCGCTTAGCCAAGTTTTTAGTTTTTTAAAGTCCATTTGCCAAAGGAAATCCCTTACATGAAAGAATCTTTGCGGCTGGGCACGGTGGCTCACACCTGTAATCCCAGCACTTTGGGAGGCCAAGGCAGGAGGATCACTTGAAGTCAGGAGTTTGAGACCAGCCTGGCAACATGGTGAAACCCCATCTCTACTCTAAATATGAAAATTAGCTGGATGTGGTGGCAAGCACCTGTAATCCCAGCCACTTGGGAGACTGAGGCATGAGAATCACTTGAGTTTGGAAGGCGGAGGCTGCAGGGAGCTGAGATCACCCCACTGCACTCCAGCCTGGGTGACAGTGAGGCCCTGTCTCAAAAAAAAAAAAGAATCTTTGCACCTGTAGTCTTCACTGCCCATGTTGAGGGCTTTGCATGGGTAGATGTGCGGTCAACTGACTCATGTCCTTTGCTTTAATGATGCTTGGCCGAATGACCAACACCAAGGCTGGCCATTGAAGAAATACTGAGCAACCTGGCCCCCACTGCACCCCAGGCCCACCCAGCAGTGCCAGGTACCAGACAGCCTCAGGACAAAGCTTACTTAAGCTCTTCTTCATCCAGATACCCGCTCTGGTCGTTGTCTATGAACCGGAAAACATCCTTCACCTGACTGGCTGACATCTTGGAGAGGCCTGACGTCTGGAAGAATTTTTGGGGTTCAAAAGTGTCTGGGTCTGAAGAACAGAGAATGGGTTATTCTGACACTCATTGGATCACATTCTATGTTGGGGCCAAGGTACTGAAAACACAGATGATTAAAAACACTTCAACAATATCCCTGAGCTACGGGGATGCTCAACTGGTCTAAGATTTTGGGACAGCCAAGACTTGATGGCTCTGTGATGGCATCCCATGTCCCCTCCGCCCCGGTCTTCCCTCCTCCACTTGGTTTTGTCCATTTTCCTTTTCCCTCCTCCTCTCCTCTGTGCCTCCCCCTCCCCCTGGCCCACTTTACAGGCTGTGTGGCCGAGCCCCCAACATCCCTGGTCTAATTGGTAGGGGGAAATGCAATCACTGGATTTCAACAGGCTAAATGGCCTTTGGCGATTTCTTTCTTTCTTTTTTTTTTTTTTTTGAGACAGAGTCTCACTCTGTCGCCAGGCTGGAGTGCAGTGGCGTGATCTCGGCTCACTGCAACCTCTGCCTCCCAGGTTCAACTGATTCTCCTGCCTCAGCCTCCCGAGTAGCTGGGATTACAGGCATGCACCCCCATGCCCAGCTCATTTTTGTATTTTTAATAGAGACAGGGTTTTGTCAGGCTGGCCAGGTTGGTCTTGAACTCCTGACCTCAAGTGATGCACCGGCCTTGGCCTCCCAAAGTGCTGGGATTACAGGTGTGAGCACCACACCTGGCCCTTCAGTGATTTCTTGCTTTCATGTTTAGTAGGTTTCTTTTGTCTTACAGAAGTGTAATCGTGTGCTCAGATCCCAGATCTCTATAATTTTAGTTATCTAATAAATAGTAGTTTTCTTCTCTGATTCCATGAATTTTCCAGCCAAGCTCTTATTTACTTATTTATTTATTTATTTATTTATTTATTTAGAGACAGAGTCTCACTCTGTCGTCCAGGCTGGAGTGCAGTGTAGCGATCATAGCTCACCACAGCCTCAACCTCCTGGGCTTGAGTGATCCTCCTACCTTAGTTTCCAGAGTAGCTGGGACCACAGGCACATGCCACCATGCCCCGCTAGTTTTTATTTTTATTGTTATGTTGTAGAGATGGAGTCTTGTTATGTTGCCCAGGCTGGTCTCAAACTCCTGGGCTCAAACAGTCCTCTCACCTTGGCCTCCGAAAAGTGTTGGGATTACGGATGTGAGCCACCATGCCTGGTCTACATTTTTTTTTTTTTTGTAGACAGAGTCTACAAAAAAGGCCGGGTTCAAGCAATTCTCAGCCTCAGCCTCCCGAGTAGCTGGGATTACAGGTGCCCACCACCACGCCTGGCTAATTTTTTTGTATTTTTATTAGAGATGGGGTTTCACCATCTTGGCCAGGCTGGTCTCAAACTCCTGACCTCGTGATCCACCCACCTCAGCCTCCCAAAGTGCTAGGATTACAGGCGTGAGCCACTGCGTCTGGCCGCCTGGCCTACATTTTGATTTTGTGTTGCCTCGCTGGAGGGGCAAAGCTGTGAGGAAATCCCACCCCCGCCCCACGTCCCCTCTACCTTGGCATTCCTGGAGCGCTGCTGCAATGTCATCAGCACTGAGCACGTCCGTGATGCTCATTTTCTACCTACTCACACAGAATAAACGAGAGGCGATAAGCCACAAACAGGAACGTGCACATCCAGGGGAAACACATCTTCCCAGGCCCACTGAAACTGTATGTGTGTCTAGATTTTTTTTTTTTTTTTTTTTGAGATGGAGTCTCACTCTGTCACCCAGGCTGGAGTGCAGTGGCACAATCTTGGCTCACTGCAACCTCCACCTCCTGGGCTCAAGTGATTCTCCTGCCTCAGCCTTCCGAGTAGCTGGGATTACAGGTGCGCACTACCAGGCCTGGCTGATTTTTGTGTTTTTAGTAGAGATGGGGTTTTGCCATGTTTGCCAGCCTGGTCTCGAGCTCCTGACCTCATGTGATCTGCCTGCCTTGGCCTCACAAACTGCTGGGATTACAGGCATAAGCCACCAAGCCAGGCCTGTCTAGAATTTTTAAAATGTGATAAGCATGGTTTTGTATTAAGTGACGGGACAGAATATCCAAATTAAAACCAGATACCAAAAAGACCCCAGCCCTTTTTGTCTCAGAGCCTTCTTTTGAATATATGCCAAAAATGAAAAAAAAAAACATGACCCAAAGAAGGATTCAATTGTTTTCTTATAAAAATTATACTGACATAATCAGTCATTTGCATAGGCAGCCGTAAACCATGTTACAAATGCACTGGCATTTTCCTACAGCAGTCCGAGAGATGCACTGTTGCAAATTCCACGTGGGAAAGGATACAGTTTGGGCTGCTTGCAGACATTCTGTGGAAGAAGACATGCTACCTGTCCTGAAAGGTGGGAAGCAGATGGATGAAAAGCCCATCTCCCAGAGATTAAAATCCTTCCAGATGTCAGAGCCATGGGAAAACAGGAGTCTAAGCACCTGAGCCTAATATGAATGCATGCAGTGAAGAAGAGTCTGGGGTCTGATGGGTCCACCAGTTACTCACCGTTTTAGGTTTTCCCCCAGGAAGAATCAGGAAAAAGAGTTGAAGGAGCAAAACAACAGATGTGCTTTTGCTACCTTACTGACCTACCTTATATAGGCTAGAAAAAGTGATAGTTACAACCTCTTAGATTTCCTTTTCAAGGATCAAGTGGATGCAGCTCAAATGTCTTGTCCTACTCAGGAAACCTCTTTTTTTTTTCTATTTATGTCTCAAGGGAATGTGGGTGGGAATAGCCAATTGTAAAAACAACAACAACAACAACAACCTCAACAAACCTTAACTAAGGTTTCAATTCTGCAAACGAACCCTGTTGGCAAAGTGTGGAGAAGGTTCTAGAGCCTGGTAAGCTGGAGATGGTGGCCTGAACTAAGACAAACACATACAGGGTGCTCTGTAAGCTGAAAAGCTCCCCAGATGTTAGCAGGTACCGTTGGAGGCAGGCCTGTTTTCAGCTTTGGGAACTATGGATGTGTAAGGCTGACCTCAATCTGGAGTTGAAGACTCAAAGCCATTGTCACCAAGTGCACACACAGGACTCGTCCGGCACAGGAGACAGGGCTAAGTGACGTGATTTTCCTACAAAACTCTTGACTTTTACGTTTCCCAGCTATACCATAAATTGCACACACTCAAAAGGCAAAAAGGAGGAAATCAAACCAGCATCCCCAACCCCCAAAACTAACAAGTTCAGAAACAAATACTCTGAGGCTGAGGCCAGGACTAGACACCTCAAGATTTTGTTTCTGTTGTGACAGGGTCTTGCTCTGTTGCCCCGACTGGAGTGCAGTGGTACAATCTCAGCTCATTGCAGCCTTGACCTCCAGGCTCAAGCGATCCTCCCACCTCAGTCTCCCGAGTAGCTGGTACTACAGGCACACACCACCATGCCTGGCTAATTTTTTTAATATACATATTTTTTGGAGAGACAGGGTTTTGCCATGTTGCCTAGGCTGGTCTTGAACTCCTGGGCTCGAGTAATTCTCCCACCTCAGCCTCCCAAAGTGCTGGGATTACATGTGTGAACCACCACTCCTGGCCTTTTTTTTTTTTTTAATTTTCAGCAAACATTTATTGAGGCTTTATATGGCCAGCACTGTGCTAGACTCTTCTTTTTAATTATTGGGTAAAAACCACATTCCATAAAATATATAATCTCAACCATTTTTAAGTGTATGTATAGTACAATATTGTTAACTCTTGGTGCATTATTGAATGAGAGATCTCTGTAATTTATTCAGCTGGAAAAACAGAAACTCTGTATCCATTGAGCTGCCACAACTCCCCTGTTCCCCCACCTCCCAGCTCCTGGTAAGCATCATTGTACTTTCTGCTTCTAAGAGTTTGACTACTGGCCGGGCACAGTGGCTCATGCCTGTAATCCCAGCACTTTGGGAGGCCGAGGCAGGCAAATCACAAGGTCAGGAGTTCGAGACCAGCCTGACCAACATGGTGAAACCCCATCTCTACTAAAAATGCAAAAATTAGCTGGGCATGGTAGCCTGTAATCCCAGCTACTTGGGAGGCTGTGGCAGGAGAATCACTTGAATCTGGGAGGCAGAGGTTGCAGTGAGCTGAGATTGCGCCACTACACTATAACCTGGGTGACAGAACGAGACTCCACCTCAAAAAAAAAAAAGAGTTTGACTGCTTTATCTAGGGACATCATATAAGTGGAATCATATAGTATTTGTATTTTTCAGACTGGCTTATTTCACTGAGTATAATGTCCTCAAGGTTCATCTGTGTTGTGGCATGTGTCAGGATCTCCTTTTTTTTTTTTTTTTTTTTTTGAGACGGAGTCTTGCTCTGTCACCCAGGCTGGAGTGCAGAGGCATGATCTCAGCTCACTACAACCTCCGCCTCCCGGGTTCAAGAAATTCTCCTGCCTTAGCCTCCCGAGTAGCTAGGATTACAGGCACATGCTACCACACCCGGCTAATTTTTGTATTTTTAGTAGAGATGGGGGTTTCACCATGTTGGCCAGGCTGGTCTCAAACTCCTGACCTCAAGTGATCCACCTGCCTTGGCCTCCCAAAGTGCTGGGATTACAGGTGCGAGCCGCCGCACCTGGCCTAGGATCTCCTTTTTAAAAGCTGGAGTCATGTTTTTTGTTTGTTTGTTTTTCATTTTTATTTTTATTTGTTTTTGAGACAGAGTTTTGCTCTTCGGGCTGGAGTGCAGTAGTGTGATCTCGGCTCACTGCAGCCTTGACCTCCTGGGTTCAGGCAATCCTCCCAGCTCAGCCTCCCAGGAGGCTGGGACTACAGGCGCACACCACCACACCTGGCTAATTTTTTGTATTTTTTTTGGTAGAAACGGGGGCCTCACGATGTTGCCCAGGCTGGTCTCAAACTCCTGGACTCAAGCGATCCACCCTGCTCGGCTTCCCAAAGTGCTGAGATTACAGGCGTAAGCCACTGTGCCCAGCCTGAAGTTTTTAAAAAGTGCAAAAATAGATCCCATGTTGCAATGAGAAACATACAGTGGCTTAGAAGTAGACAGTTCAGGCCGGGTGCAGTGGCTGATGCCTGTAATCCCAGCACTTTGGGAGGCTGAGACAGGCAGATCACCTGAGGTCGGGAGTTCGAGACCAACCTGACCAACATGGAGAAACCCCGTCTCTACTAAAAATATAAAATTAGCTGGGCATGGTGGCACATGCCTGTAATCTTGGCTACTCGAGAGGCTGAGGCAGGAGAATCACTTGAACTGGGGAGGTGGAGGTTGTGGCAAGCCGAGATCATGCCATTGCACTCCAGCCTGGGCAACAAGAGCAAAACTCTACCTCAAAAAAAAAATAAATAAATAAGTAGACAATTCAGGATACCTAGAGCAAGACCTCAGACTCTTTCCTGGGTAAAACAGTGGGCATCTTCACTTTGCCCCAAATATATTCTCCTACCAGGATGGTATACCCCCTAGTGTCGTCAGTGAAGAGTTTCTCTCAGGGATACCTGCAGCCTCTCTTAAATGACCAAACCTCCAGCCGGCACCCTATCTCTTGTCCACATTTTATTCCCCAGTGCCTAGCCCAGGACTGACCTATATTTAGGCGCTCAGCAGTTATTTGATGAATGAATAAATAAAAATAGCAAAAAGAAGTTGAAAATACGATTCCCAACCAGCATCACCTTGCCCAGCCCCTTAAAGAAGTTTCTAAAGATTGGGTGTGGTGGCTCATGCCTGTAATCTCAGCACTTTGGGAAGCCAAGGTGGGAGGATTTCCTGAGCCCAGGAGTTCAAGACTAGCCTGGACAACATGACAAGGTCCTGTCTCTACAAAAAAATAATAATCATAAATCAGCCCCGGCCAGGTGCGATGGCTCACGCCTGTAATCCCAGCACTTTGGGAGGCCGAGGCAGGTGGATTACCTGAGGTCAGGAGTTCGAGACCAGCCTGGCCAACATGGTGAAACCCTGTCTCTACTAAAAATACAAAATTAGCCCGGCGTAGTGGTGCATGCCTGTAATCCCAGCTACTCCGGAGGCTGAGGCAGGAGGATCACTTAGAACCCGGGAGGCAGAGGTTGCAGTGAGCTGAGATCATGGCCACTGCTCTCCAGCCTGGGTAACAGAGCGAGACTCTGTCTCAGAAAAAAAATAAATCAGCTAGGCATGGTGGCGCATGCCTGCGGTGCCAGCTGCTCAGGAGGCTGAGGTGGGAAGATTGATTGAGGCTGGGAAGTACCGGCTGCTGCAAGTTACAATTGCACCACTGCACTCCAGCCTGGGTGACACAGTGAGGCCTTGTCTCAAAAAAAAAAAAAGTTTCTGAAAATAAGTCTTAAGAGTTTTGAATTAGGTTTCTGACATTAAGTTGCCATAGAAACTAGCTGAGTCCTTTCTTTTTCTTTGGGAGTGTTTACAATTGTCCATAGAGATAAAACATTTTTTAAAAATCTGCTCATTTAAATCAAAGTAGCATATGGGTTAAACCAAGATACTTTTTATGTTCATGCTATTTTTCTGAAAGAAAATAAAGATACCAGAGACAAGGCCAGGAGTGGTGGCTCATGCCTATAATCCCAACACTGTGGGAGGCCGAGATGGGAAGATTGCTTGGGCCCAGGAATTCGAGACCAGCCAGGGTGATGTAGTGAGACTCCCATCTCTATAGAAAAATATTGTATTTATTTAAATTTTAAAAAGATAACATATTCAGTGAACATGTTTTCTGAATCAAGGAGGCACTTAAGATGACAACTTGAATTCCATTATGTGCAATCTGAGCATCAAATATTGATTCAGGCCGGGCGCCGTGGCTCACACCTGTAATCCCAGCACTTTGGGAGGCTGAGGTGGGCAGATCACCTTAGGTCAGGAGTTCGAGACCAGTCTGGCCAATGTGGCGAAACGCTGTCTCTACTAAAAACACAAAAAAATTATCCGGGCATGGTAGTGGGTGTCTGTAATCCCAGCTACTTGGGAAGCTGGGGCAGGAGAATTGCTTGAACCCGGGAGGTGGAGGTTGCAGTGAGCCGAGATTGTGCCACTACATTCCAGCCTGGGTGACAGAGCAAGACTCCGTCTCAAAAAAAATATATATAGATAGATAGATAGATAGATAGATAGATAGATAGATAGATTCACACAAAGAGACAATATTGTATAATTCCACTAATACGAGGTACCTAGAATATTCAAACTGACAGAGACAGACAGAATGGTGGTTAGCAGGGCTGGGGGGAGGGGTAATGGGATTGAGTGTTTAATGGGGACAGAGTTTCAGATTGGGAAGATGAGAAAGTTCTGGAGATGGATGGTGGTGACAGTTGCACAATGTGAATATATTTAATGCCACTGAACTTCAAAAGGTTTAAGATGGGTCGGGTGAGGCGGTGCATGTCTGCAATCCCAGCACTTTGGAAGGACGAGGCGGGAGAATTGCTTGAAGCCAGGAGTTTGAGACCAGCCTGGGTTACAAAGCACTACCCCGACTCTACAAAAAATAAAAAAAATTAGCCAGACATGGTTGTGTGCATCTATGGTCCCAGCTACTCGGGAGGCTGAGGTGGGAGGATCACTTAGGCCCAGGAGTTTGAGGCTGCAGTGAGCTGTGATCACACAACTGCACTCCAGCCTGGTTAACAGAGTGAGACCCTGTCTCTCCAAAGAAAAAAAAAGAAAATTATTAAGATGGTAAATTTCATATTATGTATTTTATGTTGCATATCATGTTATGCATCTGACATATGTTGCATATGCATAATGATATGTTGTTTATCATATTTGCATATTTATGTAATGTAATGCTTATGTATATCATGTATATGTATATATTAACAATTTTTAAACGTTGATTCAGTAGTCTTCATTATTTTGGCCACCAATTCCTAATTGCTCCCAGGAAAGAACAGGAGGAAGATGTGGAAGTAGATCGTTTTTTTTTTTTTTTTTGAGACAGAGTCTCGCTCTGTCACCCAGGCTGGAATGTAGTGGCACGATCTCGGCTCACTGCAACCTCCATCTCCCAGGTTCAAGAGATTCTTCTGCCTCAGCCTCCCGAGTAGCTGGGATTACAAGTGCCTGCCACCATGCCCGGCTAATTTTTTAATTATTTTTAGTAGAGACGGGGTTTCGTCGTGTTGGTCAGGCTGGCCTCCAACTCCTGACCTCAAGTAATCCGCCCACCTCAGCCTCCCAAAGTGCTGTGATTACAGGCGTGAGCCACCGCGCCCAGCCTGGCTGCCCTTGTGGGGACAAAACTCTTGACTGCATGGGAGACCCTCCTTCCATCATGTATGATGGGCTAGTTGAGAGCACCGTGGACCCACTTCCATGTTCTCTCAACAGATGTCTTCCTAAATATCTCCTAACTTCTTCTTCTCTTCATGGACCACCGTCACTACCCCAGCCCAAGCCACCAGCATCTCTTTTGGGAATGGAAACAACCGTGGTGGCCTCTTAACCCTTCTCCACTCGGGGTCACCTCCAACCTAGCCAGGTGGGTTTTGAAAAAACCCAAGCATGGCTGGACTGGGTGGCTCATGCCTGTAATCCCCAACATTTTAGGAGGCCGAGGCGGGAGCATTGCTTGTGCCCAGAAGTTTGAGACCAGCCTGGGTCACAAAGCAAGAACCCATCTCTACAAAAAATGAAAATAACTAAATAATTATCCAGGCTTCTGGGCTTGAGTGGTCCTCCTGCCTCAGTCTCCTGAGTAGCTGGGACTACAGGCATGTGCCACCACCCCAGGCTGATTTTTAAATTAAATTTAATTTAATTTAAAAAAAAATTTCTTTTTGAGATGGAGTTTTGCTCTTGTTGCCCAGTCTGGAGTGCAATGTCAAGATCTAGGTTCACTGCGACCTCTACCTCCCAGATTCAAGCGATTCTCCTGCCTCATCCTCCCAAGTAGCTGGGATTACAGGTGTGCACCACCACACCCTGTGACTTTTTTGTAGTTTTAGTAGAGACAGGGTTTTACCATGTTGGCCAAGCTGGTCTTGAACTCCTGACCTCAAGTGGTCCACCCGCCTCAGCCTCCCAAAATGCTGGGATTACAGGTATGAGCCACTGCGCCTGGCCTTAATTTTTTAATTTAATTTTTGTACATTCAGGGTCTGGCTCTGTCATGCAGGCTGGAGTGCAATGATGCGATTGTGGTTCACCGCAGTCTTGACCTCCTGGGCTCAAGCCATCCTCCCTTCTTGGCCTCCCAATGTGGTGGTATTACAGGTGTGAGCCACCGTGCCCAGCCCCATCGTCCATTTTTATCTTCGGTCTTTCATTGGCACATTCCTTGTCACAGTGTAACTATTCAATGAACACATTTGAGCAGTGAATGAACTGGCTCTCTGAATCTGAGTTTCTGCATCCAGCCATCTCTGTGTAGTGACGTGGGGGATGGGGTGGGATCCAGAGTTATGGGAGTGTTTATTTATAAATGAGATACTTCTCTACGAGTGGATTTCCTTTCCCACTCACAGACTGAGCAATAATTGGTTAAATAAGTTTACAC
Organism: Homo sapiens; assembly: GCF_000001405.40. NCBI lineage: Eukaryota > Metazoa > Chordata > Mammalia > Primates > Hominidae > Homo > Homo sapiens. The sequence goes on from NC_000007.14 coordinate 97,997,998, forward strand.
ATGGGGGTTTGGGACAAGCTCCTTCGTGAAACGAAGTGACTGCTATTTACAAACGAAGACCGTAAAGTGTCTTAGGGCTGCGTGAAAAGGACAGCTTGTGTGTTTCCCAATGGAATGAATGAATAACAAGGATGGGGGATCCCCAGGAGCGCACAGCCCCCATCTATAAGAGCTGACCTCTCCTGGGTTTACAGCTTTGATTACCCACGGGGCAGGGCAAAATGCATCCCTCGTGACCTATGGTGGGTGTGGAAATGGCACAAGTCCCCTAATTACCGCTGGCCCCGTAATCTGTGGGCTCCGGTGCACGGTGAAAATGCAAGTCCTGCCGGGCGCGGTGGCTGGTGTCTGTAGTTCCAGCTACTTGGGAGGCCGAGGCAGGAGGATTGCTTGAGCCCGGGAGCTCTGGGCTGCAGTTCGCTCTGCCGATTGGGTGTCTCCACTAAGTTTGGCATCAATATGGTGACCTCCTGGGTGCAGGGGACCATCAGGTTGCCTAAGGAGGGTGAACCAGCCCAGGCTGGCAACGGAGCAAGTCAAAACTCCTGTGCTGATCAGTAGTGGGATTATGCTTGTGAATAGCCACTGCACTCCAGCCTGGGCAACATAATAAGACCCCATCCCTAAAAAAAAAAAAAAAGAAAAAGAAAAAAGGAAATGCAAGTCCTCTTGTTCAAAGAATTTCACTATGGGGGCCTCAGCGGATTGAATCAAGTGTGCAGGCTTTCTAAGTGCAGGACCCTGAAGACCACAGGTCTCACACCCGTGAAGCCTGCCCTGCTTCACAGTGTGTGCAACACTGCCCAGTTCACCAACATGATGTTGTGTCATTTAACCATGGCAACAACTCTGAAATATTATTATCCCCGTGATGAACAAGGGAGAGATATCCCAGGTCAGGCAGGGTGCGGTGGCTCAAGCCTATAATCTCAGCACTTTGGGAGGTTTGCTTGAAGCCAGGAGTTTAAGACCAGCCTAGGCAACAGAGTGAGACCCCTATCTCTTTTTTTTTTTTTTTTTTTTGAGACAAGGACTCACTCTGTCACCCAGGCTTGAGTGCAGTGGTTCAATCATGGCTCACTGCAGCCTCTGCCTCCTGGGCTCAAGTGATCCTCCCACCTCAGCCTCCCGAGTAGCTGTGACTATAGGCACACGCCGCCACACCCAGCTAATTTATTTTATTTTTTGTAGAGACGGGGAGGGGGGTCTCACTATGTTGCCCAGGCTGGTCTCGAACACCTGGGCTCAAGCCATCCTCCCGCTTTGGCCTCCCAAACTGCTGGGATTACAGGCGTGAGCCACTGCGCCCGGCTTTCTGGGCATTTTAATTTGTGGATTACCATGCCTGTTATCCCAGCTACTGGGGAGGAGGCTGAGGCAGGAGAATCGCTTGAACCTGGAAGGTGGAGGTTGCGGTGAGCTGAGATCGTGCCATTGCACTCCAGCCTGGGCAACAAGAGCGAAACTCGGTCTTTAAAAAAAAAAAAAAAAAGATATTCACCAATTAGCGTGATATTTACAAGAATTTCATGTGGTAGTTGTGATAGTTAATTTTGTATGTCAATTTGAGTGGGCCATGGGGTACCCAGATTAAACATTGGCTAAGACTGCATACTTATGTTAACATGCGTTAAGCCTCTGTGCTGATATGTCAAGCACTTCTGTACTCAGCAAAGCAGCAAACATTTTCCACAAGATACCTCACTGCTCAGAACATTAAGGCAGGTATTGATGCTCCCATTTTACAGATGAAGATAAACTAAATTTCAGAGATTAGATGGCCAGAACGTACCAGCCTTCAGATGTGTGCTGAAATCTCTGGTTCCCTGATTTTCCTACACGGCCTGGACTAATGGCTTATTTTGTAGGACACAGAGCTCAGAACCCCAGTGAGAAGAAATTATTATTAATAAGGGCTTGTTCTGGCCCCAGCCAATGGACAGGCTGCTATGAGAATGCATAAAGAATTCTGCAAAGGCTGAGGGCAGTGGCTCACGCCTGTAATCCTGGCACTTTGGGAGGCTGAGGCAGGGAGGATCGCTTGAGCCCAGGGGTTCGAGACCAGATTGGGCAACATAGTGGGACTCTGTCTCTAAAAAAAATTTAAAAATTAGCCAGGCGGGGTGGTACAAGCCTATGGTCCCAGCTATTCAGGATCCTGAGGTGGAAGGATGGATGGCTTGAGACTGGGAGATTAAGGCTGCAGTGAGCCACGATCATGCCACTGCACTCCAGCCTGGGTGACAGAGCGAGACTCTGTCTCCAAAAATATAATAAAATAAAATAAAATAAAAATAAAAATAAAGGATTCTGCAAATGTCAGCCTACTCCTCTGCCCAAAATATATAATAACAAAGAAAACAAAGCAAAGATGTCATAGCTATGGTTTTGTTGCTATGAGAATACTCTTGTCAAGGCTGGAGGATGGCACAAACATACTGTATTTAACCACTTGTCAGTTTCACTTGCAATTCACACACGTGGCACGTGGGCCTCTGTGCTCTTGTCCTGGGTCAGCCAATGTCAGGGGCGGGAGCGAGGGTACGAATGCTTCGAGAATGGACCCGGCAAGTTGAATGCTTCCGAGAGGTTAGGATGAGGCCGCCAGGGTGAGCACGTGCGGATGATGGGTGGGGCGGTGAGTTGTTGCTGGGTAGTGCAGAAGAAACTGTTCTGGGGTAATGCACGTGGGTGCAGGTGGGAGGGGACTGGAGAAGGGTGCAGGTGGGAATGAGATCATAGGGGAGGATACAGTGCTGCAGGAAATATATTTTTTAAATTTTTAAATTTTATTTTTATTTTTAGATGGAGTCTCTGTTGCCCAGGCTGGAGTGCAGTGGCGCCATCTCGGCTCACTGCAACCTCCGCCTCCCGGGTTCAAGTGATTCTTCTGTCTCACCCTCCTGAGTAGCTGGGACTACAGGCGCACACCACTATGCCCGGATAATTTTTGTATTTTCAGTAGAGACAGGGTTTCACCACTTTGGTCAGGCTGGTCTTGAACTCCTGACCTCAAGTGATCCGCCTGCCTCGGTCTCCCAAAGTGCTGGGATTACAGCCATGAGCCACCATGCCCAGCTAGAGCTGCAGGAAGTATTTTAAGACTCCAGCTGCCAATGGCCTTGGGGAAGGGGTAGGTTCACAGGTGGGTCTAGGAGGGCCTGGCACCCCCTCGTGGGGAACATTCATGGTTCCTGAGTTCCTCTCTTCTCTCTTTTCTTCCTGCAGCTTTCTGTTAGTACTGTATTCAGAATGCCAATGGTATGAAGTCAACCCAGCTATTTAGAACTTAGGACTCAGTCGTTTTTGTTTTGTTTTGTTTTGTTTGTTTGTTTGTTTGTTTGTTTTGAGACAGAGTCTCACTCTGTTGCCCAGGCTGGGGTACAATAGCGCGATCTCGGCACACTGCAACCTCTGCCTCCTGGGTACAAGCAATTCTCCTGTCTCAGCCTCCCAAGTAGCTGGGATTACAGGCGTACACCACTATGCCTGGCTAAGTTTTGTATTTTTAGTAGAGACAGAGTTTCACCATGTTAGCCAGGCTGGTTTCGAACTCCTGACCTCAGGTGATCCACCTGACTTGGCCTCCCAAAGTGCTGGGATTATAGGCGTCAGCCACTGTGACCGGCCTGGACTCAGTAGCTCTTGGCATGAGTATTGGTTTAGCTGACTTTCTGGGTAGCCCAGAGCTGTTATGGGTGTCAGACTTCACATTCCCAGTGCCTTCTAACTGACTCTCAAAGGAAGACAGAAGCTACATCATTTCTTATCCAAATGCTGCAGGAGAGGAAAATTCCTTAAAATTATCTGAGAGACTATTGGCTATGTCTTTTTTCCCCCTCACTCTTAGACACTTGCTCTAAATTACTCAGTGAAATTGATGGCAAAAGCCCTTTAGACCTTTGGCTGGCTGTGTCTTCCTGAGCTTACTAGAGCATTGTTGGGGGAAGAAAAGGCTGAAATAAAGATGAGAGTGGCTGGGCGCAGTGGCACACACCTGTAATCCCAGCACTTTGGCAGGCTGAGGTGGGAGACCATTTAAAGCCAGGAGTTCAAGACCAGCCTGAGCAACATAGTGAGACCCCCATCTCTACAAAAATTAAAAAGTTCACCTGGGTGTGGTGGTGCATGCCTGTGACTCCAGGTACTCAGGAGGTTGAGGCAGGAGGATCGCTTGAGCCCAGGTGGTTGAGGTTGCAGTGAGCTGTGATCTTGCCACTGCATTCCAGCCTGGGTAGGCCCTGTCTCCAAAAAAACAAAACAACACAACAACAACAACAACAAAACACAGTGAAGCTAGAAATGAAAAATACACTGGATGGGATTAGCAAATTAGACACTGAAGAAAAAAAGAGTAATGAGTTTGAAAACAGAGCAATGGGAAAGAGGCCAGGCACAGTGGCTCACTCCTGTAATCCCAACACTTGGGGAGGCTGAGGCGGGTGGACCACTTGAGCTCAGGAGTTTGAGACCAGCCTGGACAACATGGTGGAACTCCATCTCTACAAAAAAAAATTTTTAAATGTAGCCAGGTTTGGTGGTCCCAGCTACCAGGGAGGATCACCTGAGCCCAGGAGGTCAAGGCTGCATTGAGCCAAGATTGTGCCACTGCACTCCAGCCTGGGCAATATAGCAAGACCCCGTCTTAAAAAAAAAAACAACCCCCCAAAACAAAACCAATCCCCTCCCAAACACCCCCACATCGCAATAGAAAAGATACAAGCTGAAACGCAGAGAGAAACAATTCTGGAAGAAATAAAACCACACATCAGTGAGCTATTGGACAACTTCAAGTGGCCTAATATACATGTAATTGGAGTCTCAGAGGAAAGGAGAAAGAGGAAGAAACAGAAAAATATTTAAAGAAATAATGGCAGAAAATTTTCCACATTGGATGAAAGTAGGCTCGAGAAGCTCAATGAACCTCCAGAAAAAATAAGAGGAGGAAAAAGGAGGAGGAGGAGGAAGAGCCAACATGTATAAAGGGCGCATTATTATAAAATTGTTTAAAACAAGTGATAAAGAGAAGATGAAGATCATAAAGGCAGCCAGAAAAAAGAGACACAATATGTTCAGAGGAACAAAGAAAAGATTGACATCAGACTTCTCTCTCTCTTTTTTTTTTTTTGAGATGGGGTCTTGCTATGTCGCCCAGGCTTGTCTTGAACTCCTGGGCCCAAGCAATCCTCCTGAGTAGGTGGGATTACAGGTGCATGCCACTGCACCCAGTGACATCAGACTTCTGATCAGAAACAATACAGGCCAGAAGGCAAGGAGGAATTTTTCTTAAAGAACTGCAAGAAAAATGAACAAACTATTGCAGACGGACACAAAGATTTTGCTTCTCTTAGCAATTGGAAATCACCTCAACGTCCAATGTGCGGGGATTTGTTAATTGATGGGCCATAAAAAATAAAAGGATAGTCTACAAGTCTACTTAATGATACGGAAAAATATCCACCACATATTGTAAAGTGAAACAGGCACTATGCTAAATGCATTTTGTAAATTGGAAAATATATATTTATAGACACAGGATGGCGGTTATAGGGACTGGACCTTACACAATTGTGGGAGCGGGTCACATGGTAACCAGTGCCAACCTCCACCCTCCACAGATATGTCTTCTTGCTCACAATAAACTGGAAATAGGCAGGGAGGGGAATTTTAGGAAATGCAGTCCCAGTTTTGCTAAATTGACACAATACAAATCCACCACATATCAGTAAAAGGCTACAGAGAAATTCACCCAAATGGTTTTAGCAGTTATTACTGGGAGTTGAGTGAGTTTAAATTCTCAGTACACAGGTCAGATGTGAGAAAATCAAACAACACATTTGGTTTTTTAATATAATAAGTCAATCTAATTTTCACTCCAATCCCTCCCATCCTATCAAGGAGGTAGGAAATTCAACATCCTTCCTTCCCTCACTCCCTCCCTTCCTTTCTAACTTCCTTCCTTCCTTCCTTCTTTTCTTCCTTTCTTTCTTCTTCCCTCCCTCCCTCCCTTCCTTCCTTCTTCCCTCCTTCTCTTCCCCCCTCCCTCCCTTCCTTCTTTCCTCCCTTCTTTCCTCCCTCCCTCCCTCCCCCCTTCCTTCCTTCTGTCCTTCATCTCACTCTGTTGCCCAGGCTGGAGTGCAGTGGCACAATCATAGCTCAGTGTCACCTTGAACTCCTGGGCTCAATGGCTCCTTCTCACCTCACCCTCTAAAGTACCTGGGACTACAGGCGCTAACCACCACACCCAGCTAATTAAATTTTTTTTTTGTAGAGATGGGGGTCTTGCTATGTTGCCCAGGCTGGTGTTCAGCTCCTAGCCTCAAGCAATCCTCCTTTTTCAGCCTCCCCAAACACTAGGATTGCAGGCACGAGCCAGAAAAATTTCTGCACCCAGCAGAAAAATACTGGACTTTTGTACAAATACCTATACTATTCATGAATAGCTTTTAAACTGCCCCGAAATTATGGGACTGAAGTGATTAAAATCTTTATCCAAATGAAGACAACTCTATTATTATCAAGAGTGTGGCATATTTGACCTACATCTAGATGTGTATATGCATTTTCTTTTCCGAAAATGAATAAAAGAACAAAAGATTTCAGTATTGTTGTTACCTATGTATTAAATGCACAGTTAAACTCACTGTCTCTAAATGCACAGGGTATGTGTTCCCCAAGCCCAGAACAGTTCTCTGGGACTTCCAGGTCACAGCTGAGTATGTTGTATTTCATGAATTTAGTGTTCTCCCATCGCTAGAGGTGACTCATGTTTATTAATTAGGTTGGTGCAAAAGTTATTGTGGTTTTTGCATTATTGCAACTGTAATATAATTTTGCAATTATAACTTTCGCACCAGCCTAATAAAAAAACGCCTTGGCTGACAAGCTATGGGAATGGGATGGCCACCATAAATGACCTTCACGGTGTTCTAAAAAGCAGTGGCTTCCAGTTCAGAAGGGTTTGCTGCCCTCTGTCTAATGAGTTGGGGTTCTCTTTTCTCCTCCACGTTCTAGGGTTTTGATGCCTCTTAGCATCACCATCTCTCATTTGGGGAGCAATTATGAATCTTTAGTAAAAGCTCAACTTTTTTAAGAAGCAAAACCAGCAAGAAAATTCAGCATGTCCCGGTTTTCTAGACGGCATCCTCAAAGATCACACCCAGGCGCTTAATAATTTAGCCTTTTGGGCAAAGTTCTCATTAGAATAGATCAAAAACATGAATAATGCAGGCATTTGCAAATCACACTACTCGTCGGCCGACACTGGCCAGGAAACACCTGAAGCACTTGCAGAGGGGCTCAGGGTGACTAGATCGGGTGACTGGGTCATGATGACACCAAATTTGGTTAATGGGAATCCCAGGTCATATCCAATGGTATCAAACTACAGCCGCTGCCCACTGTCTTCCGCAGGTCTTTTAAGTCAAATGTCTCATGCCAGTCAAAATTCCTGCCAGGAAATCACACTCTATTTCCCTAGTTCTTTTTTTTTTTTTTTTTTTTTTTTTTGAGAGGGAGTGTCACTCTTGTTGCCCAGGCTGGAATGCAATGGCACGATATCGGCTCCCTGCAACCTCCGCCTCCCGGGTTCAAGCAATTCTCCTGCCTCAGCCTCTCGAGTAGCTGGGATTGCAGGCGTGCACCACCACACCCGGCTAATTTTGTATTTTTAGTAGAGATGGGGTTTCTCCATGTTGGTCAGGCTGGTTTCGAACTCCCAACCTCAGGTGATCCGCCTGGCTCGGCCTCCCAAAGTGCTGGGATTACAGGTGTGAGCCACCGTGCCCAGCCTATTTGATATATTCTAATGAGAACTTTGCCCAAAAGGCTAAATTATTAAGCGCCTGGGTGTGATCTTTGAGGATGCCATCTAGAAAACCGAGACATGCTGAATTTTCTTGCTGGTTTTGCTTCTTAAAAAAGTTGAGCTTTTACTAAACAATCATAATTGCTCCCCAAATGAGAGATGGTGATGCTAAGAGGCATCAAAACCCTAGAACGTGGAGGAGAAAAGAGAACCCCAACTCATTAGACAGAGAGCAGCAAACCCCTTCTGAACTGGAAGCCACTGCTTTTTAGAACACCGTGAAGGTCATTTTTCCTCCTTTTTTTTTTTTTTTTTTTTGAGACAAGGTCTCCCCCTGTCACCCAGGCTGGAGTGCAGTGGTGTGATCACAGCTCACTGCAGCCTCATCCTCCTGGGCTCAAGTGATTTCCCCTACCATAGCATCCCCCCCAACCAGTAGCTGGGACCACAGGCACACACCACCATGCCTGGCTAATGTTTTATTTTTTGTAGAGATGGGATCTCATCATGTTGCCCAGGCTGGTCTCGAACTCATGGGCTCAAGCGACCCTCCTGCCTCGGCCTCCTGAAGTGCTGAGATTTCAGGCATGAGCCACAGCACCTGGCCCCCTCTTTGCCCCATTGTTCTCCAGATCATTCTTGCATTCCTGATCTCCTTCTCAAACCCCAACATGTCTTCATCCTCAGCAGATGACCTTGCCTTCTCCTTAACTGAGAAAATAGTAACGACTGGAAGAGAGTGTCCCCAGGTTCCCTAGACAACATCGGCCCTCTCCCAGCGTCTGCATCCACTCACTCTGCCTTCCTGCCTTAGCTATAAAATGAACCATCAGGCCGGGTACGGTGGCTCACGCCTGTAATTCCAGCACTTTGGGAGGCTGAGGCAGGCGGATCATGAGGTCAGGAGTTTGAGACCAGCATGGCCAACATGGTGAAACCCCATCTCTACTAAAAATACAAAAAATTAGCTGGGCGTGGTGGCGCGCACCTGTAATCCCAGCTACTTGGAAGGCTGATGCAGGAGAATTGCTTGAACCCAGGAGGTGGAGGTTGCAGTGAGCTGAGATCATGCCATTGCACTCCAGCCTGGGTGACAGAGCGAGACTCCGTCTCGAGAAAAAAAAAAAAAATGAACCATCCACATCCTATCTAAAGCCAGCCCCTCCACCATCTAAACTGGATTCCATTCCTGCCACCCTCTCAAGCACATCACTCCAGGTACTCCCCCCTCCCTCTCCTGTGCCATCAATTTCTCTCTCCCTAATAGATCTTTCCCATTAACATAATATTAACTGAAAAAGGGACTGAGGCATGAGTCCCCATTGACTGAGGTTGATGCAGCAGTTTGAGGACACGCCCAGGAGGAACATCAGCCACAGGAGCATCTGTGACCTGTGAGTTTCCAAAGAGGGTTTGGGGACTTCACTATTTAAAGGGGAAAGAGCAAGCAGGAGGGATAAAGGAAGGGAGGGTAGGCAGAGAGGCAAATGGTCCCATTCTCTCAAGGCTCTGATTAGCGATCAATAAATCTACATTTTACATGTCAATGAGGCATTTGTCTCCAGCTCAGGAAATCTACATTTTACATAAGGTAAAGTAAAACATGTGAAAAAAGGAGTAAAGAGTCCATGATGCATTCATCTTGAGCTCAGTAAATCTGCATTTTACATAAGATAAACATATGAAAACAGGGAGTAGAGGAGTCCATGTTGCGTTCATCTCAAGCCCAGTAAATCTACATTTTACATAAGATAAAGTAAACATGAAAAGAGGGAGTAAAGAGTCCATGATGCATTCATCTTGAGCTCAGTAAATCTACATTTTACGTAGGATAAACATGTGAAAAGAGTAGAGGAGTCCATGATGCATTCATCTTGAGCCCAGTAGATCTACATTTTACATAGGATAAACATGTGAAAAGAGTAGAGGAGTCCATGATGCATTCATCTTGAGCTCAGTAGATCTACATTTTACGCAAGATAAAGTAAACTTGAAAAGGAGTAGAGTCTGTGATGCATTCATCTTAAGCCCAGTGAATCTACATTTTACATAAGGTAAATGTGAAAAGAGGGAGTAAAGAGTTTATGCTGCATTCATCTTGAGCTCAGTAAATCTGCATTTTACATAACAAAGTAAACATGAAAAGAGGGAGTAGGGGAATAGGGCCATGCTGCATTTATCTCAGGGTAGGTGGAAGGATGATTTATGGTCTTGTCCTTGTCCTATCCATGTGAAAATAAGCTGGTAATTGACATTGTCAGTGTGAGATTTAACAGAACTTGCTTTTAGGGCTAGTTTATAGGGGGAGATATATCCTGAAAGAATTAGGGTCTCACTTTGTGAGCAACTTGTGAGGGAGCCATCTGGGAAGATACGTAACCTTCTATCTTGGTGGGCACCTGGCTTATGCTTGAGGCTAGGACATGGGGTTATGAAAATATAGCTCTCCGTTTGGGAACAAAAGGGAAGGCAGTAATGCATGACTCAGTTTCCAAGCTTGACTTTCTCTTTGGCATAGTGAGTTCAGGGTCCTGATAATTTATCTTCTTTCACAGTACAAACATGCTGGTGTATGGATCCTATCTTTAAAACGAACTTCCAATATGGATGGCAAACGAGCACATGAAAAGATGCTTAATGTTATTCATCCTTAGAGAATGAAGATTAAAGCCACCGTGAGGGCCCAGTGGCACACACCTATAGTTCTACCCACTCAGGAGGCTGAGGCAGGAGGATCACTTGAGCTCAGGAGTTTGAGGCTGTAGTGTGCAATGTTCGTGCCTGTGAATAGCCACTGTACTCTAGCCTGGGCAACATAGCAAGACCCTGTCTCTAAAAAATTTTTTTTAAATTAAAAACTAGGCCGAGTGTGGTGGCTGATGCTTGCAATTTCAATGCTTTGGGAGGCCGAGGTGGGAGGATAACTTGAGCCCAGGGGAGGATAACTTGAGACCAGCCTGGGCAACATAGCGAGACCCTGTCTCTAACAACAACAACAAATTATAAATAAATAAATAAATGAATAAAACCACAATGAGATGCCAACACACATTAATGAAAATGTCCAAAATGAGGAGGGCTGACCCATGCCAAGCACTGGTGAGGGAGGAACTGGAACCCTCCTTCCCTGCTAAACTCACTTTCCTCTGAATAAGAAATGCATTACCCAAGTACTTAGCAACTCTCTTGGCTCTCCTTCCACTCTTCAACATGTTTTCCTTCCTGAATGTAAATTTCCTTTGGAAAACACAGTGGAAGTGTCTATCACATGACGCAACTGGTTCTATTCCAACTTCCTCCCCAAGAACCGGGATTTTTTTTTTTTTGAGACTGAGTTTCGTTCTTGTTGCCCAGGCTGGAGAGCAATGGTGCGATCTCAGCTCACCGCAACCTCCGCCTCCTGGGTTCAAGCCATTCTCCTGCCTCAGCCTCTCAAGTAGCTGGGATTACAGGCAAGCGGCACCAAGCACGGCTAATTTTGTATTTTTAGTAGAGATGGGGTTTCACCGTGTTGGCCAGGCTGGTCTCGAACTGCTGACCTCAGGTGATCTGCCCGCTTCGGCCTCTCAAAGTGCTGGGATTACAGGCGTGAGCCATGGCACCGTGCTCGGCCAGAACTGGGATTCTTAAAGCACATCTCCCTCCCATCCTGCTAAAAACCAGCAACAACTATAACCACCACCACCTGTGGCACACACATTTGGTGTCAGCATTAGTGAGCCACCTCCAGGCTACCCCATTTGAGGACTTCTTGCCAAGAAGTTCTCCAGCAGTTTTCACCCAAAACCTGTTCTTGCTGTTTTTGCTCTCTGGCCAACTCTGTGGTCACTAAATCAATGTTTCAGTTTTTGAGCAGGAACAATAAGAACATATATATATACACACACATATCGGGAGAGCCCCAAACTGCTTAGGCACATGTGAAATGCTATAGCAGAAAAGAAACAAAATGCTATAGGACGCTGATTTTTTCATGAACAAGAAATATGAGCGGCTCCGTCTCAACTTACGGATGAGCTGGAGGCAACATTTAATGAAGACTTAAGTGAGTTAATTAAGGAGAAATTGCAACTAAACCCCACATAATGAGAGAGCCGGTATCTCTCGCTCCAGGGTCCCGTATTTTTATCTATCTGCACTTGTCCATGATGTGGGTTCTCTTTGTGGGGGGTCTCCTTGTATTGGGCAGACATCCCCATGAGATTCAGAACCCAGGAAAAACCATCCAATAAAAAAACACTGGCCGGGCGCAGTGGCTCACGCCTGTAATCCCAACACTTTAGGGGGCCAAGGCAGGTGGATCACCTAAGATCAGGAGTTCAAGACCAGCCTGGCCAACATGGTAAAACCCCGTCTCTAGTAAAAATACAAAAATTATAGGTGGGAGCCTGTAATCCCAGCTACTCGTGAGGCTGAGGCAGGAGAATCGCTTGAACCTGGGAGATGGAGGTTGCAGTGAGCCGAGATCACGCCATTGCACTCCGGCCTGGACAACAAGAGTGAAACTGTCTCAAAAAACAAAACAAAACAAACAACAAAAATCAACAAAAAGAAAACCATCAAGGAAGAGACGTTGTCACCCAAAAGCTTCAATGAGCCAGGCGCGGTGGCTCACGCCTGTAATCCCAGCACTTTGGGAGGCTGAGGCGGGCAGATCACGAGGTCAGGAGATCGAGACCATCCTGGCTAACAAGGTGAAACCCCGTCTCTACTAAAAATACAAAAAAAAAAAAAAATTAGCCGGTGTGGTGGCAGGCTCCTGTAGTCCCAGCTGCTGGGGAGGCTGAGGCAGGAGAATGGTGTGAACCCAGGAGGCGGACCTCGCAGTGAGCCGAGATCGTGCCACTGCTCTCCAGCCTGGGTGACAGAGCAAGACTGTCTCAAAAAAAAAAAAAAAAAAAGAACTCTCATGTTGGCCAGGTGCGGTGGCTCACGATTGGAATCCCAGTACTTTGGGAGGCCGAGGCAGGAGGATTGCTGCAGGCCAGGAGTTTGAGACCAGCCTGAGCAGCAGAGTGAGACCCCATGTCTACAAAAATGTAAAAAGTTAGCTAGGCATGGTAGCGCATGCCTGCAGTTCCAGCTACTTGGGAGGCCGAGGTGGGAGGATTGCTTGAGCCAAGGAATTCATGACTGTAGTGAGATACAATTGTGCCACTGCACTCCAGCCTGGGTGACAGAGAGAGAACCTGTCTCCAAAAAATAATAATTTAAAAAAACCCTCATGTTCTTATCTAGATATGACCTTGAATGTATAGAAAGAAGCTCAGGAGACAGGATATCCCATCCTATCTTGGGCTTTTCTAGCTGTCTGCCCTTGGGAAATTCACTTAATCTCTCAGAACATCAGTTTTCTTATTTTTATTTTATTTATTTATTTTTTGAGAGACAGAGAGTCTCTCTCTGTGCCCCAGGCTGGAGTGCAGTGGTGCCATCCTAGCTTACTGCAACCTCCACCTTCTAGGTTCAAGCAATTCTCGTGCCTCAGCCACCCGAGTAGGTGGGATTACAGGCCCATACCACCATGCCCAGCTAATTTTTGTATTTTTAGTAGTGATGGGGTTACACCATCGCTACATTTCTCCTGGCTATCGTTGGCCAGGCTGGTCTTGAACTGCTGACCTCAAGTGATCCACCCACCTTGGCCTCTCCAAGTGCTGGGATTACAGATGTGAGCCACCATGCCCAGCCTGATGTCAGCAAATTCTTTTTACCAACCCTCCAATCGACCACTTCTTGGTGCTGGGGCTCTGACACCTTGCTCACCTCAAGTGATCCACCTGCCTCAGACTCAGGAAGTGCTGAGATTACAGGTGTGAGCCACCATGCCTAGCGAGTTTTCTTTTTTTTTTCTCTCTTTTGAGATGTAGTTTCTCTCTTGTTGCCCAGGCTGGAGTGCAATGGCACGATCTTGGCTCACAGCAACCTCCGCCCCCCGGGTTCAAGCGATTCTCCTACCTCAGCCTCCTGAGTAGCTGGGATTACAGGCAAGTGCCACCCCGCCCAGCTAATTTTTGTATTTTTAGTAGAGACGGGGTTTCACCGTGTTGGTCAGGCTGGTCTCAAACTCCTGACCTCATGATTCACCCGCCTCAGCTTCCCAAAGTGCTGGGATTACAGGTGTGAGCCATCATACTTACCCTTAACATGCTCATATTTTCATTTACCTTCTTGAACACATCAAATAGTTGTAGTAGCTATTTTAATCTCTTTATTAATTCTATCTTTGTCATTTCATTTCATTGGTTTTTCTCCTCTTCCTGGGGTATAATCCTTGCTTCTTGGCATACCTGGTGATTATTACTTTTTAGAGACGGGATCTTGCTGTGTTGCCCAGGCTGGAGTGCAGCGGCACCACCATAGCTCACTGCAGCCTCAACCTCCTGGGCTTCAGCGATCCTCCCACCTCAGCCTCTCATCTGGTGGGGCCTACAGGTGTGCACCACCGCACCTGGCTAATTTTTTAGTTTTACTTTTGTAGAGATGAGGTCTTGCTATGTTGCCCAGTCTGGTCTTGAACTGCTGGCCTCAAGCAATTCTCCTGCCTCAGCCTCCCAAAGTGCTGTGATTATAAGTGTGAGCCAACACTTCCTGCCATGCCTGGTGATTTTTTACTGGACACCAGGTATTGTGAATTTTACCTGGTTGGGTGCTGAATATTCTTGTTTAAAAAATATATTCTTGAGCTTTATTCTGGGACATGGTTAAGTGACTTGGAAATGGCATAATCCTTTTTTTTTTTTTTTTTTTTTGAGAGGGAGTCTCGGTCTGTCACCCAGGCTGGACTGCAGTGACACAATCTCGACTCACTGCAACCTCTGCCTCCTGGGTTCAAGCGATGCACCCACCTCAGCCTCCCGAGTAGCTGGGACTACAGGTGCGCACAACCACGCCTGGATAATTTTTGTATTTTTAGTAGAGACGGGGGTTTCACCATGTTGGCCAGGCTGGTCTTGAACCCCTGACCTCAGGTGATCCACCCTCCTCGGCCTCCCAAAGTGCTGGGATCACCGGCATGAACCTCCGTGCCCAGATGCATGGTCCTTTTGAGACTTGCAGAACCCTTAGTCTAGGGCCAATTCTGCCGCACCACGAAAGCAATACCCCTCTGAATGCTTGACTCAGTGCTCTGTGTATTACGAGGTTTTTCACTTTGCCTGCTGGGAACACGAACGGTTCCCAGCTTTTTGTAGACTTTGGAATTATTCTGCCTGTTTCTATTGTGTGATTCCTTCCCCTGGTCTTGCTCGGATAATTTCCTCCATGCGTGAGCTGATCCCCCTCAGCTTCCGAGTCAAGAGGTTTCCTTTGCAAAGCTGCAGAGTTTGGTTTTTTTTGCATATCTCTCTTGCGGGATTCCATCCTGCAAATTCCAGCTGCTTTGGCCTGCTCAAACTTTTTTTTTTTTTTTTTTTTGAGATGGAGTCTCACTTTGTGGCCCAGGCTGGAGTGCAGGGGCGCGATCTCGGCTCACTGCAACCTCCGCCTCCCAGGTTCAAGTGATTCTCGTGCTTCAGCCGCCTGAGTAGCTGGGATTACAAGCATGCACCACCACGCCCAGCTAAATGTTTTGTATTTTTAGTAGAGACAGGGTTTCACCACGTTGGCCAGGCTGGTCTCGAACTCCTGACCTCAAATGATCCACCCACCTCGGCCTCCCAAGGTGCTAGGATTACAGGCGTGAACCACTGCACCTGGCCAGGCCTGCTCACACTTTCAGCTCTGTCTCCTGCACTCAGGGAGACCACTGGGCTCTGCTCGGCTGCCCTCCTCCCGCAGCAGCTGGAAACACTTTGCCTCATTGGTTTCTCCCCTAACAGAGATCACGGTCTTTAGTGCCACCTATTGACCGGTGTCTAAAAACTGCCTTTGCGTATGTGTTGTACGGTTTTGTAGGTATTTAAGGCAAGAGGGTTAATCCATCTTGGCCATAAGTTGGGGAAATCTCCACAATTTTTACAACATTTTGGGAGGCTGAGGTGGGAAGATTGCTTGAGGCCAGGAGTTCGAGACCAGCTCGGGCAACACAGCAAGACCCCCGTCTCTACAAGAAAATAAAAATACTAAAAGTAGCTGAGCATGACAATGTGCGCCTATAGTCTCAGCTATGTGGGAGGTTGAGGTGGGAGGATTGCTTGAGCCCAGGAGATCCAGGCTGCAGTGAGCCATGTTCGCACCACTGCACTCCAGCCTGGGTGACACAGTGAGACATTGTCTCAAGAAAAAAATAAAACATTTTAAGTTCCTGGAAGGGTGAGTTAAAGGCTATATAAAGAATTAAAGCTTTTTTAAAATGACATTCCCAAATTATTGGTCAAAAGGGAGCAGTGGGCTGGGTGTGGTGGCTCACACCTGTTATCCCAGCACTTTGGGAGGCCGAGGTGGGCAGATCACCTGAGGTCAGGAGTTTGAGACCAGCCTGGCCAACATGGCAAAACCCCATCTCTACTAAAAATACAAAAATTAGCCGGGCGTAGTGGTAAGCACCTGTAATCCCAGCTACTCAGGAGGCTGAAGCAGGAGAATCACTTGAACCCAGGAGGAGGAGGTTACAGTGAGCCGAGATGATGCCATTGTGCTCCAGCCTGGGCAACAAGAGCAAAACTCCATCTCAAAAAAAAAAAAGTGCATATATGTGTGCATGCAACAGAATACAGAATATTTATTTCCAGAGGAACCCTGACTTCTCCAGCCTCCTCGGTTTGTCCTTCTTTGTGGGCATGAATTACGCAGCTGCCTATAGATGTCACCAGAGGAAGGCACATCAGAGGGAATAAAAATCCCAGGGTGAGAACCACAGCACCGTGGCAGAGGGCACAAGCATGAGTGGAAAGGCCCTGTGTCAAACACAGAAGAGGGCTTTGTTTTAAATCAAGACATCTTGGCAAGGCCTAATGGCTCACACCTGTAATCCCAGCATTTTGGGAGTCTGAGGTAGGCTTGAGCCCAGGAGTTAGAGACCAGCCTAGGCAACATAGCGAGACCCTGTCTCTACCAAAAAAAAAAAAAAAAAAAAAATAGTTGGGCGTGGCGGCATGCATCTGTGGTTCCAGCTACTCGGGAGGCTGAGGCAGGAGGATCACTTGATCCCAGGAGTTTGAGGCTGCATTGAGCTACGATCACATCATTGCACTCCAGCCTGGGTAACAGAGTGAGACCCTGTCTCAACTAAAAAAAATAAAATAACATAAATAAAATAAAATAAAGTAAATTAAAATAAATAAATAAAATGAAGAAATAAAATAAAATAAAAACATCAGTCCACAGAACCCAAATCTTCACCCAAGGTAGAGTGACAACCTTACTAAAACAAATATTGTCATCAGCAACTGAACTAAACATGGTCCAAGGGAAGAGTGAATGAGGAAAGATTTGGTTATGCTCAGGGATTTGGACTAGTTTAACTGAGGTCAAATTTTTTCAGATTTTTCTTTTCAAAAGCTGGTTCTGGAGCGGAGTTCAGGAGCATGTTCTTCATAAAAAGTCTCTTTGTGGGTCGGCCCTGGTGGACGGGATTTCATTAATCTCACCAACCTCATTATCCAACATGCTGAATATGTAGCATCGATCAATGAATGAGATCCTCGGTCTCATGAAGTCAGCTTTCTGGGGAAGGAGAAAAGAAACACAAATAAACAAGGAAATAAACACCCAAGGTGGAAACAAGACGGCGTGAGGGTCAGGTTCCTTGAACTCACGTTCTTTTTTTTTCTTTTCTGAGACGCAGTTTCACTCTGTCACCCAGGCTGGAGTGCAATGGCGCGATGTCGGCTCACTGCAACCTCCGCCCCCCAGGTTCAAGTGATTCTCCTGCCTCAGCCTCCCGAGTAGCTGGGATTACAGGCACCTGCCACCATGCCTGGCTAATTTTCTTATTTTTAGTAGAGATGGGGTTTTACCATGTTGGCCAGGCTGGTCTCGAACCCTGACCTCAAGTGACCCACCCGCCTTGGCCTCCCAAAGTGCTGAGATTAGAGGTGTGAGCCACCACACCCAGCCGAGCTCACGTTCTTGAGTCACCCTCTGTCCTTTATAGAGAAGCAGTTTGGAGATTTCGTCCTGTGTGTCTGAGGCCGGGTGCTATGGCTCACGCCTGTAATGCCAGTAATCTCAGCACTTTGGGAGGCTAAGACGGGAGCATTGCTTGAGCCCAAGAGTTTGAGGTCAGCCTGGGCAACATAGTGAGGCTCTATCTCTTCAAAAAATAAAAAATTAGCCAGGTGTGGTGGTGCATGTCTGTGGTCCCAGCTACTCAGGAGGCTGAGGCAGGAGGATCACTTGAGCCCAGGAGGTCGAGGCTGCAGTGAGCCATGATTGCATTACTGCACTCAGCCTGGGCAACAGAGCAAGACATTGTCTCAAAAAAAAAGTATCTGAATCTCTTTTTGGCAAAGTAATCTGACATGTTTCTTGTTTCAAAGAATCAGCTTATTTTCAACCTGAAAGCCAACTAACTCTCACAGGGGAATACTGTATGTGGTGATTACTGCAGTGTGTGTTTGTGTGTTAAAGACTGCTTTGTCATGCAGACTACAGCTCCAGCCTCACCTCGCTGTAATTTACTGTGGATATTTTGCATTATGTAGGCAGCACCTTGTACCCAACAGAAAAGTTGGTGGGCGGGGCAGGGGAGGGAGGTGGGTGGGGTCCAGCCCCAACCCAGGTGTGCTATAAACTGGCTGACCTCAGATGAACCTTGTTATATTGCTGAGCCCAGGTTTTCTCAACTACAACCATAATAATAAGACTTTGCCTCTAAGTTGAACATGGGGAATAATGACCGTATGAAAATATAGACTCAGCCTGGGCAACGTCGTGCGACACCTGTCTCTGCCACAAATTTAAAAATTAGCCAGGCACAGTGGCTCACGCCTGTAGTCCCACTGCTTGGGGAGGTAGAGGCAAGAGGAATGCTTGAGGCAAGGAGTTTAAGACCAGCCTGGGTAACATAGCGAGACCCCATCTCTACAAAAAAGTTAAAAAGTTAGTGAGGCGTGATAGCATGTGCCCGTAGTCCCAGCTACTTGGGAGGCTAAGGCAGGAGGATCGCTGGAACCCCAGAAGTTCAAGGCTGCAGTGAGCTATAATCGCACCACTGCACTCCAGCCTGGGTGACAGAGCAAGACTATGTTGCCTCTGCTGGTCTCGAGACACCCTTGTAGTCTGCTGCCTACTGCATGTAGGATGTAGTTACATTGATAATCTTCATTGTTTTACAGATGGGGAAACCGAGGCTTGAATGATTTACCCAAAGTTAGCAAATGGTAGAGCTGAGACTTGAAGCAAGCTGACTCTAGCATGTTCTTCTCAACTCTCTGGAGACAAGGAGCTCAGAACCCAGTGGCCTGGCTGCCTCCAGGAGTGAGGAATGGGAAAAAAAAATTGCAACCTGGCTCACTGTTTTGTCTCCAGTGGCAAGAAAGAGACAGAAATGGATATTTCAAGATGTTGTTGTTGTTATTGTTGTTATTATTATTATTATTATTATTATTATTATTATTATTATTATTGAGGCAGCATCTCACTCTGTCTCCCAGGCTGGAGTGCTGTGGTGCAATCTTGGCTCACTGCAACCTCCACTTCCCAGGCTCAAGTGATCCTCCCACCTCAGCCTCCCAAGTAGCTAGGACTGCAGGCACGTGCCACCACATCCGGCTAATTTTTTTTGTAGAGATGGGGTTTCACCATGTTGCCCAGGCTGGTCTCGAACTCCTGAGCTCAAGTGATCTGCCTGTCTCGGCCTCCCAAAGTGCTGGGATTACAGGCATGAACCACCGTGCCCAGCCAAGACATTATTCTTTTGTAAAGTAAACATAGTTGCTCTTAGCATATGGTTCTCAATTGATGGGGGTGTGTGTGTGTGTGTGTTTGTGTGTGTTCTCTCTGGAAAAGTTTTCTCTGGGAGAAAATTCTAGATTTCACTGTTTTACATTTCAAAGTTGCCAGTTTGTTAAAAAATCAGGCTGAGAAGGAACACGTTAGGACAAAAATGTGAAAGACTGTCATTAAAGCAAGCAAGACCAAGGATGGAATTTTACAGACTTTGCAGAGAATTCTTGGATCAACCTATGGACGCGGTGGCTGGTTTTAACAGGAGCTGCAAAGAGTCTAATCCCTTTCGTCACAAATGCATCTGGGGACAGAGCCTGATTTCCTGCTGCCCTTGGGGGACTTTTTAACCATTTTTTTTCTCCAAGTTTAGAGTATACATCAAATCCCAGGTCCACACTGACCCCTACTCTGGGCTGGAAGGGCCTGACCTCTCCCAAGAGAGTGGGGGTGGAAGAGAAGCTGGGAAATACAAAGTCATTTGATGGATGTGACACTGGGCACAGGTTGACCATCAAGCCAGGGAGGAGGCCTTTATGCCCGAAAGCCCCTGAGCCTGTTCCAGGGATGGGGTGAACCACTCCTCTACCCACCCAGGCTTGCCTAGGTGTGTCGTGTGCCAAGGAAGCTTCAGGGAAGAGAGAGGACAGAGAGGGGTTGGATGTCTAAGAGTCGTTTAGTAAAGTGAACAGAAAGCGAATGTTCCAGTCTGGGAAAGTAAAATCACATGAAAGAGGAAAGCGGATTGTCATAGAAGGTCGAGGCCCGGGCTAGGGAAGGGAAAAACCACATGCTCAAAATCCTGGTCAATGCGTGTCCACCTTAATGGGAGAGAAGCACCTTCCTCCATTGTGGGGCCAGGGCAGGGCCAGAGCCCCGGCTGGGAGTGGATCCTACACTTGCTTTTTTTTTTTTTTAATTATGGTAAAATATGCATAACATAAAATTTGCCATTTTAGCTATTTTTGAGGGTACAATTCAGTGGCATTTATTACATCAAAAATATTGTGCAACCGGGCTGGGCATGGTGGCTCACGCCTGTAACACCAGCACTTTAGGAGGCTGAGGCAGGCAGGAGGTCAGGAATTCAAGACTAGCCTGGCCAACGTGACAAAACCCCGTTTCTACTAAAAATACAAAAATTAGCTGGGTGTGGTGGTGTGCACCTATAATCCCAGCTACTCAGGGGGCAGAGGCAGGAGAATTGCTTGAACCTGGGAGGCGGAGGTTGTGGTGAGCCGAGGTTGCGCCACCATACTCCAGTTTGGGCAACAGAGCGAGACTCTGTCTCAAAAAAAAGAGAGACAGAGAGAGAAATAAACAAAATATTATGCAACTGTCACCACCATCCATCTCCAGAACTTTTCCATCTTCCCAAACTGAAACTGTCCCCATTAACCCTCACTCTCCATCCCCCTTATCCCCAGGCTCTGATAACCAACATTTTACTTTTTTTCTGTCTCTATCAGTTTGACTATTCTAGGTACATTATATAAGTGGAATCATGCTGTATTTGCCATTTTTTTTTTTTTGGAGTTTTGCTCTTGTTGCCCAAGCTAGAGTGCAGTGGTGCAATCTCGGCTCACTGCAACCTCTGCCTCCTAGGTTCAAGCGATTCTCCTGCCTCAGCCTCCTGAGTAGCTGGGATTACAGGCGCGCACCACCACGCCCGGCTAATTTTTTTGTATTTTTAGTAGAAACGGGGTTTTGCCATGTTAGCCAGGCTGGTCTTGAACTCCTGACCTCAGGTGATCCACCCACCTCAGCCTCCCAAAGTGCATGAGCCACCTCGCCCGGCCTTTTTGTTGTTTTTTTTTGAGACGAGTCTCACTCTGTCATCCAGGCTGGAGTGCAGTGGCACAATCTTGGGTCACTGCAACCTCTGCCTCCTGGGTTCAAGTGATTCTTGTGCTTCAGCCTCCCAAGTAGCTGAGATTACAGGCGTGCGCCGCCATGCCAAGCTAATTTTTTGTATTTTATTAGAGACAGGATTTCACCATGTTGGCCAGGCTGGTCTCAAACTTCTGACCTCAAGTGATCCACTTTCCTCCGCCTCCCAAAGTGCTGGGATTACAGGTGTGAGCCACTGTACCCGGCCATATTTGCCTCTTTGTGACTGACTTATTTCCTCTCCTCCGCTCCCTCCCTTCCTTCCCTTCTTTCTTCTTCTTCTTCTTTTTTTTTTTTTTTTTGAGACAGGGTTTGGCTTTGTCCCACAGGCTGGAGTGCAGTGGCATGATCTCTGCTCACTGCAACCTCTGCCTCCCTGGCTCAAGCAGTCCTCCCACCTCTGCCTCTCTAGAAGCTGGGACTACAGGAATACACCACCACACTTGGCTTTTAAAATTTTTTTGTAGAGATGAGGTCTCACTTTATTGCTCAGGCTGGTCTTGAACTCTTGGGCTCAAGTGATCCTCCTACCTCAGCCTCCCAAAGTGCTGGGATTACAGGTGTGAGCCACAGCGCCCAGCTGTGACTGTCTGATTTCACTGAGCATAATGTCCTCAAGGTTCCTCCATGCAGTAGCAGGTGTCAGCATTTATTTCCTTTTCAGGGCTACATAATATTTCATTGTATGGACAGACACATTTTGTTCATTCATTGGTAGGTGGACTCCTGGGTTGCTTCTACCTCTTGGCTATTGTGAATAATGCTGCAATGAACATGGGTGTACAAATATCTGTTGAGGACGGGTGCAGTGGCTCAGGCCTGTCATCCCAGCACTTTGGGAGGCTGAGGTGGGAGGATTGCTGGAAGCCAGGAGTTTGAGACCAGCCTGGCCAACATAGCAAGACCCCATCTCTACAAAAAATAAAAAAGTTAGCTGGGCATGGTGGGGAATGCCTGTAGTCCCAGCTACTTGAGCGGCTGAGGCAAGAGGATTGCTTTAGCCTGGAGGTTGAGGCCGCAGTGACCTATGATCTTGCCACTGCACTCCAGCCTGGGGGACAGAGTCAGACCCCATCTCAAAAAAAAAAAAAAAAGAGGTTAAAAAATCCCACAAATATCAGCTGGAGTCCCTGCTTTCAATTCTTTGGAGCATCTACCCAGAAGTGGAATTGCTGGATCTACATTTTTTTTTTTTTTTGAGACAGAGTCTTGCTCTGTCACCCAGGCTGGAATGCAATGGCGCGATCTCAGCTCACTGCAACCTCCGTCTCCCAGGTTCAAACAATTCTTATGCCTCAGCCTCCCGAGTAGCTGGGGCTACAGGCGCCCACCACCATGCTTGGCTCATTTTTCTATTTTTAGTAGAGACAGGGTTTCACCATATTGGCCAGGCTGGTCTCGAACTCCTCACCTCAAGTGATCCACCTGGTTCGGCCTCCCCAAGTGCTGGGATTACAGGCGTGAGCCACTGCGCCTGGCCTACCTTTGTTTTTGAAGTGGGTTGGGTGGGCCTGGGTTTCTCAAATCCCAGTATAGCACTGCATAGGATATATCACGGTCCTCAGTTCTCAGAACCTGGGTCTCCTCAGCTGTGAAAAGGGATAGTGATAATAGTGGCAATCACAGGGTTGCTGTGAGAGATACTTAAGATTTTGTAGAAACACCCACGCAGGCTGGGCGTGGTGGCTCACATCTGTAATCCCAGCACTTTGGGAGGCCGAGGTGGGAGGATCACTTGAGCACAGGAGTTCAAGACCAGCCAGGGCAACACAGTGAGATCTCCTCACTACAAAAAATATATATAAATTGGGTGGGCGTGGTGGTGTGCACCTGTAGTCCAATCTACTCGGGAGGCTGAGGTGGGAGGATTGCTTGAGCCTGGGAGGTGGGAGGTCGAGGCTGCAGTGAGCTGTGATTGTGCCCCTGCTTTCTATCCTGGGCAAAAGAATGAGACTCTCAGAAAAAAAAAAGAAAAAGAAATGATGACTTCAAGACCCAAGGAAAATTGCCCGTTAAAATTTTTTAAAATAATCTTTTAAATAAAAAATTTAAAAGAGAAACACCCATGTATCGTGTACATTGAACGGTGCCTGGCACCTGCTCAGCTTTGAATCATTTCTCCCGTGATGTTGCCATCAAATCTCCAGGGAAGGGGAAGCAGGCACCATCACGGCCACCAGGGGGCGCCGCTGCCACAGCTCTGAGTCTCGGCTGGGCCGGGCTGGCATCTCCACCGCCCATCACCTCCCACCATTGTCCCCCTCCGTTTTCAGGCCGGGCCTCCACTTTCTCATGTCACCCACTCTGCTATTACTCCATGCTCCCATCCTTCCTACGTCCTTACTTTCACCCAGGATGAGAAAGTGCCCCACCGTGTCCAGGCCACATCACCTTGTCCCATGACCTATGTCCCTTCCCTCCCCAAGGGAAGCTTCAGCCCATACCTTGCGCCATTTACCCGGCCCAAGGGCTCTCCCTGCGCAGGTAATGACCTTGTCCCTTTTCCCTCTGGATGGTTTCTCTGAAGGTCAGGTGAGGTCATGTGTGGGGAAGTCCCTCAGAGACAAACACTGGGGTCTGGTGCAACAGCTCACCCCTGTAATCCCAACACTTTAGGAGGCCAAGGCAGGAGGATCGTTGGAGGCCAGGAGGAGTTCAAGACCACTCTGGGAAAAATGGCAAGATCCCATCTCTACAAATAACTTAAAAATGAGCCAGGTGTTGAGCATGAACAGCTACTCAGGAGACTGAGGTGGGAGGGTCGTTTGAGGCCAGGAGTTTGAGGCTGCAGTGAGCTATGACTGTGCCACTGCACTCCAGCCTGGGTGACAGAATAAGACCCTTGTCTCAAAAATAAATAAATAAATAAATAGGCAAATAAAAATCAGCCAGGTGGGGTGATGCAAGCCTATAATTGCAGCACTTTGGGAGGCTGAGGCAGGAGGATTGCTCGAGGTCAGGAGTTCAAGACTAGCCTGGGCAACATCTCTACAAAAAAATTTAGAAATGAACCAGATGTGGTGGTGGGCACCTATAGTCCCTGCTACTCAGGAGGCTGAGGTGGGAGGATCACTTGAGGCCAGGAGTTCAAGGCTGCAGTGAGCTATGATTGCACCACTGCACTCCAGCCTGGATCACATAGTGAAACTGTGTCTCTAAAATCAAACCAAACCAAACCAAACCACAGCCCAGAGCTGGTGACAGGGTTGGGACAGCTGCAGTGAGCCTCAGGCCAGGGGCCCATGCCTTCCTCAGGAGCTCTGAGGAGTCCTTCCTGGTCAGAACACACTCCAGGAATTGCACTTTTCCAGCAGGGCTGGAGAGGTGTCCACAGGCCTGAGCAGACCCGCCCCTGGGAGAGAGGCCTGTGGACACCAAGGCCAACTCTAAAGGGGGTAGCTGCATTTGTAGCCCAGCTCCTGGGCACTTACTAGGCCCGAATGCGGGCTCCGCGTGGCCAGAGAATTGGAAAATGCAGAATTTTTTTTCCACAGGAAATCTCCAAATGTTTGAATATTGGCAGTTAGTTACAATTATTTTCAAACTCTTCATGGGCCAGTCAAGGCAATCTACAGCCGGGCTTGGCCTGTGGGTACCATTTTGCAGCCTCTGATGGAAGCTTCTTGAAGACACTGGTCAATGCTAATGGTCAATACCTTGCAGCACTGATCACAGGGATAACCTGAGTTTTAAGCTGCCTGGGTGATCTTTATTTTATTTTTATTATTAATGTTTTAATTTTTTTTTAGGGGCAGGGTCTTGCTCTGTTGCCCAGGCTGCAGTGCAGTGATGTTATCATAGCTCACTGCAGCCTTGACCTCCTGGGCTCAAGCAGTCCTCCCGACTCAGCCTCCTGAGTAGCTGGGACCACAGGCACTTGCAAACGTGCTAGGCTAATTTTTTAATTTTTGGGTGTGTGTGTGGCGGGGGTTGGGTCTCACTGTGTTGTCCAGGCTAGTCTCGAACTCCTGGCCTCAAGTAATCCTCCCTCCTCTGCTTCCCAAAGTGCTGGGATTATAGACGTGAGCCACTGTGCCTGGCTGAGCTTCACTCCTTCTCATGGAAGACTTTTTGTCTGAGCATTGATAGACACTTGGTAACCCCATTATAGTGTGGGCACTGGGCTCTTATAAGCAGGGGGCATCATATACTCTCCTTGGTCACCAGGATGACATTTCTGGGTGCACATAAGAAATGTCAACTGCGCTGGGTGTGGTGGCTCATGCCTGTAGTCCCAGCTACTTGGAAGGTTGAGGTGAGGAGATCGCTCAATCCCAGGAGTTTGGCATTCATTGGTGACCTCCCAGAAGCAGGGGACCACCAGGTTGCCTAAGGAGAGGTGAACCGGTCCAGGTCAGAAACAGAGCAGGTCAAAACTCCCGTGCTGATCAGCAGTGGGATTACACCTGTGAATAGCTACTGCACTCCAGCCTGAGCAACATAGTCTCTATTTAAATTAATATAATATAATATAATATAATATATATAATATAATATAATATAATAATAAAGGTCAACTGCAAATTGCACACTGATTCTTCAACCACCCCAGGAAAGGCCGACCTCACACTGCATGTGGATGGCGTGACAGTCCTGAATGTGGGGAAAGAGAGCTTGTCCTCGCAGCTACGTCAACAGAAGCCAGAGACT
The DNA here is from genome assembly GCF_000001405.40 of Homo sapiens. NCBI lineage: Eukaryota > Metazoa > Chordata > Mammalia > Primates > Hominidae > Homo > Homo sapiens. Next base: position 98,024,174 of record NC_000007.14, read on the forward strand.
GGGGCCAAGAAGAAAGACCCTGCGGGGTTGGGCTGGAAAGTCCTGGACGCCCAGCTCTTCACACCCACTCAGTGCATGTGATCACAGCTGTAGGATCTAGAATAGTTGCACTTGACAGATGGCCTCTGAAGGTGTTGAAATGGGGCTTCCCGTGGCCAACTGATACCTGCATGCAGTAAGAAGCCAGGTGCTGCCACCACCCTCCCCCTGTTTGTATCCAGGGGATGGGACTTCTTGTGGAGGTCCCGGTTTGTCTTTGCTTCCGACCCCAAGCAGGCAGCTGGATCAAGCTGTCCTGAGAAGGTGATCCATCTCCCTAGCTGGGTGTATGCAATGCTGAATGCAGCTATCCCAGACACATTTATTCCATATACACCCCCCTCCCCAAATTCCATGGAATGAACGAAGTCAGATTTCAACAAGGATGACTACAGCCCAGGGCGAAATAACTCTGCTATCCCCTCTCTGTAGCTCCCCAGACTCTTTATTTTATTTTATTTTATTTTATTTTATTTATTTATTTTTTGAGACGGAGTCTTGCTCTGTTGCCCAGGCTGGAGTGCAGTGGCATGATCTCGGCTCACTGCAACCTCTGCCTCCTGGGTTCAAGCGATTCTCCTGCTCAGCCTCCCGAGTAGCTGGGATTACAGGCGTGCATCACTATGCCCGGCTAATCTTTGTATTTTTAGTATAGATGGGGTTTCACCATGCTGGCCAGGCTGATCTCAAATTTCTGAACTCAAGTGATCCACACGCCTCGGCCTCACAAAGTGCTGGGATTACAGGTGTGAGCCACTGTGCCCAACCGCCAAACTCGATCTCTATCTCTCTCTCTCTCAGAGTCTCTCTCTGTCACACACACACAAACACACACACACGCACATACACACAGAGATACCCATGATATACACACAACCCTCATTTTTCACCATTTGGAAGTTCGATGTCCAATTGAGAGCAGTGACTCCCCTTGCCAATTCCAGGAAATAAAACTAAGCACAGATTGCCAGCTCACTGCGTGTCCGTGGCCTCATGTCTTTTTGGGAAGTGGCCTCTGTCTCTGGAGCAGGGAGAGCATACAAAGTGTTTCACTTCACTGGGCATTGTGGCTCATGCCTGTAATCCCAGCACTTTGGGAGGCCAAGGTGGGCAGATCACGAGGTCCGGAGATCGAGACCATCCTGGCTAACACGGTGAAACCCCGTTTCTACTAAAAATACAAAAAGCTGGGCGTGGAGGCGGGCGCCTGTAGTCCCAGCTACTCGGGAGGCTGAGGCAGGAGAATGGCGTGAACCCAGGAGGCAGAGCTTCCAGTGAGCCGAGATCTTGCCACTGCACTCCAGCCTGGGCAACACAGCAAGACTCTGTCTCAAAAAAAAAAAAAAAATCAGCCAGGTGTTGTGGTACGTGTCTGCAGTCCCAGCTGCTTGGGAGGCTGAGGTGGGAGAATCGCTTGAACCTGGGAGGCAGAGGTTGCAGTGAGCTGAGATTGCACCACTGTACTCCAGCCTGGGCAACACAGCAAGACTCTGTCTCAAAAAAATAAATACATAAATAAAAATGCTTAAACATTTGAGAAGAATCAAGCCCGGAAGGGACCATAAGGACTCCCCACACAGGAGGACGCGTGCCTCAGGGCACTCGGGAATCAGTACTGTAGTGACATCTAAATCTGTACTCAGGAAGCAAGTCAGTCCTAACACCAGAGCAGCTTCAGATTAAAAAATACAAATCAACTGGACGCAGTGGCTCACATTTGTAATCCCAGCACTTTGGGAGGAAGAGGCAAGAGGGTTGCTTGAACCCAGGAGTTTAACACCAGCCTGGGCATCATAGTGAGCGTTCATCTCTCCAAAAAAAAAAAAAAGAGCCAAGTGCGGTCCCAGTCACTCAGGGGGCTGAAGTGGGAGGGTCACTTGTGCCCAGAAGTTGGAGACTGTAGAGAGCTATGATTGCGCCACTACACTCCAGCCTGGGCGACCGAGCAAGACCCTGTCTCTAAAAAAATAAGAAAGAATAGTCTGGGTGCAGTGGCTCACACCTGTAACCCCAGCATTTTGGGAGGCCAAGGTGGGCAGATCACAAGGTCAGGAGTTCGAGACCAGCCTGGCCAATATGGTGAAACCCCGTCTCTACTAAAAATATAAAAAAATTAGCCAGGCGTGGTGTCGGGCACCTGTAGTCCCAGCTACTCAGGAGGCTGAGGCAGGAGAATCGCTGGAACCCGGGAGGCAGAAGTTGCAGTGAACTGAAATCGCGCCACTGCACTCCAGCCTGGGTGACAGAGTGAGACTCCATCTCTAAATAAATAAATAAATAAATAAATAAATAAATAAATAAATAAACTGAGTCTCAGAGGGATTAGATTGCCTGCCCTGGGCCACAGAACTAGCTGTAATCATGGTCCCGAGTCTTTGTGTTGGGAGAAATATTAGTTTGGAAGCTCAGTTTCCTCCTCTGCCCCCCAGGTGGACCTGACCTGACTCATGTGTGCAAATGAAGGCATCTCCCTGCGTGCCCACATTTGTCGAGCCCTTTCTTTCCTTCCCCCTTCCTTTTAAAGATGTCTTGTCTTGGGCTGGGCGCAGTGGCTCACGCCTGTAATCTCAGCACTTTGGGAGGCTGAGGCGGGCGGATCACTTGAGGTCAGGAGTTCGAGACCAGCCTGGCCAAAAGGGTGAAACCCCGTTTCTACTAACAATACAAAAATTAGCCGGGCATATGGTGGTGCATGCCTGTAATTTCAGCTACTCAGGACGCTGAGACGGAAGAATCGCTTGAACCCGGGAGGTGGAGATTGCAGTGAGCTGAGATCACGCCACTGCACCCCAGCCTGGGCAACAGAGCAAGACTCTGTCTCAAAAAAAAAAAAAAACATTTTTGAGGAAAGGCAGAAGCATTGGAAGAAATTATAAGAAAACATAAAAATAATTATCCATAATTCCTTCAACTAGGTAAAACCACTATAAATGTTTGCCTAGCGCCTTCCAGTGTTTTTCTGTACACACACAAATATGCACAGACCAAAAACTATATACTTTTAAAAATGTAAAGACTTTATTTGCCAGGTAGGGTTTTAGAAAGTTGAAACTAATTCATTCTCTAACCGTGTATGAGAGTATGTTCCTCCTGCACCTTCATCAAATATTCGTGTTCCTTTTGTTAAATTATGCATATGTTTTCCTAGTGCAGTTTCCCTTTTCTTGCATTAAGTGGCAGTTCTCTAATACTTTTTTTTTTTTTTTTTTAGAGACAGGGTCTTGCTATGTCACCCAGGCTGAAGTGCAGTGGTGCGATCATAGCCATTGCAGCCTTGAACTCCCAGGCTCAAGGGATCCTCTAGCGGCAGTGTCCCAAGTAGCTGGGACTACAAGTGCGTGTCACCATGCCTGGCTTCCTGATACTTTTTCTGCTTTCCTGCCCCAGATTTGCAATCCAGGCAGAAAGAAAATCTCCACTGGATCCCACGGACAAAGACGCCCCATCTTGGGGAGCTGGAGTCATGAATGTCAGTGTGCACACACACACACACACACACACGGAAAGAGAGAGAGAGAGAAAGCAAGAAAGAGAGAAGTAAGGAAGAAGGAGAGAGAAAGAAAGAAGAGAAAGGAAAGAGAAAGAGACAAAAGAAAAGGAAAGAGAAAGGAAGAAAGAAAAGAAAAAAAGGAAAGGGGGCAGAAGGAAGGAAGAAGGGGAAAGAAGAAAGAAAGGAAAAGAAAGAAAGAAAAGAGAAAGAGAGAAAGGAAGAAAGGAAGGAAAGAAGGAAGGAAGGAAGGAAAGAAGGAAGGCAGGCAGGCAGGCAGGCATGCAGTCCAGCCAGGCGCGGTGGCTCACGCCTGTAATCCCAGCATTTTGGGAGGCAGAGGCGGGTGGATCACAAGGTCAGGAGATCGAGACCATCCTGGCTAACACGGTGAAACCCCGTCTCTACTAAAAATACAAAAAATTAGCCAGGTGCGGTGGCGGGCACCTGTAGTCCCAGCTACTAGGGAGGCTGAGGCAGGAGAATGGTGTGAACCCGGGAGGCAGAGCTTGCGGTGAGCCGAGATCGCACCACTGCACTCCAGCCTGGGTGACAGAGCAAGACTCCGTCTCAAAAAAAAAAAAAAAAAAGGAATGAAAGGAGGGAAGGAGGGAAGGAGGGAGGGAGGGAGGGAGGCAGGCATCCTCTTGTGGACTGTTTTTTTACTTTGTTGGTTTTCTCCACCGGAATACTACATTGTGAGTTGCCACAGTTACTCACCTTTGGCTCTGCCTCAGTGGCGACCCATGGAGTGATGTTCCAAATGCCTACTCTGCAAACAGTCCTGATTGTGCAGTGAGCAGCACTACAACTACATCAATGTAGTTGATTGATGGATGTCATTTAAAGACAGAAATGTGTGCAGAGGTGAGTGCAGAAGGGTGAAGGGGACTTCCAGGCACAAAACCTTGAGATCCATCCTAATCCTTCACCAACGACTCGAATTTTTTTTTTTTTATTTTTGTGGGTACATAGTAGGTGTATATATTTATGGGGCACATAAGACATTTTGATACAGGCATGCAATGTATAATAATCACATCGGGGGGCCGGGCGCAGTGGCTCACACCTGTAATCCCAGCACTTTGGGAGGCCGAGGCGGGTGGGTCAGGAAGTCAGGAGTTCGAGACCAGCCTGACCAACATGGTGAAACCCCGTCTCTACTAAAAATACAAAAATAAGCCGGGTGTGGTGGCCCATGCCTGTAATCCCAGCTACTCGGGAGGCTGAGGCATGAGAATTGCTTGAACCCGGGAGGCAGAAGTTGCAGTGAGCTGAGATAGTGACACTGCACTCCAGCCTGGCCAACAGAGCAAGACTCCGTCTCAAAAAAAATCATATCAGGATAAATGGGGTATCCATCTCCTCAAGCGCTTATCCTTTGTGTTACAAACAATCCAGTTATACTCTTTTAGTTATTTTAAAATGCACAATTCCTATTGACTGTAGTCACCCTGTGGTACTATCAAATACAAGGTCTTATTCATTTTTTCTAACTATTTTTTGCACCCATTAACCATCCCCTCTTTCACCCGCCCCTGCCACCTACCCTTCCCAGCCTCTGGTAACCATCCTTCTATTCTCTATCTCCATGAGTTCAATTATTTTATTTTGTTTTAATTAATTAATTAATTTCTTAGATGGAGTCTTGCTCTGTCGCCCAGGCTGCAGTCCAGTGGCACGATCTCGGCTCACTGCATCGTTCACCTCCCAGGCTCAGGCCATTCTCCTGCCTCAGCCTCCCAAGTAGCTGGGATTACAGGCGCGTGCTACCATGCTCGGCTAATTTTTGTATTTTTAGGAGAGACAGGGCTTCACCATGTTGGCCAGGCTGGTATTGAACTCCTGACCTCAAGTAATACACCTGCTTCAGCCTCCCAAAGTGCTGGGATTACAGGCGTGAGCCAGCGCGTCTGGCCTGAGTTCAATTATTTTTAATTTTTAGCTCCCATGAATAAGGAAGAACATGCAAAGTGTGTCTTCCTGTGCCTGGGTTATTTCACTTAACAGAAAGAACTTTGCTTCCATCCATGTTGTTGCAAATGACAGAATCTCATTCTTTTTATGGCTGAATAGTACTCCATTGTGTATAAATACCGCATTTTCTTTATCCGTTCATCTGTCAATGGACACTTAAGTTGCTTCCAAATCTTGGCTACTGTGAACAGTGGTGCAATAAACATGAAATGCAGAGATCTCTTTCATAGACTGATTTCCTTTCTTTTGGGGATAAATCTAGCAGTGGGATTGCTGGATCGTGTCATAGCTGTATTTTTAGTTTTTTGAGGAACCTCCAAACTGTTCTCTATAGTTGATGTACTAATTTACATTCCTACCAAGAGTGTATGAGGGTTCCCCCTTTTCCACAACCTTGCCAGCATTTGTTATTGCCTGTGTTTTGGATAGAGCTGGAATTTTTTTTTTTTTTTTTGAGGTGGAGTTTCGCTCTGTCGCCCAGACTGGAGTGCAGTGACACGATCTCGGCTCACTGCAACCTCTACCTCCTGGGTTCAAGCGATTGTCATGCCTCAGCCTCCTGAGTAGATGGGATTACAGGCATGTGCCACCACGCCCGGCTAATTTTTGTATTTTAGTAGAGATGGGGTTTCACAATTTTGGTCAGGCTGGTCTCGAACTACTGACTTTGTGATCCGCCTGCCTTGGCCTCCCAAAGTGCTGGGATTACAGGTGTAAGTTACCACACCTGGCTGGGAATTTTTTTTTTTTTTCTAAGACAGAGTCTCGCTCTGTCGCCCAGGCTGGAGTGCAGTGGCACCATCTCGGCTCACTGCAAGCTCTGCCTCCCGGGTTCACGCCATTCTCCTGCCTCAGCCTCCTGAGTAGCTGGGACTACAGGCGCCCGCCACCACGCCCTGCTAATTTTTTGTATTTTTAGTACAGACAGGGTTTCACCGTGTTAGCCAGGATGGTCTCGATCTCCTGACCTCGTGATTTGCCCACTTCGGCCTCCCAAAGTGCTGTGATTACAGGCATGAGCCACCACGCCTGGCTGGGGTTTTTTTTTTTTTTTAATAGGATAGATTATGTACATTTATTCAGGAAGATATAATATCAAATATCCTCTTCCATTGAAGTAAAAGTATCTATGTCTAGAACAGTCATCACAAACAGGCTTTTTAAAAAAAAAAAAAAAAAGAAAAGAAAGAAAGAAAGAAACAGGGACTCACTATGTTGTCCAGGCTGGTCTCAAACTCCTGGACTCAAGTTGTCTTCCCACCTCAGCCTCCCAAAATGTTGAGATTACAGGCGTGAGCCACAACACCTGGCATAAACAGGCTTTTTAAAATTTATACAGTATCTCTAGGCACAATTGAATGCTAATAGCAAACCAAAGCAACCCTTCAGATTTACAAGCCTAGCCACAAATAGCAAAGAAGTGCTCTCAATATCCACCCCCCAGCCTATAAACTTGCTGTAATTCACAAAGAGAATCTGATGAAAGATGTCTACATTAATAACAATAATATCTAGAATTTATTGAGTGCTTCACTGCATGTCAGATACTGGGCATCTATTGCATGGAACAGCTTCTATTTTTATCTATTTTATGAATGGACTCTCTGAAGCTCAATGGCTATTAAAGAGGAGTTAAATGGCTATTCGGTGTCCTGGGGTTGGTAAGTGGCTGAGAAGAGGCTGAGCCTGGGCAGTGTGAGCCCCGGGCCTGTGCTTTTAACCACGTCCCTGTGCTGTCTATTGAGGTGACCCATTCCCTGGTATCCTGTGGTCTTTGCACCAGGGAGGAGGACCTGGGAGTCTGGAAGCCCCACTGTGGGCCTGGATAGGCTTACCTGCCTTCTCAGCCTCAGTTTCCTCATCTGAAAGGAGGGTGGGTCAGAGTGACCTTAGAACATATTGGCCCTGACACCCCCTAGGACCCTCCAATTTTTTGCTTTTTTTTTTTTTTTTAGATATGGGGGTCTGGCTATATTGCCCAGGATGGTCTCGACCTCTTGGCCTCAAGCAATCCTCCTGCCTCGGCCTCCCAAAGTGCTGGGATTACAGGAATGAGCCACTGCGTCCAGCCAACCCTCCACATTTTGGGGTGAGAGCCAACCCCTCACTTTGCAGCTGAGTAGCCTTGATACACTTCGGGGAGACAATAGGGGTCATGGCCATGGCTGGGATGAAATGTAACTAAGGAAGAGTGAGTCTCTGCCCTGGAGTCCCCAGTCTGCCTCTGGTGACACTTAAAACTCAAACCAGGCTGGGCGTGGTGGCTCACACCTGTAATCCCAGCACTTTGGGAGGCTGAGGTGGGCGGATCACCTGAGGTCAGGAGTTCGAGACCAGCCTGGCCAACATGGTGAAACCTTGTCTCTACTAAAAATACAAAAATTAGCTGGGTGTGGTGGCATGCACCCGTAATCCCAGCTACTCAGGAGGCTGAGGCAGGAGAATTGCTTGAACCTGGGAGGTGGAGATTACAGTGAGCCAAGATCGTGCTACTGCACTCCAGGCTGGGCAACAGGGCGAGACTCTGTCTCAAAAAAAAAAAAAAAAAAAAAAAAACCCAAAACACCAAAAACCCAAACCAAGCTGGAGAGGCATCCTTGGAGTCTGGGGATGAGCGAGGCATCCTTAGAAATAGGCCAGGGAAGGAGGGAAGGAAGCCCCACAGTCACAGTGAGGGCCGATTCCTTTGCCAGCCTGTGTGTCCATGCACTGGACCTGGGGACAGGAAATATAATCTTGGCCACACACCAGGTGCTGACTTGCACTGCTGCCCTGCCCGGGAGGCCCCCCAAGCCTAAATCAAGCCCAACACCCAGTCTGGAATTGGACCTTATGGAAGGCAAAGGCATTCTCGGTTTAATCAAGAAAAGTGGATACCTGGACCTCACTGCCACCTCATTGAGCTAATGCTTTAAAAACAGGAGTGAGGTTCACCACCAGCCCTTGGGGAGGATTGGGAAAAGGCTTCTTGCCTCATCATTACGGCTCCTTTCAAATGAAGCTTGGGATATTCACCCCGGGAAGGAGTCGTGCCTGGAAATAGGAGGAGTGCCTCAGACAGCAGGTCTCAGGGTCAATGGGGGGCCCTTCTGTGGAACCCAGAAAGAATGCATCTGGCCGGGCATGGTGGCTCATGCCTGTAATTTCAGCACTTTGTGAGGCCGAGGCAGGTGGATCCCTTGAGGCCAGGAGTTCAAGACCAGCCTGGGTAACATGGTGAAACCCCATGTCTACTAAAAATACAAAAATTAGCTGGGCGTGGTGGTGTGCACCTGTAATCCTGGCTTCTTGGGAGGTTGTGGCATGAGAATCGCTTGAACCAGGGAGGTGGAGGTTGCAGTGAGCCAAGATCATGCCACTGCACTCCAGCCTGGGTGACAGAGTGAGACCCTGTCTTGGAAAAAAAAAAAAAAGAATGCTTCTAAAGCATCTAATCAACAGGTCAGAGAACTTACAGAGAACCCTCATTTGTGATGTTTCACATTTTGTTAAAAATTTTTTAATCGATTATATATTTTTCTGAGATGGGGTCTTGCCATGTTGCCTAGTATGGCCTCAAACTCCTGGGCTCAAGTGATCCTCCTGCTTCAGCCTCCCAAGGGGCTGGAATTTCAGGTGTAAGCCATTGTGCCTGGACACATGTATCATTTCTTCATGTTACATACATTCCAGTTATACTCTTTTAGTTATTTTTATTTTTATTTTTTTGGTGGAGTCTTGTTCTGTCATCCAGGCTGGAATGCAGTGGCACAATCTTGGCTCACTGCCACCTCCACCTCCCGGGTTCAAGCGATTCTCCTGACTCAGCCTCCCTAGTAGCTGGAATTACAGGCACACACCACCACACCCAGCTAATTTTTGTATTTTTAGTAGAGATGGGGTTTCGCCATGTTGGCTGGGCTGGTCTTGAACTCCTGACCTCAGGTGATCCACCTGCCTCGGCCTCCCAAAGTGCTGGGATTATGGGAGTGAGCCACCGCGCCCGGCCTCTTTCAGTTATTTTAAAATGTATGGTAATTAATGGTGACTGTAGTTACCCTGTTGTGTTACCGAATAGTAGATCTTATTCAACCTACCTAGCTATATTTCTGTACCCATATTGCTCAAAGAAATCATTGTTTCCCTCTCCATGTTTCTGGAACATTTAGACTTCAGGAGCCCTTTTTATTTTTTATTTTTATTTTTATCTTTTTAGAGAGAGGGTCTTGTTCTGTTGCCCAGGCTGGAGTGCAGTGGTGTGATCATGGCTCACTGCAGCCTCGAACTCCTGGGATCCAGTGATCCTCCCACCTCAGCCTCCTGAGTAGCTGGGACTACAGGCATGCACCACCATACTCGGCTAATTTTCAAAAATTTTTTTGTAGAGATGGGGTCTCACTATGTTGACCAGGCTGGTCTTGAACTCTTGGGCTCAAGTGATCCTTCCACCTCAGCCTCTCAAAGTGCTGGAATTACAGACGTGAGCCACTGCACCTGGCCCAGGCTCCCTCTTGAGATAGGCAGTTGGAGCCCCAAGCTTAGCTTTGGGAGCCAGGTGGGTCCCTGAGGGTGGCCAGGAAACAAGTACTGCCTCCTGGGGGACATACCCATTTTTATTTACCCCATGTTTGGTCCACACACAGCACCCCGGACTCAGCATCTGAATGGGGCTGGTGTCAGATGAACACACCAGGTCATCCCCTTGTGCTGTTTATATCTCGAGAGAATAGATAAGATATTTGCAGTCGAAACAAGAAAAGTGGCTAAATCTGGGGAAAGTGCTTGGCCAGATCCAGTTTCTTATGATTTAAGCAGAAAGTGTAAACATCTCCTCGAGCCCAGGGCCAAGGACAAACACAAACGCTGGGCTCTGCCCAGGATGCGGGATGAGCCAAGCCGACATGCGGGCGGCGCCGGGGAGCAGCGAGCATTTGCAAGTGCTAACTCGTTCCTGCTGTGTGCAGACAGCACCCGCAGACAGACCAGGCCCGCCCCGCCAGCGTCTAGGCGAGGGATGAATCCTGCAGAATGAAGATGATGTTTCGAATGAATAGGAAAAGTGTATTGTGTCAGGGTTCTTTAGAGAAACAGAACCAACAGGAGATTAGATAGATAGATAGATAGATAGATAGATAGATAGATAGATAGATAGATGATAGATGATAGATAGATGACAGATGACAGATAGATGATAGATGATAGATGATAGACAGCTAGATAGATAGACAGATGATAGATTGATAGAGAGATGATAGATAGATGATAGTTGATAGATAGATGATAGATGATAGATATAGATAGATGATAGATAGATAGCGATATAGATAAATGAGAAGAGGATTACCATGGGAACTGGCTCATGAGATTATCAAGGCTGACACTCACCCACCCTGTGCCATCTGCAAGCTGGAGAACTGGTGAAGCCAGCAGCGTGGCTCAGTCCAAGTCCCAAAGGCCGGACAACCGGAAATTCTGATGTCCAAGGGCAGGAGAAGATGGGTGTCCCAGGTCCAGGAGAGAGACAGAGAATTCTTTCCTCTGCTCTTTTATCCTCTCCAGGCCCACTGACAATTGGGTGGTTCCTGCCCAGATTGGGAGAGGGCAGAACTCCCTTACACAATTCACTGATTCAAATGCCAGTCTCGGCCGGGTGCGGTGGCTCACGCCTGTAATCCCAGCACTTTGGGAGGCTGAGGCGGGTGGATCCCCTGAAGTCAGGAGTTCGAAACCAGCCTGGCCAACATGGTGAAACCATGCCTGTACTAAAAATACAAAAAATTAGCCGGGTGTGGTGGCACATGACTGTAATCCCAGCTACTTGGGAAGCTGAGGCAGGAGAATCGCTTGAACCCGGGAGGCAGAGGTTGCAGTGAGCCGAGATCGCACCACTGCACTCCAGCCTGGGCAATAAGAGCAAAACTCCATCTCGAAAAAAAAAAAAAGGAAAGAAAAGAAAAGAAAAAGAAAGAGAAGGGGGTTGGGTTGGATTTCCATTGTTTGTTTCCTCCTTATGAGCTGAGGGGGCCTGGATCCCGGGCAACTGGGGATGACTTGTGGATGTCTGACCCTGAAGCTGCTCACTCCACCATAGATTGGCAGATTTCTAGATGTTTCCTGAATTTATGGAAGGGAATCTTGTGATTTTTTAAATTTTTAGTTCACTAGTTATTAAAACATGTTTATTTTATTTATTTAGTAATTGTTTATTTTACTTATTTTTTTTTTTTAGATGGAGTCTCACTCTGTCACCCAGGCTACAGTGCAGTGGCACGATCTCGGCTCACTGCAACCTCCGCCTCCTGGGTTCAAGCGATTCTCCTGCCTCAGCCTCCCCTGTAGCTGGGATTACAGATGTGTGCCATGATGCCTGGCTAATTTTTGTAATTTTAGTACAGACAGGGTTTCACCATATTGATCAGACTGGTCTTGAACTCCTGACCTCCGGTAATCCACCCACCTCAGCCTCCCAAAGTGCTGGGATTAGAGGCATGAGCCACCGCACCCGGCCTGAAAACGTTTTCAAAAATAGTTTTAAAATGTCCATAACATAAAACGTGCCATGTTAACCATGTTGAGGCATACAGTTCAATGACATTCAATACTTTCACACTGTGATGTAACCGTCATCCACCTCCATCTTCAGAACTTTTTCATCTTTCCAAACTGAAACCCTGTCCCCATTAAACACTCACTCTCCATCCGCCTCCCCCCACCTCCTGGCACCCGCTGTTCTACTTTCTGCCTTTATAATTTTGAGACTCTAGGTAACTCATATAAGTGGAGTCATTCAGGATTTGTCCGTTTGTGATTGGCTTATTTCACTTAATACAATGTCCTCAAGGTTTATCCATGTTGTAGCGTGTGCCAGGATTTGTTTCCTTTGTAAGCTGAATAATCTTCCATTGTATGGATAGGCCACATTTGGTTTACCCATCCATCCGCTGGTGGACAGTTGGGTTGCATTTATCTTTTTTTTTTTTTTTTTTTTTTTTAGTCAGATTGTCGTTCTGTCACCCAGGCTGGAGTGCAGTGGTGCAATCTCTGCTCACTGCAACCTCCGCCTCCTGAGTTCAAGCGATTCACCTGCCTCAGCCTCCTGAGTAGCTGGGACTTACAGGCACCCACCACCACCATGCCCGGCTAGTTTTTTGTATTTTTAGTAGAGATGGGGTTTCACCGTGTTAGCCAACATGGTCTCGATCTCCTGACCTCGTGATCCGCCTGCCTCGGCCTCCCAAAGTGCTGGGATTACAGGCATGAGCCACTGTACCCGCAGGATTGTATTTATCTTTTAGCTATTGTGAATAATGCTGCTGTGAACATGGGTGTGCAAATAGTTTGAGTTCCTGCTTTCAGTTCTTTGGAATGCTAGCTCATAAGGTAATTCTATGCTGCCCAGGCTGGAGTGCAATGGCACAATCTTGGCTTACTGCAAACTCCACCACCGGGTTCAAGTGATTACCCTGTCTCAGCCTCCTGAGTAGCTGGGATTACAGGCACGTGCCACCACGCTCAGCTAATTTTGTATTTTTAGTAGAGATGGGGATTTCACCATGTTGGCCAGGCTGGTCTTGAACTCCTGACCTCAGGTGATCCGCCTGCCTCAGCCTCGCAAAGTGCTGGGATTACAGGCGTGAGCCACCACACCTGGCCCAAAAAAGTTTTTTTTAGAGACAGGATCTCACTATGTTGCCCAGGCTTGAGTGCAGCTCACTGCAGCCTCCAGCTCCTAGGCTCTAACGATCCTCCTCCTGCAGCCTCCCAGTAGCTGAGACTATAAGTACACACAACCAATTTTTGTATGTTTTTTTTTTTTTTTTTTTTGTAGAGATGGGGGCTCACTATGTTGCCCAAGCTTGTCTCAAACTCCTGGGCTCAAGTGATCCTCCCGCCTTGGCCTCCCAATGTGTTGGCATTATAGGCATGAGCCACTACACCTGGCCCTATTTTTGACTTAATTTTTTGAGGGGCTGTCAAACTATTTTCAACAATGGCTGTGCAATTTTCCATTCCCACCAGCAGTAGGCAAGAGTTCCAATTTCTCCACATCCTCACGAACACTCATTTTCAATTTTTTCTTGAGTGACCATCCTAATGGGTAGAGTGCTCTATCTCACTGTGGTTTTGATTTGCATTTTTCTAATGATTCATAATGGTGAACATCGTTTCATGTACTTATTGGCCATTTGTGTATTTTTGGAGAAATGTCTGTTCAAATCCATTTTTATCAGGTTTAAGAAAAACTGTTGAATTATAGGTGTTCTTTATGCATAATCTGGATATTAACCCCTTATCAGATACATAACCTGTGGGCCAGGCGTGGTGGCTCACGCCTGTAATCGCAGCACTTTGGGAGGCCAAGACAGGCGGATCACTTGAGGTCAGGAGTTCGAGGCCAGCTTGGCCAACATGGTGAAACCCCCCCACCCCGTCTCTATTAAAAATACAAAAATTAGCTGAGGATGGTGATGGGTGCCTGTAATCCCAGCTACTTGGGAGGCTGAGGCACGAGAATCACTTGAACCCTGGTGGCAGAGGTTGCAGTGAGCCGAGATCTCACCACTGCACTCCAGTCTGGGTGACAGAGCGAGACCCTGTCTCAAAGAAAGAATATATTTTTACAAGACATATATATATATATGACTTGTAAATATTGTCTCCCATTCTCCTGGGTTGCCTTTTTGCTATGACGATAGTATCCTTTGATGCACAAAAGTTTTAAATTTTGAGGTAATCCAATTTATCTATTTTTTGCTTCTGTTGTCTGTAGCTGTGCTTAATTTGTAAAAAGCCGTTTACTTGGAAACCACCATGGCTTTCTCCCACAAGCCTTAGAAACATCTCGCTATGCAGATCACTGTGTTTCTGCAGTCAGATCTTCCTTCCAAGTAATTGCTGTGGCTTCTGCCTCCAGTTCATCCCGGGAGATGGCTTTTTTTTAAAGGCCAGGCCATAGAGGCGGGCTTCTGAATGAAGGGGGAGGTTCGTCTGCACCCCACAAGGGGCCCACACAATCCTGAAGTCCCCGAGGTACCCCCTGTTCCAGACAGAATGCTGGCGTGCACCCTAGAAAGCCTCGAAACTGGCTCGTTTTGGCCACTTTTCTCCATTCTGGCACCAGGTCATTTTCTGCTGTAGACAGAATCTATTTTGAGCTGCCTTTTTTTTTTTTTTTTTTTTGGTCTCCTGCTTCATACGTGTGGGTCTCCCGTGGGCTTCACATCTGAGAAGCTTCTTTCTCTTGCCGAAATAGAGCCAGCCACGTGGGGAGAGCGGTTCTTGGGCACAGATGGCACCGTGGGGGAGAGGAGCCTGCTCTGGTTCTCCCACCCGTGCCTGAGGAACGATGCCAGCTTCCTGGCCACCCTTTGGAATCAGAAAGAGCTGGTTACAGAGTTCCTTTTATTTTATTTATTTATTTATTTTTCAGATGGAGTCTTGCTCTGTCACCCAGACTGGAGTGAAATGGTGTGATCTCGGCTCACTGCAACCTCCGCCTCCAGGGTTCAAGCAATTCTCCTGCCTCAGCCTCCGGAGTAGCTGGGATTACAGGCACCTGCCACCACGCCCACCTAATTTTTGTATTTTTAGTAGAGATAGGGTTTCACCATGTTGGCCAGGCTGGTCTCTGACTCCTGACCTCAAGTGATCCACCTGCCTCGGCCTCCCAAATTGCTGTGATTACAGGCCACTGCACCTGGCCCCTTTTATGTTTTTTTAATTAACTTTTTTTTTTTTTGAGACAGAGTCTAGCTCTGTTGTCCAGTGGTGCAATCACAGCTCCCTGCAGCCTTGACCTCCCGGGCTCAAGCAATCCTCTTGCCTCAGCCTCCCAAATAGCTGGGACTACAGGAGCACACCACATGCCCTGCTAATTTTTTTTTTTTTTCTTGAGACAGAGGCTTGCTCTGTTCCCTAGGCTGGAGTGCAGTGACATGATATCGGCTCACCACAACCTCTGCCTCCTGGGTTCAAGCGATTCTCCTGCCTCAGCCTCCCGAGTAGCTGGGACTACAGATGCCCACCACCATGCCTGGCTAATCTTTGTATTTTTAGTAGAGATGGGGTTTCACCATGTTGGTCAGGCTGGTCTCAAACTCCTGACCCCGTGATCCACGCGCCTTGGCCTCCCAAAGTGCTGGGATTACAGGCGTGAGCCACTGTGCCTGGCCCTCTTCTCTTTCTATAAAGGACATCAGTCACTTGATTTAGGGCCCTCCCTTATCCAGTCTGACTTCATCTTAACTTACATCTTAATGACAGCTAACAAGACTGTTTCCAAATAAGGTCACACTCACAGTACCGGGGTTAGGTCTCCACCTTATCTTTTTGGGGACACACAACTCAACTCACAGCAGATAAAGAGCACCCATCTTCCCTAAGAAATTCCCCACTGGCACAAACCCATCTTTCCACGTGATGCCAAGCCATCCTACGACCACGTCCTCATAATTTCTCTATAGGTCAAGGGTGTGTTTCTGTGCACAGTCGTGACAATAGCTTCCATTGATGAGGACCAATTGACTGCCAGGCCCTGGGCTCTAGGTGCAGTGATCTGCCTCCAAGTGAACCTTTATCAGCCAGGTGTGGGGGTGCACATATGTGGTCCCAGCTATGTGGGAGGCTGAGGCGGGAGGATCACTTGAGCCTAGGAAGTTGAGGCTGCAGTGAGTTGTGATCATGCCACTGCATTCCAGCCTGGGCCACACATCAAGACCACGGAGACCCTGTGTAAAAAGAACCTTTATCCACGTTGGATGGTTGAGAAAGCTGAGTGAATAACAAGTGACAGGAGCTGCCTTACCCAAGGCTACCTGGCCACTGAGAGGCAGGGCTGCAGGCTACAGAGTCCTATTTTTCTGTTATGGGGGGTCTGCTTGTTGGGCATTGAGGGAGCAGAGAGAGAGAGAGAAGGCAGGTGGTAGCGAGTGTGGCCATGTGGAAGGGACTCCTTGCCTGATCAAAGGCAGACCCAGGTTGGGTGACTTCTGACGCCCACTTCCTTGAGTCCACCCCAAGATTCGAACCCTAGATCTCCCAAGGAAAGGAGGATGATGGAGGAGGGAGGACTGCCTGGTCAGATGGTGTCCTGGGAGGACTTAGTCTTTCCCTGTCCCCACTCTCCCAAGGAGTACAGCCCAATGGCCAGCCACGGTAACCCTATGATGGCAACCCCCAGACTCCCTGTAGGATGGAAAGATTGACTCCCATCACTGCTGAGAGCACCCCCATCCCCTGCTGGCCCTCTGCAGGTGTTACCTTGGCTGCAGAGAGTCCCCAGGTTGCACAGAGCCCTGTCCCTTCCCAGGGCAACTGCATTCAATGCTTAGCAGCAAAGAGGTCTGAAGACCCAATTTCCTGTCTTGACTCAAGCCTACTCGGAAGGGCCCTCCCAGTTCCGGCGCTCCCTATGGAGTCCGCTGAGGCCTTCATCGAGACTGCACTGCAGCTCAGCTTTCCCCGCTGTTCAATCCTGCTTCCTTCCCAGCCTGCCTTCCTCACTCTCTTCCCCTGATCACTGCTCTGCAGACTTATCCCCATCTGCCACGCATCCTCGACTGGAACAATCTGCAGAGCATCTTCCGGCGGGGACGGGCATAGAGGAGGGCAGCTGTGAACACCTCCTGGTCAGCACCGGGTGCTCACTCAGAAGGGTGTACATTTTCACTCTGCACCCCTCGCTTTGGGTGCTGCTAACGTGCCATCCCCATGTAACGTGTTGTATTTTATTTTATTTTTGAGATGGAGGCTTGCTCTGTCGCCCAGGCTGGAGTGTAGTGGCACGATCTCAGCTCGCTGCAACCTCCATCTCCAGAGTTCAAGAGATTCTCCAGCCTCAGCCTCCCGAGTAGCTGGGATTACAGATGTGTGCCACCACATCTGGTTAATTTTTGTATTTTTAGTAGAGACAGGGTTTCACCATGTTGGCCAGGCTGGTCTCGAACTCCTCACCTCTGGTGATCTGGATCCGCCAGCCTTGGCCTCCCAAAGTGCTGGGATTACAGGTGTGAGCCTCTGCACCCAGCCTGAATTGTGCACTTTCAATGAGTGAATTGTATGTTATGTGAATTATATCTCAATAAAGTTAGTCTTTAAAAAAAAAAAAGAAGTCTTATCTCAGATCAGTGACCTCCAGGGCTGAAATCTTAACCTGACTAGGCCTTCAGGGATCTGCCACCCCCAATACCTCTGTGAGCTCCTCCCCCTACTCCTCACTCACTCCTTAAACCACTTGGGCCACTTTGCTATTCCTCCAGTGTGCCTAGGGCACCCTGACCCCAGGGCCTTTGTATGAGCTGTTCCCTCTGCCTGGAACTCTTTTCCTGATACCCGCATTTCACTTCCTTCAGCTTTCTTCCCAAATGTGCTCTGAGACCCCTTCCTTGACCCACAGGATAGCACACGCTCAGTCCCAGCGCTTTCTCTTCCTTACCCAGCCTTATTTTTCTGAGTGCATTTCACCACTTGACTATTACAAACATTTAGAACAGTTTTCTGTCTTCTCCAACTAGAATCTTAGCATGGTGAGAGGACAGACTGTTTTAGTCCTTGGCCCCTCAAATAATGCCTAGTTATGGTAGGCTTCAGTCATATTTGTTGAGAGGATGCAGAGCTGCATATTTTTGTTTTTGTTTTTGGTTTTGGTCTTTTGAGAGAGAGAGTCTTACTCTGTGGCCCAGGCTGGAGTGCAGTGGTGAGATCTTGGCTCACCGCAAGCTCCGCTTCCTGAGTTCAAGCGATTCTTGTGCCTCAGACTCTTGAGTAGCTGGGATCACAGGCACGTGATACCATGCCTTGCTAATTTTTGTATTTTTAGCAGAGACAGGGTTTCACCATGTTGGCCAGGCTGGTCTTGAACTCCTGACCTCAAGTGATCTGTTCGCCTCAGCCTCCCAAAGTGCTGGGATTATAGGCGTGAGCCACTGCCCCTGGCCCTGTCATATAATGTATTTAACTAGCCTTAAATATATTAGTTAGTAGTAACTAATGTATTAGTAACTTACTACTATGTAACTTACTACTTAGTAACTTACTACTATGTAACTTACTACTTACTGTATTAGTAACTTATTACTTAGTAACTACTACTAAGTATGTGGCAATTAATATCTTTGTATTTAGATCTTTGAGTCCATGCTAGAGTGTATACAGATTATCAGTAATGGAACTGATGTGTCAAAGAGCTTATGCATTTGGGGGTTGATAGATGTTGCCAAATTGTCCTACAAATATAGGATCAACTACCCTATAGTTGACTGTCCCATCAACTACCGTAGACTTTCCTCACACCCTAAGTAATAATTTGCTACCTTCTTTATCTTTGCCAATCGGAGATGTGAAACATACTATTTCCTTGTAGTTTTAATTTATATTTCTTATTTTGAGTGAGGTTGATCATGTCATACAGTGATTTGTGTGATCTGTAGATTCAACACAATCCCAATGAATTATTCAACCAATCCCTTCCCTATTAATGAACATGCCTGTTGTTACCAGTATTTCAATATTTGAAATTAAACAATTAAATTTTTTTTTTTGAGATGGAGTCTTGCTCTGTTGCCCAGGCTGGAGTGCAGTGGCATGATCTCGGCTCACTGCAACCTCCACCTCCCGGGTTCAAGCGATTCTGCTGCCTCAGCCTCCCAAGTGGTTGGGATTACAGGCACTCACCACCACACTTGGCTAATGTTTTGTATTTTTAGTAGAGATGGGGCCTCACCATTTTGGCCAGACTGGTCTCGAACTCCTGACCTCAGGTGATCTGCACGCCTTGGCCTCCCAAAGTGCTGGGATTACAGGTGTGAGCCACTGTGCCCGGCCGAAATTAAACTCCAATGCGCAAATCATGCGGCTTTGCACTCTTGTCTGATGATCTCCTTTAGAAAAAGTGGAAATGCTGTTTCAAAGAATCCTCTCATTTACATTTCTGGGTGGTTAAATAAGCCTTCCAAGAAGTCTTCCAAAGTCTGTTCCAGTTTATTCCCACCAATGAAGTATGAGAACATTGATCTGCCTTCTGGAAAGATGATAATCATTGACACCCCCAAAACAGAGCATGAGAAGGCCTGTCTCCTTGTTCTCTCACTACTCTGGATTTTGTTAGTCTTTTTGGTTTCCCAGAAGTATAATTTATTGTGCAGTAAAGAATTTTATCTCAGGCTGGGAGCTGTGGCTCATGCCTGTAATCCCAGCACTTTGGGAGGCCAAGGCAGGAGGATCACTTGAGCCCAGGAGGTTGAGACCAGCCTGGGCAACATGGCAAAACCTTGTTTCTACAAAAAAAATACAAAAATTAGCCAGGTGTGATAATGCATGCCTGTAGTTCCAGCTACTTAAGAGGCCGAGGCCAGAGGATCACTTGAGCCTGGAAGTTGAAGGTTGCAGTGAGCCGTGATTGTACCAGTGCACTCCAGCCTGGGACATAGAGCAAGACCCTGTCTCAAAAACAAACAAAAAATTATGGTACATCTTCTAGGTGGAATGTTACACAGCTTTTCAAAATAACAATCAGGCTGGGATTACACCTGTAATCCCAGCACTTTGGGAGGCCGAAGTGGGAGAATTGCTTGAGTCTAGGAGTTTGAAACCAGCCTGGGCAACATGGTGAAATCCCGTTACTAAAAAAAAACCCACAACAATTAGCCGGGTGTGGTGGCATGTGCCTGTGGTCCCAGTCACTTGGGAGGCTGGGGTGGGAGAACCACTGTAGCCTGGGACTTGGAGGCTACAGTGAGCCATGACTGCACCACTGCACTCCAGCCTGGGCAACTGAGCAAGACCCTGTCTCTCCCCACCCCCCAAAACACACACACACACACACACAC
Organism: Homo sapiens; assembly: GCF_000001405.40. Taxonomy (NCBI): domain Eukaryota; kingdom Metazoa; phylum Chordata; class Mammalia; order Primates; family Hominidae; genus Homo; species Homo sapiens. The sequence goes on from NC_000007.14 coordinate 98,044,481, forward strand.
ACACACACACACACACACACGACTACAAAGACTGCAGCAATACAGAAAAAATGTTGACATAATTTTCTTTTTTTCCTTTTTTTTTCGAGCTGGAGACTTGCTCTGTTGCCAGGCTGGAGTGCAGTGGTGCGATCTTGGCTCACTGCAACCTCCGCCTCCTGGGTTCAAGCGATTCTTCTCCCTCAGCCTCCTGAGTAGCTGGGACTTCAGACATGTACCACCATGCCCAGCACATTTTTGTATTTTTAGTAGAGATGGGGTTTCACCTTGTTGGCCAGGATGGTCTCGATCGCCTGACCTCGTGATCTGCCCGCCTTGGCCTCCCAAAGTGCTAGGATTACAGGCGTGAGCCACTGCACCCGGCCAATGTCCACATAATTTTAAGCAAAACGAGCAGAATCCAAAATCGTATCCATGCTGACTAGAACTGTGTGAAAATACACCTACAGGTGAACGGAGACTGGACAGAAGGTAGAAAAGTGTAGAGATTGGTATGAATGGTTTTTCTTGGTTTTGTCCTTGGTATTTGGTGGATCGATGGGTATAGATTGGGAAAGGGAATGAGTAAGAAGCCTCACAATGAGAGAGACAGGCGTGCACCTCTTGCGTCTGCACTGAAGGGTGATGTGGTTAGGGAAGATACGCCTGTCCTTCCTGCAGCACTCTGCACACAAGGGCAGCTGGGCAGTTTGCAGGCGGTCATCTCGAGGTGCTCACAGGACGACAGATGCTCAGGGCTGCCGTCTGGACCTGCGTGTCCCAGCGTGAGATGCGTCCCACCTGATTTTAACAGAAGCAAGTTTTTTTGTTCTTGCTGTTGTTCAGTGATTTTGGACATCTAGCTCCCAGAGCTGTCAGAGCAAAGAGAATGCCTGTTGTTTGAAGCCACCCAGTTTGTGGCTTTTTTTTTTTTTTTTTTTGGAGATGGAGTCTTGCTCTGTTTCACAGGCTGTAGTGGTGCAATCTCGGCTCACTGCAATCTCCACCTCCCAGGTTCAAGTGATTCTTCTGCCTCAGCCTCCCAAGTAGCTGAGATTACAGGCATGCACCACCATACCCAGGTAATTTTTGTATTTTTAGTAGAGACAGGATTTTGCCATGTTAGCCAGGTTGGTCTCGAACTCCTGACCTCAGGTGACCTGCCCGCCTCAGCCTCCCAAAGTGCTGGGATTACAGGTGTGAGCCACCACACCCAGCCGGCACCTTGTTATAGTAGCTGCAGTGTTACATGCTGAACTGTGTACCCTCCACATTCCTACATTGAAGTCTTATTTATTTATTTATTTATTTATTTATTTATTTATTTATTTCAAGATAGAGTCTCACTCTGTCACCCAGGCTGGAGTTCAGTGGCACCATCTCGGCTCACTGCAACCCCCCGCCTCTTGGGTTCAAGCTATTCTCCTGCATCAGCCTCTAGAGTAGTTGGGATTACGGGCATGCACCACCATGCCTGGCTAATTTTTGTATTTTTCGTAGAGATGGGGTTTGTCCATGTTGCCCAGGCTGATCTCGAACTCCTGGCCTCAAGCGATGCGCCTGGCTCGACCTCTCAAAGTGATGGGATCACAGGTGTGAGCCACTGTGCCTGGCCTATATGTTGAAGTCCCAACCTCCAGGACGTCAGAATGGGAGTGTGCTTGGAAACAGGGCCTTTAAAAGGATAATTAAGTTAAAATGAGGTCATTAGGGTGGGCCCTGATCCCTTCTGACTGGTGTCCTTATAAGAAGAGGAATGAGGGGCCAGGCACGGTGGCTCATGCCTGTAATCCCAGCACTTTGGGAGGCTGAGGTGGGCAGATTATGAGATCAGGAGTTCGAGACCAGCCTGGCCAACATAGTGAAACCCCATCTCTACTAAAAATACAAAAAATTAGCTGGGTGTAGTGATGCGTGCCTGTAATCCCAGCTACTTGGGAGGCCAAGGCAGGAGAATCACTTGAACCCGTGAGGTGGAGGTTGCAGTGAGCCGAGATCGCATCACTGCACTCCAGCCCAGGTGACAGTGTGAGACTCCATTTCAAAAAAAAAAAAGAAGAGGAGGACTGAGGGACACACAGGGGCACACCATGATGTTTGCGTGCAGAGGCAATGTCATTTGAAGACACAGTGACAAGATGACCATCTGTAAGCCAGGGAGACAGGCCTCGGGAGAAACTGAGCCTGTCTACACCTTGCTCTTGGACTTCCAGCCTCCAGAGCTGTGAGAAAGTCCATTTCTTTTGTTTAAGCCACCCAGTCTGTGGTATTGAGTGATGGCAGCCCTCTAATACACAGGAGAAAACCAATACAGGAAGAACCTTTTGTTACTAGTGACAGAAAACATTATCAAATTTCCACAGAAAGAAAATGTATTGCAGAAAGAGAAACTATAGTGACTCACATTTCAAACGTACATGTATTTATTTTAAAAATAAACTGTCTATCACTACCATAAATAGAATCCCGGAACCATATCCGTGAAAGCCTGTGAACACACAGCAGTCATTTTGGCTTCAGGTAGGGCTTGGTGAAACATACACGCAACTTTACCACCATCCACGTCTCAGCTCTGCATCCCAGGATTCTGGCCAAAAAAAAAAAATGCTTTTTTTTTTTTTTGTGATCACAGACAAATGCAGCAAGCAGTTCACAAAGCTATACTCTCCTGGGTCTTCAGCCAGCAAGAAGGAGAGTGCCCTTGACCGCCAAACAAATCCAAGGCTTTGCCCCAGTTGGACCCTCTGAGGTCACAGGCTGTCTCTGAACCAATCATTGTTGCCAGAAAACGTGATGTCCCAGTGAGCTTAGTCCTTGACCACATGTTCCTCTCCTGGTATGGAGGGGTCATGAGAGTGAGAAGGAGGAGGGTGCTTTCCTCAAACACATTGGACTGATACCTTTGGGTAAATATCTTCAGAAAAGTTGGGGTATTTGTTTTTTAAAAAATTTATATAAAGAGCCAGGCACGGTGGCTCACACCTGTAATCCCAGCACTTTGGGAGGCTGAGGTGGGTGGATCACCTGAGGTCAGGAGTTTGAGACCAGCCTGACCAACATGGAGAAAGCCCATCTCTACTAAAAATACAAAACTAGCCAGGCGTGGTGGCGCATGCCTGCAATCCCAGCTACTTGGGAGGCTGAGGCAGGAGAATCGCTTGAACCTGGGAGGCAGAGGTTGTGGTGAGTCGAGATCGTGCCATTGCTCTCCAGCCTGGGCAACAAGAGCGAAACTCTGTCTCAAAAAAAAAAAAATTTATATACACACATATTATATATATTAGACATATATGTTTTATATATCTTATATATGTTATATATAAGGCATATTATATATGTTATATATAAGGCATATTATATATGTATATATTTATATACACACATATATAAATAGACATACACATATGTATATATAATATGTCATATATATAAATATATATGTGTATATACATAGTATGTCATATATATATTAGACAGGGTCATGCTGTGTTACCTGGGCTCTGGAGTGCAGTGGTGTGAACATAGTTTTTAAATTTTTTGCAGAGATGGGGTCTTGCTATGCTGTCCAAGCTGGTCTTGAATTCCTGGCCTCCAGCAGTCCTCCCACTTCAGCCTCCCAGAGTGCTGGGATTACAGGCATGAATCACTGCACCCAGCCAGGATAGTGTTAAGAAGAAGAAATAGATATGAGGTGGTCAGTTGCCAACTGCTATTGCAACTGCCCCAAATTTCATGCCCATAGTAATCCAACGAAGTAGGCATTGTTAGTGTCCCTGTTTTCTTTTTGAGACAGGGTCTCGCTTTGTCACCCAGGCTGGAGTGCAATCTTGGCTCACTGCAGCCTCTGCCTCCCATATTCAAGCGATTCTCCTGCCTCAGCCTTCTGAGTAGCTGGGATTACAGCTGCGTGCCACCACACCCGGCTAATTTTTGTATTATTAGTAGAGATGGGGTTTCATCATGTTGGCCAGGCTGGTCTTGAACTCCTGGCCTCAAGTGATCTGCCCACCTCAGCTTCCCAAAGTGCTGGGATTACAGGTGTGAGCCACTGCACCTGGCTAATTTTTGTATTATTAGTAGAGACGGAGTTTTGCCATGTTGGCCAGGCTGCTCTTGAACTCCTGAACTCAAGTATCTGCCCGCCTTGGCCTCCCAAAGTGCTGGGATGACAGGTGTGAGCCACCATGCCCGGCCAAGTGCCCCTGTTTTCTATAGGAGAAAGCTAAGCCTTTGGAGGAAGAAACGAGTTGTCTGAGCTGGCAGGTGGGAGAGTTTGGACGCAAACTTGAGTCTCTAAGTCTGTCCCCAAAGTCTCTCTCTTTTCCCCCACGTTCACTCTCTTCCCCTCTAACTTCTGACAAAGAACCTGTGCCTGATTCTTGTCCGACTTGTTATCTACTTGAAATTGGCCACCGTGAGAGTATTTACACTGTGGAAATTAGCAACTGCTACAGATCAGGACTTTTTCCCCCAAAGAGTCAGTGAGCCTCAAGACACAACAGCTCTCATTGCGACTCCAATGGGGTTCACCACTTTGGGGGAACCCATCTCAAATCTCACAAGTGGATCCTTGATGCTTTAATTTGGTCTGAAGAGATTTCAGTGTAGTGTGAGATGGAGAGGCTTAGAAAAGCCCCCTGGCTGCGGCAGAGTTAGTGTGAAAACAGCAGCCACTTCCTGAGACGGTGGAAATTAACATCCGCGAGAAAGATTTTGGCATCTCATAGCAGCTGAGCCCTCTGGCAACCTGCATTCCTGGCCAGTTACTCACTCCTGAGCCTAAGCAGGTGTTGACTGGGCTCTGCCCCTCCTAGTGTGGCTAGGACTGCCCTGGCCTGCCTGTTCCCTTCCTTGGCAGATCACCTATTTGCTAAGTTACCCTGGGATTTCTCCATCGGTGTCCTGCACTCGCAAGACGGGGAATAGGCAGGATGGGATGGGGCGCTGAGCCGCAGCCTAGATTTGGTCAGGAGCTGAGGATCAAACCTATTCCTGGGGCCGGGCGCAGTGGCTCACACCTGTAATCCCAGCACTTTGGGAGGCTGAGGCGGGCAGATCACTTGAGGTCAGGAGTTCAAGACCAGCCTGGCCAACATGGCAAAACCCTGTCTCTACTAAAAATACAACCCACAATTGTCTGGGTCCTTGCCTGGCCTGTTTGTTTGTTTTTAATTAAAGATGGGATCTTGCTATGTTGCCCAGGCTGGTCTTGAACTCCTGAGTTCAAGAGATGCTCCTGCCTCAGCCTCCCAAAGTGCTGGGATTACAGACATGAGCTACTGCACCCAGCCTAGTATTTTGAACAGCACATTTTTCCTGCTTTTTGAACAAGAGGCCTGCATTTACATTTTGCACTGGACTCCACAAATTATGGAACCGGCCCTGTAGCAGAGTCCTCACCCCCAAAGACCCAGAAGACTTGGAAATGGAAAAGAAGCCCAATATTTTCCCATGTGATAAAAGGGCCAGGCATGTTTTTTTGGAGGCCAATTTTACCAGCCAGTCCTCTCCAGTCCAGACTATTCCCCTGAGATCACTGGTTTATCTTCCCCTCATCCTAACTGGTGGGCCTAACCCATTTTTACCCTGATTTTCCAAAATGACCCAGGGTTAAGAGAAGGAAACACAAGCCAAAGACTCTGAGAAAATATTTGCAAAACATATATCAGATAGAGGATTTGTATTCCAAATATACAAAGAACTGTTAAAACTCAATCATAACAAAATGGTGTCTGGGTGTGGTGGCTCACACCTGTAATCCCAGCACTTTGGGAGGCTGAGACAGGTAGATCACCTGAGGTTAGGAGTTCAGGACCAGACTGGCCAGCATTGTGAAACCCCATCTCTACTAAAAATACAAAAATTAGCCAGACGTGGTGGCACGCACCTGTAGTCCTGGCTGCTCGGGAGGCTGAGGCAGGAGAATTGGTTGAACCTGGGAGACGGAGGTTGCAGTGAGCTGAGATCATGCCACTGCACTCCAGCCTGGGCGACAGAGTGAGACTCTGTCTCAAAAAAACAAAACAAAACAAAACAAAACAAATGAATAACATATAAAGCTTTTTTCTTTTTTCTGCAGTCTCTCTATTGACTTGTCACAATATTTTTTATTTGCTCCCTACTATCATTCTAAGTAAAGAAAACTCAGAAATCTAAATTATTAGCATGAATTTACCATTCATCTTTACATTGTGTAACGCCAATTTTTTTTTTTTTTTTTTGAGACAGGGTCTTGCTCTTGTCGCCCGGGCTGGAGTGCAATGGTGCGATATCGGCTCACTGTAACCTCCACCTCCCAGATTCAAGCGTTTCTTGTGCCTCAGCCTCCTGAGTAGCTGGGATTACAGGCATCCACCACCACGGCCGGCTAATTTTTGTATTTTTAATAGAGACAGGGTTTCACCTTTTTGGCCAGGCTGGTCTTGAACTCCTGACCTCAAGAGATCTGCCTGCCTTGGCCTCCCAAAGTGCAGGGATTACAGGCATGAGCCATTGTGCCCGGCCCGAAAAGGGGGTTTCTTAAGATCAAAATCAGAAACACCTCCAAGCAAAAACGTGAACATATATTAATTCTAGGTGGAGGGTACATGAGTGTTTATTTTACTCCCTATAGTTTTCTGTAGGTTTGAACAATTCCACAATTTTTTTTTTAAAGTAGGGCTGCCAAATTTCTCTTTTTGTTTGCCAACCCACTCCTCCCCAGTTCCTGCCTTTTAAAGACAAGGAAAACCTAAGCCTGCAGGGGGTAGGGGGAAAGCGACAGGATTGGAAGCCATGGGGTGTGAGGTGGGGAAGCAGGCAGGTGGCGGGAAGATGAGACTAATTACCCACTTCCGGGATCCGGTTTGGCTCCGCCCCCGCCCTGCTGTATCCATGGTAACCAGGTCTCCTTCGCAAGGCTGGACCAGTCGCCACGACGAGCTCCGGGGCGCCACCGGTGGCCTCTCTGATGGCCCGCTCGGCGAGGGGTCCCCAGCTATGAATCAAAGGGGGCACTTCTTGAATATAAAGAACAGCGTTGTCCTGTCCCACTGGGTCCCTTGTAACTGCATCTGCCACCCTAGGACAAGAGCAAGTCATTTCAGAAACTTCACCTACAGCCATTAGCCATCAAAGGCTTGCCGGGCACTGCCTGGTGTCACGCACTGCTTGTCGCATTTATTATGGGTGTGTGTCTGTGTGGGGACCTCCAGATTCCGCAGGGACAAGTCACTTGGGGACTCCAAGAGAGGAGAGAGCTTCATAACCTGCCCGTGTGGACGTCTATCTAGCTACACGCCCACCCTTTTATAAAATGTTTTATAAATTGATCTTACTCTAAAAGTCACATGAATCTGTAGGAAATCTGGGAAATCATCTCACCACCCACGGATAACCACAGCTAACATTTTTTTTTTTCTGAGACAGTGTCTCACTCTGTTGCCCAGGCTGAAGTCCAGTGGCATGCTCTCAGCTCACTGCAACCTCTGTTTCCCGGGTTCAAGAGATCCTCCTGCCTCAGCCTCCCAAGTAGCTGGGATTACAGGCGTGTGCCACCATGCCCTGCTAATTTTTGTATTTTTGGTAGACAGGATTTTGCCATGTTGCTCAGGCTGGTGTCAAACTCCTGTGCTCAAGTGATCCACCTGCTTCAGCCTCCCAAAGCGCCCGGCCCACAGCTAACATTTAGATCTCCGTATCCTTCCAGTAACCCCTTTCCTTTCCCATTCACTTTGAGAGCTGGCGTCTTGCAACATTGGAAATTCATAGCCTCAAAGGAATCTTCTGCCAGGGCTCTGGAAACGAGTAGACATGAGTTACAATTGCAGCTTCTTTGCTTACCTGCCACCTTTGGCAAATGAATTAATTTTTCTACACCTCAGTCTTCTGACTTGTAATATGGGAATAATACTAACAGTATCTACCGCATATTCTTCTTCTTTTTTTTTTTTTTTTTTTTTTGGACACAAGGCCTTGCTGTCACCCAGGCAGTGAGGCAAACACGGCTCACTGCAGCCTTGACCTCCTAGGCTCAAGAGATCTTTCTCCCTCAGCCTCCTTGAGTACCTGGGACCACAGGTGCGCACCACCAAAAATTTTTTATTTTTATTTTTTGTAAAGACGGTCTCTCTATGTTGCCCAAGCTGGTCTTGAACTTCTGAGCTCAAGTGATCCTCCAGACTTGTTCCCTCAAAGTACTGGGATTACAGGTGTGAGCCACCTCACCCAGCTGGGGAAATGGTCAAATGCATGTAAAATGCTTAGCACAGTGCTGAATACCCAGTAAAACGTCAGTGGAACCACACCCCCTTCTTCAAGCACAGCAGCAAAGTATAGTGTGGTATAATTATAACATTCTGCAACATAATTTTAAAAAAATTTAACATAGCACGAGCATTTTCCTTATATCCTTAAATATTACCTAAGTATGATTCTTAATTATCACATGACTATTCAACATAGGGATGTATCCAATAATTTATTTAGCCAATTCTCCATCGCTGGACCCGGGGAAGGTGAGGGTTTCCTTATCTTTTCCTTTTCTAGACAATACTGCGGAGGAAATCCCTTATTGAATGTTTGATATTACTTTAATGTCTTTATGTTCAGGAAAGCCTTCCTCTCTCTAGGATCAGATCAACATTCTCCTAAATATGTTTAGTTCTTTTATGGCTTCATTAAATTTTAAAAAAAAATTTATTTTTATTTTTTAAGAAACAAGGCCTTGCTCTGTTGCCCAGGCTGGAGTGCAGTGGTGCAATCATGGTTCACTGCAGCCTCCAGCTCCTTGGGCTCAAACAATCCTTCTGCCTCAGCCTCCCGATAACTGAGACTACAGACACACATCACCATGCCTGGCTAAGTTTTAACTTTCTTGTAGACACGGAGTCTTGCTATGTTGCCCAGGCTGGTCTTGGACTCCTGGCCTCAATCAATCCTCTCACTTAGGCCTCCCAACACACTAGGATTACAGGCGCGAATCACTGCGTCTGGCCTGGAATTTATTTTGATACCATAAAGTGAGAGTTAAGAAGTCTAATTTTATTCTTGTTCATAATAAGCTAACCAATTGTCCCAGCATCATTTCTTGAAGCAGCCAATCTTTCCTCCTTGGTTTTCTTTTTTTTTTTCTTTCTTTCTTTTTTTTTGATACAGAGTTTCGCTCTTATTGCCCAGGCTGGAGTGCAATGGCATGATCTTGGTTCACTGCAACCTCTGCCTCCCGGGTTTAAGCAATTCTCCTGCCTCAGCCTCCCAAGTAGCTGGGATTATAGACGTGTGCAACCATGCCTGGCTAATTTTTGCATTTTTAGTAGAGATGGAGTTTCACCACTTTGGCCAGGCTGGTCTTGAACTCCTGGCCTCAAGTAAGCCTCCTGCCCTGGCCTCCCAAAGTGTTGGGATTACAGGCGTGAGCCACTACGCCCAGGCAATTTTGTATTTTTAGTAGAGATGGGGTTTCACCATGTTAGCCAGGCTGGTCTTGAACTCCTGGCCTCAAGTGAGCCTCCGGGCTCGGCCTCCCCAAGTGCTGGGATTACGGGGATGAGCTACTAGGCCACCTTCATTGGATTCTAAACTCATCCATGTAACTGGTTCTTTGTTGGGGCTCTTGGCTCTGGCTCCCAAAGACGTGCTGGATTTATATGTGGCAGTGTTGGTCACAAGCCATCAGTTTGTAGAGTCCCATGGAAACTCAACCTCACAGCACTGGCCACACGTGTCAAAAAGGAGTTGCCAAGTCTTAGGCTTTTCTCCAGCCGGTGTTGGCTGTCTTTGCTTCCTTTTTCCCACCATGTAAAATACTATATTTTTGCCAAGCCCCAAATCACGTTGTCCATGATCAGCCACCTCTACCCATGGCCATTTCTATGACTGAGCAATGTCTTAGCACTTATGTATTCAGCCTCCTCATCTGGAGCAGACTGTATTTTTCAAAGATGTCCTCATCAATATATTTATCTATCCTATGTGCTCTTTTTACAAATTGACTGATAGACCTCTCCTGAAAAGTGGAGTCTGTGTGCCCTCTGAACCTTTAATAGGTTCAGACATCTTATTTGGGATGATGAAAGAGTTATGGAAATGGATCACAGTGATGGCTGCACAAATTATTTTTCTTAGTTTTAAAGTTTTGTTTAGAGATAGGATCTTGCTCTGTTGCACAGGCTGGAGTGCCGTGGCGCTATCATAGCTCACTGCAGCCTCAACCTCCCGGGCTCAAGTGATCCTGCCCCCTCAGCCTCCTGAGTAGCTGAGACCACAGGCATGTGCCACCATGCCTGGCTAATTTTTAAAGATCTTTAGTAGAGATCGGATCCCAGGCTGGTCTTGTACTCCTGCCCTCAAGCAATTCTCCTATCTCAGCCTCTCAAAGTGTTGGGATTATAGGTGTGAGTCACTGTGCCTGGCCTTCAACTTTTTTTTAGTGGTGAATAGTAACTTACTAGTATATTGTAAATAATAGAACTAATAAGTGCAGGGCTCTCCTGTACATCAGAGTACCATATACCTACCTTGTGGTTAAAGACCTGGGTTTTGGATTTAGGCAAACTTGCATTCACATTCAGCGCCATATCTGTGCTGATCTTGGTGTGCTCTTGAGCAAGTTACTTGATCTCTCTGGGCCTTGGTTTCCTGAACTGTAAAATGGATAAAACAGAACCCTTGCCAAGAGTTGCTGGAGAATTGAACAAGGTAGGTGCATACTAGATCATGCACAAAAGCTTGGGGCATATTTGGTGCTCTCAAGAAGGGTTGGCTTAGCTGGGCATGGTGGCTCATGCCTATAATCCCAGCACTTTGGGAAGCCAAGACAGGAGGATTGGTTGAGCTCAGGAATTCAGGACCAGCCTGGGCAACAGAGCGAGACCCGATCTCTACAAAAAAATAAAAATAAAAAAAAACTTTTTAAGTTATCCAGGCATGGTGGCATGCACCTGTGGTCCCAGCTACTCAGGAGGCTGATGTAGGAGGATTGATTGAGCGCAGGAATTTGAGGCTGTAGTGAGCCAGGATTGCACCACTGCAATCCAGCCTGGGTGACAGAGCAAGAGTCTGTGGAAAGAAGCAAGAAAGCAAGAAAAAGAAAAGAAAAGAAAGAAAGAAAGGAAGGAAGAGAAAGAGAAAGAAAGAAAGAGAAAGAGGGAGGGAGGGAGGAGAGGAAAGAAAGGAAAGGAAAAAGAAAGAAAAGAAGGAACAAAGGAAGAAGAGAAAGAGAAAGAAAAAGAAACAAACATCAGGTCTATCTCATTTGCTCTTCATAGCAGCTCAATAAAGTAGAAGCATCTTACCATCTCCTTGCTACAAAGGAAGAATAGGACCCTTGGGGAGATGAGGCTACCTTCCTAACAGTGCTTGAGGAGTGAGGGGTTAGAGCCTAGGCTGGCCCCTGTATTAGTTCTCTGGGGCCACCATCACAAGATACCACAGTCCGGGTGGCTTCAGCAACAGAAATGTGTTGTCTCACAATTATTGAGGCCAGAAGCCCACAGTTCAGGTGTTGGCAGGGTTGGTGCCCTTTGGAGCTCTCTCTCCTTGTCTTGTAGATGGCTGTCTTCCTCCTGGGTCTTCATATGTCAGCCTCCGTGTGTGTCTGTGTGCTAATCACTTCTCCTTCTCCTCCACCTCCTCCTTCTTCTTCTCCTTCTTTTTTGAGACAGGGTCTCTCTCTGTCATCCAGGCTGGAGTGCAGTGGCGCCATCTCAGCTCACCACAACCTTCATTTCCCGGGCTCAAGCAATCCTCCTGCCTTGGCCTCCCAAGTAGCTGCGACTACAGGTGTGTGCCACCATGCTTGGCTGATTTTTGTATTTTTAGTAGAGACAGGGTTTCATCAGTTTGGCCAGGCTCATCTTGAACTCCTGGGTTCAAGTGATCCTCCCACCTCGGCCTCCCAGATTGCTGGGATTACTGGTGTGAGCTACCGTGCCTGGCCACTAATCTATTCTCATAAGTACACCAGTCGTACTGGATTAAAGCCCGCCCTGACTGGCTCATTTTTACTTAATCACCATTTTAAAGGCCCCGTCTCCAGATAGAGTCCCATTCGGAGGTATGGGGGTTAGGGTTTCAACGTATGAATTTTGGAGGAACATGATCAGCCCATAACAGCTCCCCTTCTCCTGTTATCTTGGGATTCTAATTCTGAAATAAGAGGAGGTTTAGATTTGCTGGGACCTTGGCCTCGGCTCTGGTTCCAGGGCTATGTCTAGACCACAGGGAAACACCCAGTCAATGAGGCGTGTTCAGAAGGAACAGGACAGCCTCAATAGCTTGTTCCAACGCAAAGCTAGGCCGACCGTCTTTACAGCCACCCTCACAGCCTTGGCAAGACTAGAAAGTACCAGTAAAACCGCATAAAGTGATGCTTGTTCAGACAGGTCCAAGCCAGCAGCACTCACCTTCAGAAGGAGATCTAGGAGAGGGGGAAAAGTATCTGCTGGCTACAAGGAAAGAACAAACCTTCAATTAATGACTCCCTGGGGGTGGCGGGGGTGATGACGGGGGCGGAGATGGCTAGACAGTAATAATTCCCATCCACAGTGGCTGTGAAAATCTTCTGGGATGTCTTGGGGAGGGCTGGGAGCGGGGAGGCAGACAAAAACAACAAAAAATAAATAAGCAGGATGATTTCAAGTGATGATGAGGTCCTGAAGAAAATGAGGCCAGGCCGGGCACTGTGGCTCACACTTGGAATCCCAGCACTTTGGGAGGCCAAGGTGGGAGGATTGCTTGAGCCCAGGAGGTTGAGACCTGCCTGGGCAACATAGTGAGACCCCATCTCTTAAAATAATAATAGTAATAATGGTAGATGAAAATGAAGCTTGGCTGGGCATGGTGGCTCCTGCCCATAATCCCAGCACTTAGGGAGACAGAGGCAGGAGGATTGCTTGAGCCCAGGAACCTGAGACCAGACTGGGCAACATAGTGAGACCCCATCTCTTAAAATAACAATAGTAATAATGGTAGATGAAAATGAAGCTTGGCTGGGCATGGTGGCTCCTGCTTATAATCCCAGCACTTAGGGAGGCAGAGGTGGGAGGATCGCCTGAGCCCAGGACTTCAAACCAGCCTGGGCAACATAGTGAGACCCCATTCTCACGAAACAAGAAAATGAAGGCAGGTGATGGGGAGGAGTGCTACTTTACAATGGATAGTGAGACAGTGTCTCTTGGAGAAAGAGGTGGCTTTTTTTTTTTTTTTTTAGACAAAGTCTCGCTCTGTTGCCAGGCTGGAGTGCAGTGGTGCGATCTCGGCTCATTGCAACCTCTGCCTCACAGGTTCAAGGGATTCTCCTGCCTCAGCCTCCCAAGTAGCTGGGATTACAGGTATGCACTACCAAGCCTAGCTAATTTTTGCATTTTTAGTAGAGATGTGGTTTCACCATATTAGCCAGGAAGTTCTCGAAATCTTGACCTCATGATCCTCCTGCTTCAGCCTCCTAAAGTGTTGGGATTACAGGTGTGAGCCACTGCGAGAAGGTGGCTTTGGAGCTGAATCCTGAAAGGCAAAAAGGACAGAGTTAAGGAATGAGTTATGGAAAGATGTGAAACTGGATTTCTCCACCTGGGCACTGTGGATGTTTGGAGCTAGATAGTTCTTTGCAGTTGGAGGAACTGGGCTATCTTGTGCTCCCTGTGCCCAATAGGGTGTTGAGCGGCATCCATGGCCTCTGCCCGCTGGATGCCAGTAGCCCTCTTCTTATCCCCCAGCCCCCAAGTCCCCACAACCAAAATGTTGCCAGATCACGTGTCCCACAGGAGGAAAAGTCAACCACTGACTGAGCCACAAGAAGGACGTCCCGCAACAGAGAACAATGACCATGTAGGACCCAATGTGGGAACGAGCTCGGCAGGTTTTCTTGGAACAGAAGTTTCCAGAAACAAAAGACTTCAAGCAGATGATAGCTGATGGGTGGAGTCCAGTGTGGGAGGAGAGGAGAGGAATGGGGAGAGGTGTATGGCCGGGGTGCTGGCAGGGAGCCTGGTGCTGTGGGAGGAAGGTGGATTTCATTCTGCATGGCAGGGGAGGACGCTGGAGGGACGTGGCCTAAAAGATCGCTCCAGCTGCTGGGGTAGGGGCCAGGGGACAGACTGGGGTTTACAAAAGCGTTAGTTTCCTGTGGCTGCAGTAACCAGTTACCACAGAGGTGGTGGCTTAAAACAGTAGAAATGCGGCCAGGCACGGTGGCTCACGCCTGTAATCCCAGCACTTTGGGAGGCCGAGGCAGGCAGATCACCTGAGGTCAGGAGGTCGCGACCAGCCTGGCTAACATGGCGAAACCCAGCCTTTACTAAAAATACAAAAGTTAGCCGGGCGTGGTGGCGGGCACCTGTAATCCCAGCTACTCTGGAGGCTGAGGCAGGAGAACCGCTTGAACCAGAGAGGCAGAGGTTGCAGTGAGCCAAGATCTCGCCACTGCACTCCAGCCTGGGTGACAGAGGGAGACTCTGCCTCAAAAGAAAAAAAAAAGAAAGAAGAAGGAAGGAAGGAAGGAAGGAAGGAAGGCACGCAGGCAAGCAAGCAAGAAAGCAAGCAAGCAGGCAGGCAGGAAGACAAGAAAGAAAAAGAAAGAAAAGAAAGAGAGAGAGAGAGAGAGAAAGAAAGAAAGAAAGAAAGAAAGAAAGAAAGAAAGAAAGAAAGAAAGAAAGAAAGAAAGAAAGAAAGAAAGAAAGAAAGAAAGAAAGAAGTGTGGCACCTCCCCTTCTCTCTCTTGCTCCTGCTCCTGCCATGTAAGATCGCCCGCTCCCACTTTGCCTTGCACCGTGATTGGAAGCGTCTTGAGGCCTCCCCCAAAAGCAGAAGCCTCCATGCTTCCTGCACAGCCTGCAGAAGAACTATGAGCCAATTAAAACCTCTTTTCTTTCTCAATTATCCAGTCTCAGGTATTTCTTTACAGCGGAGCAAGAACAGACTCATACAGGGATAGAGCAGGGATTGTGTATGTTTAACCAGCCCGGGCTCTGCCATATCACAGCCCAGACAATGGAATAACAGGGCTGAGATGAAGAGTGTTCCATCCAAGCTGGCAGCCTCTCAATGGCTTGTGGAAATCTGAGCAGCAGAAATCAAAAGGGAAACGATGGGCATTGCTTGCCTGTGAGTGAACAAGTTCAGAGCCATACGCTCAAAGTGTCTAAAACATCCTTTCCAACACATCCACGACCCTGCCCTGGGCTACATTGTGAATGGAGTGAAAGTTGTCTTTTTTTTTTTTTTTTTTTTTTGAGATGGAGTCTTACTCTGTCGCCCAGGCTGCAGTGCAGTGGCACGGTCTTGGCTCACTGCAAGCTCTGCCTCCCGGGTTCACGCCATTCTCCTGACCCTGAGTAGTTGGGACTACAGGTGCCCCCCACCACGCCCGGCTAATTTTTTGTATTTTTAGTACAGACAGGGTTTCACCGTGTTAGCCAGGATGGTCTCTATCTCCTGACCTCGTGATCCGCCCACCTCGGCCTCCCAAAGTGCTGGGATTACAGGCGTGAGCCACGGCGCCCTGCCAAGTTGTCTTTTTTTAAGAGTCCCTGAACAAGGTGCGTTGTTGCCTCTTCTGCAGAGCTCTGGCCCACTGCTGGAGAATTAGAACTCCCAAGCCACAACCAATCTTGAAACGCTAAAGGAGAATCCTGCAGAAGACACATCAAACCCTCGTAATGTGGAACATAAAACTTCCAAATACTGCTTGTCTCGGCTGCTTTAAAATCCCAGGCTTTTTTTTTTTTTTTTGAGACAGGATCTTGCTCTGTTGCCCAGGCTAGAGTGCAGTGGCGCAATCATAGTTCACTGCAGCCTCCAACTCCTGGGCTCAATCGATCCTCCCATCTCAGGCTCCCGAGTAGCTGGGACCACTAGTGCGCACCACCATGCCCACCTAACTTTTTGTATTTTTTGTAGAGATGGATTCCACTATGTTGCACAGGTTGGTCTTGAAACTCCTGGACTCAAGCGATCTGCAAGCCTTGGTCTCCCAAAGGGTTGAGATTACAGGCATGAGCCACTGCACCCAGTCAGTTTTTTCTGCATTTGTTATTACTTATTTTTTAACTGACAGCTAAACTTGTATATGTTTATTGTTTACAACATGATGTTCTGAAACACATATTCATTGCAGAATGGCCAAACCAAGCCAACCAACAGGCATACGCATCACCTCACATTTGTAATTTTTGCAGTGGAAACACTTAAAATCTACTGTTTTAGCATTTTTCAAGAAAACAACATATTGTTATTTTATTTTTATTTTTTGAGGCAGGGTATCTCTCTCTCACCCAGGCTGGAGTGCAATGGCACAATCACAGCTCACTTCAGCCTCAGACTCCTGGGCTCAAGTGGTCCTCTCTCCTCAGCCTCCCGAGTAGCTGAGACTACAGGTGCGCACCACCACGCCTGGCTGATTTTTAAACTTTTTGTAGAGATGGGGTCTCGTTATTTTGCCCTGGCTGGTCTTGAACTCCCGGGCTCAAGCAATCCTCTGGCCTCAGCCTCTCACAGCACTGGGATTACAGGCATGAGCTACCTTGCCCAGCCAATATATTGGTCACCATGTTGTACAACCAATCTCTTGAGCTTATTTCTCTTATCTAACTGAAATTTTGTAAACTTTGACCAACATCTCCCAAACTTCCTCCCCTATCACTACCCCAAGCCCCCTGGTAACCTGGGCTCTGCCATATCACAGAGCAGACGATGGAATAACAGGCCATTCTACTCTGTACTTCTCTGAAATGGACTTTTTCAGATGCCCCATGTAAGTGAGATCACACAGTATTTGTCTTTCTGTGCCTGGCTTATTTCAGTTAACATAATTTCCTCCAGGTTCACCCATGTTGTTGCAAATGATAGGATTTCCTCCTTTTGTGGCTGAATAGTATTCCACGTTTCCTTTATCCATTCATCCAGTGATGGACACTTAGGTTGATTTCACATCTTGGCGATTGTGAATAATGCTGTCAATCAGGAGTGCAAAAGACTTAAAAAAGGAAAAATTTGGCCTGGCGTGGTGGCTCATGCCTGTAATCCCAGCACTTTGGGAGGCCGAGGCGGGCGGATCATGACGTCAGGAGATCGAGACCATCCTGGCTAACATGGTGAAACCCCCTCTCTACTAAAAATACAAAAAATTAGCCAGGCATGGTGGCGGGCGCCTGTAGTCCCAGCTACTCGAGAGGCTGAGGCAGGAGAATTGCTTGAACCCGGGAGGCAGAGGTTGCAGTGAGCTGAGATTGCGCCACTGAACTCCAGCCTGTGTGACAGAGCGAGTCTCCGTCTCAAAAAAAAAAAAAGGAAAAAAAAATTTAAAAGATAATGACGTCATTAACATGAGTGTGCAGATATCTCTTTGATGTACTGATTCTACTTTTTTTTTTTTTGAGACAGAGTCTCACTCTGTCATCCAGGCTACAGTGCAGTGGCACGATCTCAGCTCACCACAACTTCTGTCTCCTGGGTTCAAGCAGTTCTCCTGCCTCAGCCTCCTGCGTAGCTGGGATTACAGGCACGTGCCACCACACCTGGCTAACTTTTATATTTTTAGTAGAGACAGCGTTTGACCATGTTGGCCAGGCTGGTCTTGAACTGCTGACCTCAGGTCTCCCAAAGTGCTAGGATTACAGGCGTGAGCCACCACGCCCCAGCCTGATTCTACTTCTTTTGGCTATATGCCCAGTAGTGGAATTGCTAGATCATATGCTAGGTCATATGCTAAATTTTTAAATTTTTTGAGGAATCTCCATACTGTTTTCCACAGTGGTTCCCATGATGGCTGTACTGATTTACATTCCCACCAACAGTGTGCGAATGTCCCTTTTCTCCACATCCTCACCAACACTTAATCTTTCATCTTTTTTCAAATAGCCATTCGGACAGGTATGAAGTGATATCTCATTGTCAATTTTTTTGAGACAGGGTCTCGCTCTGGAGTGCAGTGGCTCAATCATAGCTCGTTGCAGCCTTGGCCTTCTGAGCTCAAGCAATCCTCCTGCCTCAGCCTCCCAAGTAGCTGGAACTACAGGTGCACACCATCATGCCTGGCTATTTTTTTTTTTTAATTTTTTATGGAGACGGGGTCTCACTTTGTTGCCCAGGCTGGTCCTCCCTCCTATGCCTCCCTCCATAAGGCTTTGTAAGCACTGCCAAGCAAGCTATCTCACGGGCCTTTCTTCTTTGTGCCTGTCACAAGGGCAATTTCACATTTGTTTGTGCTGTTATTTATTTGTTATTTATTTATTTATATATTTTTTGGAGACAGAGTCTCACTCTGTCACCCAGGCTGGAGTGCAGTGGTGTGATCTCAGCTCACTACAACCTCTGCCTCCAGGGTTCAAGCGATTCTCCTTCCTCAGCCTCCTGAATAGCTGGGATTACAGGCGTCTGCCACCACCCCCGGCTAATTTTTCTGTATTTAGTAGAGACAGGGTTTCACCATGTTGGCCAAATTAGTCTTGTACTCCTCAATTCAAGTGACCTGCCTGCCTCAGCCTCCCAAAGTGCTGGGATTACAGACGTGAGCCACTAAGCCCAGCCTTGGCTTGTTATTTTATCAGCACCTGTATCAGGGATCTTTGGGTGACCGAAAGCCGAACACAAGCTGACTTAAGCAAGAAGGGCATATCTTGGGTTATTCACTGAACTCGAAGTCAGGGCAGTGATATGATGGAGCAGCTTACTGACTGTGTGCAATCTCTCCCAAGCCTGAGTTCAATCAGCCTGGTGAGAATATTTACACTATGGAAATTGGCAGATGCTATGAATCAGGGCTCTCTTACCCCTCACCCCAGAGCTGATTGTTAAACATTTACCAGCACACCACTGGATGTTTATTTCAGGTATGGCTGCATACAGAGGCCAAATGATGTCACCAACCCCTGACCTCGCTTTATCTCTCTGGCTTTCCTCTGCTGGCTACTCTCAAGCAGGCTTTCCCTTTATGATATGTGACAGTGGTGACAGTTCTAGCCTGCAAGCTTCCAGGGCAAGTGAAGGGCAAGAGAAAGGACCCCTTTCTCCCATGTCAAAGCCTCATTTTGTCTCTCTAGCTCAAAGTGGATTACATATCTGTTTCTTTTCTTTAAAAACATCGTTTTTGGGCTGGGCGCAGTGGCTCACGCCTGTAATCCCAGCACTTTGGGAGGCCGAGGGGGGTGGATCACGAGGTCAAGAGATCAAGACCATCCTAGCCAACAGGATGAAACCCCATCTCTACTAAAAATACAAATATCAGCTGGGCATGGTGGTGTGCACCTGTAGTCCCAGCTACTCAGGAGGCTGAGGCAGGAGAATCGCTTGAACCCACGAGGCAGAGGTTTTAGTGAGCCGAGATTACACCACTGCACTCCAGCCTGGGTGACAGAGCGAGATTTCATCTTAAAAACAACAACAACAACAACAACAACAACAACAAAATACATTGTTTTCGTTTTTTGTTTTGTTTTTTTTTTTAGAGATGGGTCTTGCTCTGTCACCCAGGCTGGAATGCAATGGTGCAATCATAGCTCAGTGCAGCCTCGAACTCCTAGGCTCAAGCGATCCTCCTGCCTCAGCCTCCTGAGCAGCTGGGTCTACAGGCATGCACCACCACACTCAGCTAATTTTTTAAAAAAATTTTGTTGTAGAGACAGGGTCTCACTATGTTGTCCAGGCTGGTTTCAAACTCCTGGGCTCAAGCAATCCTCCTGCCTTGGCCTCCCAAAGTCCTGAGATTACAGGCATGAGCCGTCATGACTGGTAGATTACATGTCTGTTTCTAAACCAATCACTGTAGCCATTTAAAATTGAGTTGAAAAAAATATATAGCCAGGTGTGGTGGCTCACGTCTGTTGTCCCAGCTGCTCAGGAGGCTGAGGTGGGAGGATCACTTGAGCCCAGAAGTTGGAGGCTGCAGTGAGCCATGATTGTGCCACTGCATACCAGCCTGGGCAATAGAACAAGACCCCCCATCTCAGAAAAAAGGCCAGTGGCAGTTGAAAATTATTTATTGTGTGCCTACTATGTGCCAGGCACTGTTCCAGGCTCTTGAGTTTCAAGATAATCAACATAGGAAAAATCCCCTATGCCTCCAGAACTTATGTTCTAATGAAGGGAGACAGACCAAAACCAAGAATGATCAAAGTCAGGGGTTAAGAAGTGCAACAGAGAGGCTGGGCATGGTGGCTCATCCCTGTAATCCCAGCACTTTGAGAGGCCAAGGAGGGTGGATCATTTGAGGTCAGGAGTTCGAGACCAGTCTGGCTAACATGGTGAAACCTTGTCTCTACTAAAAATACAAAAATTAGCCGGGCGTGGTGGTACATGCCTGTAATCCCAGCTACTCGGGAGGCTGAGGCAGGAGAATTGCTTGAACTTGGGAGGCGGAGGTTGCAGTGAGCCGTGATTGTGCCACTGAACTCCAGCCTGGGTGACAGAGGGAGACTGTCTCAAAAAAAAAAAAAAAAAAAAAAAAAGAAGTGCAATAAAAAATGAAATGGTGGGGAGAGGTAAATATAGAGTGTGGGAAAAAGGCTACAAGTAGAGGGTGGTCAGAGAAGGCTTCACCGAGCAGGTGACATTTGAGTAAATACCCAAATAAAATGAAGAAGCCAGGCACGCAGATGTCAGCATGCGGGGAAGGGTGTTCGGGCAGAGGCAACAGCAAATGCAAAGGCTCTGCGATGAGATGTTGGAGAAAAATCCAGCTCTTGTTTTTTGTTTTGTTTTGTTTTGAGACAGAGTCTTGCTCTGTTGCCCAGGCTGGAGGGCAATGGCGAGATCTTGGTTCACTGCAACCTCTGCCTCCCGGGTTCAAGTGATTCTCCTGCCTCAGCCTCCTGAGTAGCTGGGATTACAGGTGCCTGCTACCATGCCTGGCTAACTTTTTTGTATTTTTAGTAGAGAGGGGGTTTCATCACGTTAGCCAGGCTGGTCTCAAACTCCTGGCCTCAAGTGATCCGCCCGCCTTGGCCTCCCAAAGTGCTGGGATTACAGGCATGAGTCACCGTGCTTGGCCTCAATGAAGCATTTTTGAGTGCTATTTATAACATTTATATTTAATATCGGCATCCCTGAAATTAAAAATATTTTATTAATTTTTTTATTTTTTTAATTTTTAATTAAATTTTAATTTAATTAAATTTAAATTAAATTTTAATTTAATTAAATTTAAATTAAATTTGAATTAAATTTGAATTAAATTAAATTTGAATTAAATTTTAATTAAATTAAATTTTTTAATTTTTAGAGGTAGGGTCTCACTCTGTCACCCAGGCTGGAGTGCAGTGGTGTGGTAAGCTATGGCTCATTGCACCCCGGAACTCCTAGGCTCATGTGATCCTCCTGCCTCAGCCTCCTGAGTAGCTGGGACTACAGGTAAGCACCACCACAGCTGGCTAATTTTTAAAAATGCTTATAGAGACAGGATCTTGTTATGTTGCCCAGGCTGATCTTGAACTCCAGAGCTCAAGCAATCCTCCCACCTCAGCCTTCCAAAGCACTGGGATTACAGGCATGAGCCACCTTGCCCGGTCTAAAAACATTTTAAGAAAAGCGTGCCAGTGATGGTCCAAGTACATTTGGTAGCACATTAGAGCCTTGTTGCCCTTTGGAAGGATGTGTAACCTGGAAGATGTTGGTGTAGAGCGAGGACAGAACCAAGGGAGCCATTCTCAGCAACAGAGCATTTTTCATAATGCTTTCCGTGTGGTTCTTCTTTTTGCCTAGCCTTGTATACAATCAGTCCCCCTCCCAAAATTGAGAAAATGATGAAAAAAATTACACAAAATGTCAACTGAAGAATTATGAGGTTCACAAATTTGGAAAGGAGAGCTTTATTTCTTACAAAGGGTTGCAGCCTACAGGATGCCATCCCACAGGCTGGGAAGCGTAGCCTCAGGGAGAAGCCAGAAGCAGGTACGTGGAGGGAGGAAAGAAGGAGACAGGAATTTATACGGAACTATAAATATTCAACTATACATATTCAACAGGTGACTATACATATTGAACAGGTTATGGGAGGAGCTATGAATATTCATGAAGAGAGAACATACATATGCCTCATCAGCAAACAGCATGTTATATGCATCCTGTGTTCACTTTGGGCAGAGACTTAACATTTAAATGTGTCACAATGAAGCCCTACACATCAAAAGGTGAAGCAGAGGACACGAAGGCGCTCAGTGTACAGCATCTGTAGACTGGTCAGAACCACTCCATGATCTGTGGTCTCTTCTTTTGTTTTGTTTTGAGATGGAGTCCCAATCTGTCGCCTAGGCTGGAGTGCAGTGGGTGCAATCTCGGCTCACTGCAAGCTCCGCCTCCCAGGTTCATGCCATTCTCCTGCCTCAGCCTCCCGAGTAGCTGGGACTACAGGCGCCCACCACCACGCCCGGCTAATTTTTGGTATTTTTAGTAGAGATGGGGTTTCACCGTGTTAGCCAGGATGGTCTCGATCTCCTGACCTTGTGATCTGCCTGCCTCAGCCTCCCAAAGTGCTGTGATTACAGGCATGAGCCACCATGCCTGGCCTCTCTTTCTTTTTTGTTTTTTTTTTTTTTTTTTGGAGACGGGGGGTCTCACTCTGTTGCCCAGGTTGGAGTACAGTGGCCCAATCACGGCTCACAGCAGCCTCAACTCCTAGGCTCAAGTGATCCTCCCACCTCAGCTTCCCAAGTAGCTGAGACCACAGGTGTGCACTACCACACCTGGTGAATATTTTGGATTTTTTGTAGAGATGGGGTCTTGCTATGTTGCCCAGGCTGCTCTCGAACTCCTGGGCTCAAGTGATCCTCTTGTCTCAGCTTCCCAACATGCTGGGATTTACAGGCAGGAGGCACCACACGGGACCTCAGCGATCTCTTATCAGGGAAGAATGCTGGGCAGTTGCTGTGTTGAAACTGCAGACGGGGAGGGGAGTCTGGCAAGTCTTTCAAAAGCGCTGGTTTCTGTTTAACCCTTAGGAAAGAAAGTCTAATTGCAGTTAGCAAGGGAGAGGACATGGGGAGCTTGTCTAACCCCCCCGTTTCATCATGGCTGGGAACTCCATGTGTAAACT
Source organism: Homo sapiens (assembly GCF_000001405.40). Classification (NCBI taxonomy): domain Eukaryota; kingdom Metazoa; phylum Chordata; class Mammalia; order Primates; family Hominidae; genus Homo; species Homo sapiens. The sequence continues at coordinate 98,067,462 of NC_000007.14, forward strand.
CTCTCTGAGGTCTCCCTCGCCAAGGGGGGCTTGTTCAGTTGGTTCAGGAACTTAGGATTTTATTTTTGTTTTTCAAAATGAAGCAAGGAGAGTGAGAAAAGTGATGGCAATGGAAAAGAAAGTATTGAATACAGCCAGGCACAGTGGCTCACGCCTGTAATCCCAGCACTTTGGGGGGCCAAGGCGGGCGGATCACCTGAGGTTGGGAGTTCAAGACCAGCCTGACCAACATAGAGAAACCCTGTCTCCACTAAAACTACAAAAAATTAGCTGGATGTGGTGGCGCATGCCTGTAATCCCAGCTACTTGGGAGGCTGAGGCAGGAGAATCGCTTGAACCCAGGAGGCAGAGGTTGCAGTGAGCCAAGATCGCGCCATTGCACTCCAGCCTGGGCAACAAGAGCAAAACTCTGTCTCAAAAAAAAAAAAGGTATAAGTATTGAATACAAAGCAACTGTACGTTAACAACCATCTTGTTTTATGATGCAAACCCCATGCTTTAAGCATTTTACTTAAGCATTTATGAACATGGTTTGTTGTTACATACAGGAGATTTACATATGATAAAACTGACTATTTTCACTTCTCCATTTCCAGCCTTTAACCTCCTAGCCTAGGAATCTGCAAACATTCGCTTTTTAAAAATTTTTTGAAATTTTTGTTTTGGGACAGGGTCTCGCCCTGTCACCCAGGCTGGAATGTAGTGGTGTGATCACCAGCTCACTGCAGCCTCAACCTCCCAGGCTCAAGTCATCCTCCCACCTCAGCCTCCCAAGTAGCTGAGAACCACAGGTGTGCACCACCATGCCCAGCTAATATTTTTATTTTTTGTAGAGATGACATCTTACCATGTTGCCCAGGCTGATCTCAAACTCCTGGGGTCAAGAGATCCTCCTGCCTCGAACTCCCAAAGTACTGAGATTACAAACATGAGCCACCATGCCTGGCCTTTTTCTTTTTTTCAGTAAAGAAGGGGTCTCTCTATGTTGCCCAGGCTGGTCTCGAACTCCTAGCCTTAAGCAATCCTCCTATCACCTTGGCCTCCCTGTGGTGACAAAAGGCAGAGTAGTGGTTACCTAGAGGAGAGAATGATGGAGACAGGTCCCCAAGGAGCCTGGCCAAATGCTGGAAGTTCTCTGTATGTCTGCCATCCAGTATGTAGCCACTAGCCACATGTGGCTATTTAAATTTAAATGTGAAATTTACTTCCTTGGTATAATGATTCCTGAAAAAAAAAATCAGACATAGAATTATGCTGTGACTCAGTAATTCCACACCTGGTGCTGTAACCCCCCTAGAAGGTGAAAGTAGAGTCTGAAACAGGTATTTGCCCACCTGTGTTCACAGCAGCATTATTTGCAACAGCCAAGAGGTGGGAGCAACCGAATGTCCATCACTGGGTAAACAAATGTGATGTTTCCATACAGTGGAATATTACTCAGCCTTAAAAAGGAAGGGAATTCTGACTCCTGCTACAACACTGATGAGCCTTGAAGACTTTATGCTTAGTGAAATAAACCAGTCACAAAAGGACACACACTGTATAATTCCACATTTATGAGACACTTAGAGTATCAAATTCAAAGAGACAGGGCTGAGCGCGGTGGCTCACACCTAAAATCCCAGCATTTTGGGATGCTGAGGCTGGTTAGCTGGCATGGTGGTGTGTGCCTGTAGTCCCAGCTATTCAGGAGGCTGGGCGAGGAGGATCGCTTGAGCCCAGGAGGTCTAGGCTGCAGTGAGCCATGACAGCATCACTGCACTCCAGGCTGGGTGACAGAGCAATACCTGGTCTCTCTTTAAAAAAAAAAAAAAAAAAAAAATCATAGAGGCAGACAGTAGACTGGCAGCTGCCAAGGGTTTGGGAGAAGGAGATGAGGAGAGTTCATGGATAGTTTCAGTGGGGGAAGATGAGAAGTTCTGGGGATGGATGGTGGTGATAATTGCACAATAAGGTGAATATGCTTAGTGCCCATTGAACTGTACACTTACAAATGGTTAACACGGGCCGGGCGCACTGGCTCACGCCTGTAATCCCAGCACTTTGCAAGGCCAAGGAGGGTGGATCACCTGAGGTCGGGAGTTTGAGATCTGCCTGGCCAACATGGTGAAACTCCATCTCTACTAAAAATACAAAAATTAGCTGGGTGTGGTGGCGCACCTGTAATCCCAGCTACTAGGGAGGCTGAGACAGGAGAATCACTTGAACCCAGGAGGTTGCTCTGTCTTGTTCTGTCGCCCAGGCTGGAGTACAGAGGCGCGATCCCGGCTCACTGAAACCTCGGCCTCCCAGGTTCAAGCGATTCTTCTGCCTCAGCCTCCCAGTAGCTGGGATTACAGGTGCACACCACCACACCCGGCTAATTTTTATATTTTTAGTAGAGACGGGGTTTTACCATGTTGTCCAGGCTGGTCTTGAACTGCCGACCTTAGGTGATCCGCCCACCTCAGCCTCCCAAAGTGCTGGGATTACAGCAATGAGCCACCACGCCCGGACCTGCTGCTTCTCATTGATGTAATTCCCAAGCATGAGACTTATAGACAAAGAGAGGGAGCTGCAAGCATTTCTACGCCCCTCACGCCGAGGGAGGTTTACTGTCATCTTCTCTGATGGTTAGAAGACCTGGACTTGATGGTACAAGCAAAGACCCAAGTCCTATGCTTACCTTTGGCAGCCAAAAAGATGGGTACTCTAACTCAACTTCAGAGAGACTGCAGCAGGTCCTTCTTCCTCCAGATGGCTTCAGTCTTTTTTCTCCCTCATAATGGCGTCTTCACATTCTTGTGAAGATAAGAATGAATGAATTCCCATGCCTCACTGTGTACACTGGGGTCTTGTTGAGGACAGAAGCTGCATCTCACCTATTTTTCTACATCCCGTAGCACCTATTACAGTGTCTGGCACAGGGTAGCCATTTGCTGTTTTATTTTTAATTATTATTATTATTTTTTTCAAGACGGAGTCTTGCTCTGTCACCAGGCTGGAGTGCAGTGGCGTGATCTCGGCTCACTGCAACCTCCGCCTCCCAGATTCAAACGATTCTCCTGCCTCAGCCTCCCAAGTAGCTGGGACTACAGGTGTGCACCACTACGCCCAGCTAATTTTTGTATTTTCAGTAGAGATGGGGTTTCACCATGTTGGCCAGGATGGTCTCAATCTCTCGACCTCGTGATCCGGCCACCTCAGCCTCCCAAAGTGCTGGGATTACAGGCATGAGCCACTGTGCCTGGCCTTATTTTTAATTTTAAAAATTTATATAAGTGCCAGGATTCCTGCCACCAAGGTTGAGATGACTTACAAAAGGAAAATGTGCCACAAAATAATCTTAACTCAGATAGGAAGAAGGAATCAGGGCCAGTTCAGTGGAAAAGAAGTGACAACGAGGGACAGAAGAATTCAAAAGACAAGTCAAAGGCTGACATAGTTGCTCTAGGCAAGCCTCTTATTTGGCTTAGAGCTTCCTGGCAGGCAAAGTGAAAAGGGAGATGTGACCAATGAGTTGCATTCTTCTTATTGTCAGGGAAAGAAACACATCTATGCCAGGTATCTCTCCTTTGCCAATTCGGGCCTGCTCTCAACCCTTCTCCAAGCCATCCTCTATCCTACAATCAAGCTGAGCTGTAGAGACTTTATCAACAGGTTCTTGTACTCTCCAGCTTCTAGCTGGGTTGAGCTCTGGCATGAGATCAGAGGGAGGCAGAACAGTGAAGTCTGGCTGTTCATCTCCTCCCTATCCCATCTTCTTAATCCTTCAAGGTCAAGTGGCCTTGGGCTGGCTATGGCTCTTAACTGAAGGTCATCCTTCTACACCTAGCTGTCTTCCCTCCTGGGTTCTGGCAGCTCCTCCTTTCCCACTTCTCCCAGTCAGGGGTGATAACGACTTGCTGCTGTTATCCACACCTTTGTAAATAATTTCATTGTAAATAGCCCCTTCTAAAATGATCCTATTTTGAGTGTGTCATCAGGATCCTAATGGTAATGCAGGGCAGGTGAGCCCCAAATTGGGGCTTAGCCTGGGAGGGCTCTTGGGTTCACCCAAGAAAGAATTCAAGAGCAAGCTGGTGGTGTCTTTATTATTATTATTATTATTATTATTATTATTATTATTACTGTCGCCTATGCTAGAGTGCAGAGTGCAGTGGCACGATCTTGGCTCACTGCAACCTCTACCTCCTGGGTTCAAGCGATTCTCCTGTCTCAGCCTCCCGAGTAGCTGGGATTACAGGCATGTGCTACCATTCCTGGATAAGTTTTGTATTTTTAGTGGAGACAGGGTTTCACCATGTTGGCCAGGTTGGTCTCAAACTCTGGACCTCAGGTTATCCACCCACCTCAGCCTCCCAAAGTGCTAGGGTTACAAGCGTGAGCCACGGCACCTGGCCAAGCCAGTAGTGTTAAACAGCAATTGTTTTTTTTTGTTTGTTTGTTTGTTTTGAGACAGTCTTGCTCTGTCACCAAGGCTGGAGTTAAGTAGCACAATCTCAGCTCACTGCAACCTCCACCTCCCATGTTCAAGCAATTCTCCTGCCTCAGCCTCCCAAGTAGCTAGGACTACAGGTGTGAACCACCATACCCAGCTAATTTTTTTGTATTTTTGTTGTTGTTTTTGTTGTTGTTGAGACAGAGTCTTGCTCTGTTGCCCAGATTGGAGTATAGTGGTGCGATCTTGGCTCACTGCAACCTCCACCTCCCAGGCTCAAGCAATAATCTTGCCTCAGCCTCCTGAGTAGCCGGGATTACAGGCACCCACCACCATGCCCAGCTAATTTTTGTATTTTTAGTAGAGACAGAGTTTCGCCACGTTGGCCAGGCTGGTCTTGAACTCCTGACCTCAGGCAAGCCACCCACTTTGGCCTCCCAAAATGCTGGGATTATAGGCATGAGCAACCACGCCCAGCCTTTTTTGTTTTTTGTTTTTTTTGAGACGGAGTCTCACTCTGTCACCCAGGCTGGAGAGCAATGGTGTGATCTTGGCTCACTGTAACCTCCACCTCCCGGGTTCAAGCAATTCTCCTGCCTCATCCTCCTGAGTAGCTGGGATTACAGGCACCCTCCACCACACCCGCTAATTTTTGTATTTTTAGTAGAGACAGGCTTTTGCCATGTTGCCCAGGCTGGTCTCGAACCCCTGACCTCATGATCTGCCCACCTCGGCCTCCCAAAGTGCTGGGATTACAGGCATGAGCCACCGCAACCAGCCTGCCCTGGTATTTATACCCACTTTTACCTATATGCAAATAAAGGGGTGGTTTATGCAGACATTTCTAGTATGAGGGTGGTAACTTTCAGGTTGTGGGGTCATTGTCATGGAAAGGGGTGATAACATCCAAGTGTTGACATGGCAATGGTAAACTGACATGCTGCACTGGTGAGTGTCTTATGGAAAGCTGCTTCCACCAGTCTGTTTCACCTGGTCTTCAATTAGGTCCAGTATCTGGGCCCCACCTCTGGAGTTGAGTCCTGCCTGCTCCCTCATTGGGACCCTGATACCTTTTCCATTTCCCTGCCTAGCCCTAAGTCCTAAAATAAACTTCTGGCCGGGCCCGGTGGCTCATACCTGTAATCCTAGCACTTTGGGAGGCCGAGGCGGGTGGATCACTGGAGGTCAGGAGTTCGAGACTAGCCTGGGCAACATGGACAAGCCCCGTCTCTACCAAAAATTAAAAAATTAGCCGGGCGTGGTGGTGGACATCTGTAATCCCAGCTACTCAGGGGGCTGAGACAGGAGAACTGCTTAAACCCGGGAGGCGTAGGTTGCAGTGAGTTGAGATCGCGCCACTGCGCTCCAGCCCGGGTGACAGAGCAAGCCTCCGTCTTGAAATAAATAAATAAGTAAATAATAAAAGAAAATGAGATAAGATAAAATAAACTTCTCGTGTGGTGATATGAGACCTAGTGAGTGGGGGGCGATGAACAAGTTCCCCACAGCAAAGGCAAAAGCAGCAATGAATTTTAATGGACTGCTTCCTTCAATGAGAGCCAAGAACATCTCATTCACTCATTTGCCAAATAATTATTGAGCACCTGCTATGGTGACCTGCCATCATTCCTAGTTGCTGAGAATTACAGTAGTGAACAAAAAAACCCAGTGAAGGCCAGACACAGTGGCTTATGCCTGTAATCCCAGCACTTTGGGAGGCCGAGGTGGGTGGATCATTTAGTTAGGAGTTCGAGACCAGCCTAGCCAACATGGTGAAACTCTGCCTCTACTAAAAATACAAAAATTAGCCAGGCGTGGTGGTGTGCACTTGTAGTCCTAGCTACTGGGGAGGCTGAGGCAGGAGAATCACTTGAACCTGGGAGGTGGAGGTTGCGGTGAGCTGAGATCGCGCCACTGCACTCCAGCCTGGGCGACAGAGTGAGACTCCATCTCAAAACAAAACAAAACAAAAAACTCCAGTGAAGACAGCTCTGTGAGAGGCAGAACTCATGTGGCCCGGGTGTGTGGACTTTGGGATGTGATTCTCAAACCTCAGCACCAGAAACCCCTGGGAGGCTTGCGTGTAATAGATACAGATCGCTGGTCCTGTCCGCAGCCTCTGATTCGGGAGCTCAAGGCTAGGACCGGAGAACGTACATTTCTAACAAGTTTCCAGGTGATACAGATGCTGCTGGTTTAGGGACCACCCTGACCTCTTTTTAAAAAAATAGTTTTTTAGAGATAGGATCTCGCTCTGTTACCCAGGCTGGAAGTACAGTGGTGTGCTCATAGCTCACTGCAGCCTCACTGTTGCCCAGGCTGGTCTTGAACTCCTGGGATCAAGCGATCCTCCCACCTCAGCTTCCTAATATGCTGGGATTACAGGCATGACGCACCAAGCCTGGCCTCCTACTCTGACTTCTGATGCTCAGATCTTGAGGGTGGCACATAGAAGCCTTCTATCAGTAGACGTTTGTAGGCCGTTTGGGGATGTGTATTGCAGCCAGGGCCCAATGCTAAAATTATCTGTCATTAGTTAACTGGGTCTTGGTCATTAGAAACCAGGAGGACATCCCTTTATGAAAACAAAGTCACCAAGACCAAGCACAGGGGCTCATGCGTATAATCCCAGCACTTTGGGAAGCCAAGGCAGGAGGAACGCTTGAGGCCAGGAGTTCAAGACCAGCCTGGGCAACATAGTGAGATCCTATCTCTAAAAAAAAAATTTTTTTTTTTAATTTGCTGGGCATGGTGGCACACATCTGCAGTCTCAGCTACTCAGGAGGCTGAGATGGGAGGATCACTAGAGCATAGGAGTTTGAGGCTGCAGTGAGCTATGATTGCAACACTGCACTCGAGCCTGGGTGACAAAGGGAGACCCTGTCTCCAACAAAAACAAAAACAAAGGTACAAATTCCAGGACCCTGGCTGGCAATGGTAGAGCTGAGGAGTAAGATCTAGCCTGCAAGTGTTTGGGCACCGTTTTCTGTGTTCCCTTATTGTGGTAGACACTGCTGACTGCCCCCTGTTGTTTGTTTCTTCTCGAGTAAATGAAAGTCACAATTATTTTTGTTGTCGTTTGTTTTTTTCCACCATGGGATCTTACTATGTTGCCCAGGCTGAAAAGCTACAATGCCTTTTTTTTTTTTTTTTTGCACTCTTGCCCAGTCTAGAGTGCAGTGGTGCAATCTCGGCTCACTGCAAGCTCCACCTCCTGGGTTCACACCATTCTCCTGCCTCAGCCTCCCGAGTAGCTGGGACTACAGGTGCTCGCCACCACGCCCGGCTAATTTTTTGTATTTTTAGTTTTAGTAGAGACAGGGTTTCACCATGTTAGCCAGGATGGTCTCCATCTCCCGATCTCATCATCCGCCTGCCTCGGCCTCCCAAAATGCTAGGATTACAGGCTTGAGCCACCGCACCCAGCAAAAAGCTACAATTCTTAGCTGGCCATGTAACCACCTAAAATAAAGCCTTCATTTCCCAGCCTCCCTTGCAGCTAGGTATGTCTATATATCTAAGTCCTGGTCAATGGGTGTGTTTTTTTTAATTGACATAAAATTTGCATACCACAAAATTCACTGCGTTAAGGTATATAATTCAGGGCTGGGCACAGTGGCTCATGCCTATAATTCCAGCACTTTGAGAAGCCAAGGCGGGTGGATCACTTGAGCTCAGGAGTTTGAGATCAGCCTGGCCAACATGGTGAAAATCTGTCTCTACTAAAAATACAAAAATTAGCCTGGTATGATGACACACTTCTGTAATCCCAGCTACTAAGGAGGCTGAGGCGGGAGGATCACTAGAGCCCAAGAGATCAAGGCTGCAGTGAGCCATGATCATGCCTGCACTCCAGCCTGGATGACAGAGTGAGACCCTGTCTCAAAAAAAAAAGTATACAATTCAGGGGTTTTGAGTATAATTTGCAATGTTGTACAATCATCACCGTTATCTACCTCCAGAATGGCCAATGAGGTTTAGGCTTTCAGGAACTTCCTTGAAAGGTGGCTGTTACAAACCATCTGCTCCTTCTTCTTTGTCCTTCCTTCTATTTTTATTAAACCTGGAATGTGAATGTGGTGGCTGGAGTTTCAGTTGCCATCTGGGACCATAAGGATGAGGTCACACCCCAGGGATGGCAAAATGAGAAGCTCGAAGGAGCCAAAATACCAGAGGCCTTTGTGCTGTCATACCAGCCAAGACTATTGTCCCAGACTTTTAAATGAAAAAGGAATAAACTTTTGTCTTGCTTAAGGCACTCTTGGCCAGGTGCAGTGGCTAACAGCTGTAATCCTAGCACTTTGTGAGGCTGAGGCAGGAGGATCCTTTGAGGCCAGGGGTTTAAGGCCAGCCTGGGCAACATAGTGAGAAGACTCTGTCTCTTAAAAAAAAAAAAAAAAGCCAGGCATGTTACTGTATGCCTGTAGCTACTTAGGAGGCTAACGTAGGAGGATCGCTTGAGCCCAGGAGTTTGAGGTTGCAGTGAGCTGTGATTGTGCCAATGCATTCCAGTCTGGGTGACAGTGAGAATCTGTTTCTCTTCTTTTTTTTTTTTTTTTTTTTTTTGAGATCAGGTCTCACCTTGTTGCCTAGGCTGGAGTGAAGTGGTGCCATCATAGCACACTGCAGCCTCAACCTCCTGGGCTCAAGGGATCCTCCCACCTCAGCCTCCCGAGTAGCTGGGACTACACGTGCACACCTCCATGCCTGGCTGATTTTTGTATTTTTTCTTTTTGTAGAGATGGGGTTTCACCATGTTGCCAGGCTGGTTTCAAACTCCTGAGCTCAAGCCATCCTCTCGCCGCGGCCTCTGAAAATGCTGGGATTACAGGTGCGTTCCATTGTGCTTGGCCAGAGAATTGGTCTCTTAAAGGAAGAAAATGTTTACAGCTGAACCTAATGCTAACTGATAGCAAGCAATCTGATGAATCAGCCTGGGTTCTTACTCATAATCACAGAAACTAATTCTAACGGGTCTGTGCAGAAAAGAAATGTAATTAAAGAATACTGGTTCACGCCTGTTATCACAGCACTTTGGGAGGCTGAAGTGGGAGGTTGTTTGAGCCTAGGTGTTCAAGACCAGCCTGGGCAACATAGTGAGACTCCATCTCTACAAAAAAAAAACAAAAATTAGTTAGGCATAGTGGTGTGCACCTGTAGTCCCGGCTACTTGGGAGGCTGAGGTGGGAGGATAGCTTGAGCCTGGGAGGTCAAGGATGCAGTGAGCTGTGATTGTGCCACTGCCCTCCAGGCTGAGCGAAAGAGCAAGATCTTGTCTCAAAAAGAATGAAAAAAAAAGAAGGAGGAGGAGGAGGAGCAGGAGGAGAAGGGGAAGGGGAGGAGGAAGAAGAAGAAACAGGAAGAAGGAGAAGAAGAAAGAAGGGGCCAGGTGCGGTGGTTCAAGCCTGTAGTCCCAGCAGTTTGGGAGGCTGAGGTGGGCGGATCACCTGAGGTCAGGAGTTCAAGACCAGCCTGGGTAACATTGTGAAACCCCGTCTCTACTAAAAATACAAAAATTAGGCCAGGTGTGGTGGCAGGTGCCTGTAGTCACAGCTACTTGGGAGGCTGAGGCAGGAGAATCGCTTGAACCCAGGAGGCGGAGGTTGCAGTGAGCTGACTTGGCGCCACTGCACTCCAGCCTAGGCAACAGAGCCAGACTCCATCTCAAAAATAAAAAATAAAAAACAAAAATAAAAATAATGAAAGAGAGAAGGGAGAAGAAGGGAAAAAAGGGGAAGGGGAATACTAGGTAATTTGGATCTCTAGGAAGGCTGGAGATCCTGGCTTGGAGTCTATAGAGTCAGGAACAAGCCTCAAGTCACAGAATAGAACTGGTTCAATGCAGCTATCACAGCTCATGCTGTTAGAAGCAAAAGCAACCCAGCTGATTCCCTCTCTCTAGACATTAGATGTAGCTGTGGCTATCCAGTTTCAAAGTGAGCATGCCTGGTACCTGCTCCTCTTTCTCCCTAGCCTCTGATTGGTGGTACACAGGTCACATGGCAGGATCCTAGCTTTAAGGGAGGCTGGGAAAATGATCATCAGTCTATAGTGGCCAGTGCTGGACCACCAGGACGAATAATCAATGGCTACAACATCCACCCGAGTGTTCCCTATAGCTGCTGCTGAATCAGAACCTCGATGATGTTTGCTGCATAGAGCCTCTGATTTATAATGTCTGTGTGTAGGAAATCCCTGATGGACAGCAGCTTATCTCCCTGACTTAATCAGCAGCACCATTGAATGCTTTACATTGCCTGTCACTTTGGATTGAATGAGGCTGAGTGGCGCCTCTTGAAATTCCCTGGCCCACCTTGAGGAGAAATTTGTCCATGCACCAGGCAGGTCGTGGGCAGCAGATAGTTCCTGACCCAGCAGAAAATTTCCCCTACTGCTCCTTGTCCAGGTTGCTGTTTCCTTCTGCTTTATCCTTGAGAGCCTCCATTAAGCAGCTGTTCTCTGGACCCAGCCATTACCACCAGGACAGAGGAACTGTTTTGCTGCATAACTTGGACTCAACGCAGATTCTGCATAAAGCGAGGGCTTTGGACTCCGAGACTTCTGAAGACCCCTCCAGCTCAGACTGATGTTTCAGGGTTTGATGCTGCTGTGGTTTCTAAATTTCCTGGGGGCCCCTCCTGGACGTAGGGCCCCTCCTCGACGCCATGGCTCAGGAGGCAGAGAGCTTTCCAAATGGCCTAGTTTCTATTAAAATGTCTGCTTGTTCAGCAACTCCACTTCTGGGCATATACCCAAAAGAAAACTGAAAGCAGAGACATGAACAGGTATTTGCACACCTGTGCTCATAGCAGCCTTCTTCCTAACAGCCCAAAGTAGAAACAAAACCCACAGGGCCGTCGACGAATGAATGGATAAACAAAATGTGGCAAATACATCTGGTCACAAAAAAGACAAACACCTTATGATTCCAGTTAAATGAGGTTCCACGATTGGTCCAGTTTATAGAGACAGAAAGTAGAATGGTGATTACCAGGGGCTAGGGGATGGGGTAAAAGGGGTGTGAGAATTCCATGGGAGAGATTCTCAGTTTGGGAAGACAAAAAAGTTCTGGAGCTAGATGGTGGTGGTGGTTGCACGATCATGTGAATATGCTTAATGCCACTAAACTGTACACTTAATATTATTGAAATGGGCCAGGCACGGTGGCTCACACCTGTAATCCCAGTATTTTGGGAAACCTAGATGGGAGGATTGCTTGAGCCCAGGAGTTTGAGACCAGCCTGGACAACATAGCGGGACTCCATCTCTTGAAGAAAAATTTTGGGGTTGGGCACGTGGCTTATGCCTGTAATCCTAGCACTTTGGGAGGCTGAGGTGGGCAGATCACGAGGTCAAGAGTTCGAGACCAGCCTGGCCAACATGGTGAAACCCCGTCTCTACTAAGCATACAAAAATTAGCCGGGTGTGGTGGCGCGTGCCTGTAATCCCAGCTACTCGGGAGGCTGAGGCAGGAGAATTGCTTGAACTCTGGAGGTGGAGGTTGCAGTGAGCCGAGATCACACCACTGCACTCCAGCCTGGTGATAGAGTAAGAAACCATCTCAAAAAAAAAAAAAAAAGGCCGGGCACGGTAGCTCATGTCTGTAATCCCAGCACTTTGGGAGGCCAAGGGGGGGTGAATCACCTGAGGTCGAGAGTTCAAGACCAGCCTGGCCAACATGGAGAAACCCCGTCTCTACTAAAAATACAAAATTAGCCGGGCGTGGTGGCACATACCTGTAATCCCAGCTACACAGGAGGCTGAGGCAGGAGAATCACTTGAACCTGGGAGGCAGACGTTGCAGTGAGCTGAGATCGCATCATTGCACTCCAGCCTAGGCAACAAGAGTGAAACTCCATCTCAAAAAAAAAAGAGAAAAAAAATTTAATAAAAAAATGGTTAAAATGGTAAATTGTATGTTATGCATATTTTACCATAATAACAATTTTTAAAGTCTGCTCGCTCTGAGCTCAGTGTCTTCAAAAGCTCTCTGCTGGGTCCTATTAGCAGGACTAAAGGCAAGTAACATAGTGCCAAAATATCTCATCAATTCAGTCGATTCGTTGATAATTGTAATCAATACAGAGGAAAAAACTAGCCGACCCTTTCTGCACCTGTTCTCCTAGGAAAGAGCCACCTGACTCCCTAACCTGCATGAGCTGATGGCCTGGAGACATGGCTCCCCTGAGCCAGCAAACCTGACTTGTGGAAAGGTGCAACTCCTCTTACCTAGTCCAAAATTGCATAGGAGTTTTTGCTGTCTAATGACCTCAGCTGCCTTCTGAACACAGAAGTGCACACCCAGATTGGAATAAAGATGCGACAAATAGAATTCTATCTCCGTGTGTCTATACCTTGCTCAGAAACAAGGCAGAATAGCAAAATGGAAAAGCTATATGCCATCACCAGACAGCAACAATCCTTCAAGTAAGATTTTAAAAAAGAATACATGGAATGTAGCCAACCATCCCCACTAAAAATAAAACACTCCACTTCCCTCAGCCGATTCAATTATCTCTCTAAAAAAGGGCTTTTTTTTAACACCTCCCAGCAGGCAGCAGATTCAGTGAGTTGGTGAGGATAACAGTGAATAATTAAGCAACCAGTGCCCAAGGTGTGAAGGAAAACATGGACTGGCTCAACTAGGAGCAGCAGTGTCTAAGCTCCATGAATATAAATGTTTAGAAATGAATATTATTGCCTAGTGCCATCTGGAATATTTTTCATTATGTAGAGCATGTTTTGGAAAACTCTTAATGATTTCCTTTTTTGCATGCATGAGACAGGGTCTCCCTCTGTTGCCCAGGCTGGACTGCAGTGGCGTGATCACAGCTCACTGCAGCCTTGACCTCCTGAGCTCAAGCCATCCTCCCACCTCAGCCTCCCAAAGTGCTGAGATTACAGGTGTAAGCCACCGCATCCCACTAATGATTTTCTAACTGTGAAGCCATCCCTGTGACAAAGACTCTGTCCTTGACATGATATTGCTCTGAGTTGAAATTCTCACCTGGAAAATCTGCCAACGTAGGCCAAGCGCGGTGGCTCACACCTGTAATCCCAGCACTTTGGGAGGCCGAGACGGGCGGATCACCTGAGGTTGGAAGTTCAAGACCAGCCTGACCAACATGGAGAAACCCTATCTCTACTAAAAAAAATACAAAATTAGCCGGTCGCATGGTGGTGGCGCATGCCTGTAATCCCAGCTACTCAGGAGGCTGAGGCAGGAGAATTGCTTGAACCTGGAAGGCGGAGATTGTGGTGAGCTGAGATCGTGCCATTGCACTCCAGCCTGGCTGGACTTCGCTTTTCGCAACAATAGCAAAACTCTGCTCAAAAAAAGAAGAAAAAAAAAGAACATCTGCCAACGTAAACATAAAAACAGACACGCAAACAACAGTCCTCCCTTTTGCCTATTAAATAATTGAGGTTCATTACAAAAAAATGAGAACCTTTGAAAAAAAGAAAAGAAGAAACATCCACGGTGCTATCATTTAGAGACCATCACCGTCAGTATTCTAATGTTTTGGTGATTTCCTTCCAGTTTATGAATATGCGTGAGTATAAATATGCATATGAGTATGAGATCACACGACCTCCTTTTACTAATACGGTCACATGGGCATTTTGTCTTGTTCACACGGTCACTCCTGGTTGGGTCACATTTGCATGGTTCCTGCTTTCCTGCTTTTTACAGCCTTTGACCTCTGTCCTCTGGCTGGAATACTCTCACCTTCCTTATGTTTTCCAACCTTGTCCAACCTCACCAAGATGTGATTCTCTGCTATTTATGCCTCTCTGAAATGTACATTTTACGTTAAATATATATGAATATATATATAAATATATATATGAATATATATAAATATATATATAAATATATATATGAATATATATATTCATATATATATAAATATATATATGAATATATATTTTGAAACAGAGTCTCTCTCCGTCACCCAGGCTGGGGTGTTTTGGCACAATCTCAGCTCACTGCAACCTCTGCCTCCTGGGTTCAAGTGATTCTCCTGCCTCAGCCTCCAGAGTAGCTGGGATTACAGGCACGCGCCACCATGCCTGGCTAATTTTTGTATTTTTAGCAGAGATGGGGTTTCACTAAGTTGGCCAGGCTGGTCTCAAACCCCTGACCTCAAGTGATCTGCACATGTCGGCCTCCCAAAGTGTTAGGATTATAGGCGTGAGCTACCACGCCCAGCTCATTTCACATGGTCTTGACCTCATGGCTGCATTGGAGTTTCTTTTTTTTTTTTTTTTCGAGACAGAGTCTCACTGTGTCACCCAGGCTGGAGTGCAGTGGCACGGTCTTGGCTCACTGCAACCTCCGCCTCCCGGGTTCACGCCATTCTCCTGCCTCAGCCTCCCGAATAGCTGGGACTACAGGCGCCCGCCACCACGCCCGGCTAATTTTTTGTATTTTTAGTAGAGATGGGGTTTCACCGTGTTAGCCAGGATGGTCTCGATCTCCTGACCCCGTGATCCGCCCACCTCAGCCTCCCAAAGTGCTGGGATTACAGGCGTGGGCCACCATGCCCGGCCTGCATTGGAGTTTCTGTGCTCAGGGCCTGTACTGCACAATCAGGCCTTTCTGGGGACATAGCAGCTGACACTGCCGGACCCCAGCTCTCTGGCCAGGTCTCTGGCTCCCATGGACAGCCTCTCCAGAGAGTCACCATTCACTACCCGTTCTCCCACCAGACAGAGATCAAATGTACACCATAAGAACTGTAGTTCACAATATCATATTGTATTTGGGATTTTTGCTAAAAGAATAGATTTTAGGTTGCTCTTGCCAAACACACAAATGGGTAACTATGTAAAATGATGAATACGTTCATTTACTTGGATATAGTAACCATTTGACTGATTATATGTATATCAAAACGTCATGTTGTACACCTTAAATATGTATAATAAAAAATAATAAAATAGCAAACAAAAAAAAAAAGCCTGAGGCCTCCCCCCTTTTTTCTTTTTATTTTCTTTTCTCTTTTTTTTTTTTTTTTTTTTTTTTGAGACAGTCTCACTCTGTCACCCAGGCTGGAGTGCGGTGGTATGATCAGGGTTCACTGCAGCCTCAACCTCCTGGGCTCAAGCAATCCTCCCATCTCAGCCTCCCGAGTAGCTGGGACTACAGGTGCACACCACCATGACTGGTTAATTTTTAAATTTTTTGTAGAGATAGGTCTTTCTATATTGTCCAGGTCAGTCTCAAACTTCTGGGCTCAAGTGATCCTCCTACCTCAGCCTCCCAAAGTGCTGGGATTATGGATGTGAGCCTCCACACCTGGTCCCATTCTTTTCTTTGAAATCCCCCCCACTTTTTTTTTTTTTTTTTGTAGCGTGAAAGAGTTTGCAATCATTTTTCTCTGTGAGAATTATTAGCTCACAAATTTTCCATTTCTTAGCCACCTCGGTAAGAAGAAAAATCACAAATGGTTGTTCTCCAAGGAATCGGGGGGTCGTCAAGCAAGACCCACATAAATGCCACCAGCAGAGGAGAACAGAGGCTGTTTCCAGGGCTGCCCAGAGATGTCCCACATATTTTTTGTCACCTGATACCTCCTAGGGGCAAAGAAGTCCCCATTTTCCAGCTAAGAGATAGCTGAGTTGTTTTATCTTCTGGTATTGGCCTCTGTGCCGAAGCCCCCTCTGATCTGTCCTTTCCCTGGGTCTCCATCCATCTGCCTGAGCTGGACGGAGCCTCAGCCCTTCCAGAAGAGAGGTTGTAACCGAATCACAGGTTCAGTCACTCGCCACTTGCAAAATTCCATTAACAAGCGCGAGGTCTGGTGGCTTTTTATTTTAAAGCTAGTTTGTGGGAAGAAGTGCAGGCTTCCTGGCTTAAGGGTACCACTTCGCTTTTGGAGCAGAAAGTGTGCACTTTTAAAGCGGGGGTCTGGCATGAATGGCATGCAGGGGAGAAAGTGAGCAGGTGGGGGTCTGCCCAAATTTGTTTGGTGCCTTATTTACTGGGCAGTCAAGCTAGCACCTTCATGAGCAGAACTAGGTTGTAAACTCTCCAGGTGGGAGAGAGTTTCAGTCTTCAGAGTGGCTGAAACTATCCAGTGGGGAGAGAGTTTCATAGTGGGCATACTTTGGGTTGTAAATAGACCGTTGTCTCTCAAGGCAATCTAATGGGAGTGAGTTCCACGCTGGAGTTTCTAAGCACATAGTTAGATAAGCTTGCCCTGCAGGGAGTGTCTGGTGAAGGGGAGGTAAAAGGTTATCATGTCATTCCTTTTTGTGTGTGGCAGGGGAGGGATAAGGTCTTGCTCTGTCTCCTAGGCTGGAGTGCAGTGGTGCGATCTTGGCTCACTGCAACCTTTGCCTCCTGGGTTCAAGCCATTCTGGTGCTTCAGCCTCCCCAGTAGCTGGGATTACAGGCATGTGCCACCACGCCTGGCTAACTTTTGTATTTTTAGTAGAGATGGGGTCTTGCCATGTTGGCAAGGCTGGCCTCAAACTCCTGGCCTCAAGTGATCCACCTGTCTCGGCCTCCCAAAGTGCTGAGATTACAGGTGTGAGCCATCGTGCCCGGTCAAGGTATGATTGCATTTCTAAAGGGCTAAGTAGGAAATGAGGAACAGGGGAAACAGAAAAGAGGAAAAAATAATAAATAATTACTCATTCTCTTTTTCTTAGAAAAATAGGGGTACTTGGTTACTAGGTGAGCAGATGGGGTTGGTCAATTTCCCCCAAGAGGAAATAGATGCAGAGAGAGAAACTAATAACCTCAAGGCCCAAATGAAGTCAGTAGCAGAAGGCTGGCTTCCTCAAAAGCCCATCCTTCCTGCTGATGATCAAATACTGCCCTAGTCTTCTTGGCATCACCCACAGGAAAACAGAGGCACTCTGATTCCTGCATGGGTAAAATGGGCACAGCTCCACCCTCAGAGGACTTATTCAGGGGAGCGATGTCATACCTCACAGGAGATGCCTGCGAGCCACCTGGGACACACAGCTGTCCAGGCATCCTGAACCAAGTCTGCAATTGTTTATGGCTTATTCATGGGGAATCAGAGAAGGGCAAACACGCTTGCCCTCTTAGCAGATGAGTTGTGGGTTGTGATTACAACCTGGGTGTACAAGGGGCAGTGAAAAGCCCAATTTCTTTCTTTTTTTTTTTTTTTTGAGAAGGAGTCTCATTCTGTCACCCAGGCTGGAGTGCAGTGGCGCGATCTCAGCTCACTGCAACCTCCACCTCTCGGGTTCAAGTGATTCTCCTGCCTCAGCCTCCCAAGTAGCTAGGATTACAGATGCCCGCCACCACAGCCGGCTAATTTTTGTATTTTTGGTAGAGACAAGGTTTCACCATGTTGGACAGGCTGGTCTTGAACTCCTGACCTCGGGTGATCCACCTGCCTTGGCCTCCCAAAGTGCTGGGATTACAGGCATGAGCCACCGCACCCAGCGAAAAGCCCCATTTCTGTTTGTTTGTTTTGTTTGTTTGTTTGTTTTTGAGACGGAGTCTCGCTCTGTTGTCCAGGCTGGAGTGCAGTGGCGCGATCTCAGCTCACTGCAAACTCCGCCTCCCGGGTTGAAGCGATTCTCCTGCCTCAGCCTCCCGAGTAGCTGGGATTACAGGCATGTACCACCATGCCCAGCTAATTGTTTGTATTTTTAGTAGAGGCAATGTTTCACTGTGTTAGCCAGGATGGTCTTGATCCCCTGACCTCGTGATCTGCCCACCTTGGCCTCCCAAAGTGCTGGGATTACAGGCGTGAGCCACCATGCCCAGCGAAAAGCCCCATTTCTAACAAAGTTTGGCAATTAAATAAGTAGCCACAACTCCTTCTGCTATTAAATAATAAAGCCATTGAGTGTTACACAGAAAGAACCACAAATTCCGGCCAAGCCTGTTGGTGGCTGTTGGAACCGCCCTAATAAACAATTTCAGGTACAAGCAGGTGTGGCAGAGGGAGGTGCAGGAAGTTCCCTGGGGCCTCCCAGCCTAGGCCCCCCAGCAGTGGGAGTGGGGGCCTGCTGGTGAGGCCTGGCTTCCTGCTGGGCTCTGAACCCAAAAAGAAGCCAAAGGCAGACCCAGAGAGCAACTGCAAACAGTGATGAGATGGTTGATTTGGGTGACCTTGGACCCGGGATTCTGGACTGCTGGGTTACAGGGGAGTCACTTCCTCACTTCTCACCTTATAGGGTCACATGGAGCGTTTGCTCCCCAGCGATTTGGGGAAGGTAGAAGCGACTCCTTAGAGTATCTTGAAGTAGGGGCTTACAATCAGACAGACAGAGAAAAAGCTCCCCCTATTCCTCTTTCCCGCTGCCCCTCACTGAGATACGTGGATGAGACAGGGTGGCATTGCATGGGGTGGTGGAGAGTCCCAGGCGGGTCTTGCTGGAGGAGCTCCCCAAGGACTCCCTTTGCTGGAAGGCTCCAGTCCCCGTTCTGGTCCAATGCCAAGGAAGGGACAGAGGATGACGCTGCATGAGCTGATTAATCCCTGGGAAGACAACGGGCCCTGCCCTACCTGCCCATGTGCCAGTCTGGCACCAACTCGCCCAGCCTGTTCCAGCTGGCCTGGTAGAAACTGACGCAGCAGGTGACTCCCTCGGTTTTATGGGCTTGGGGCAAAAGTCGTGTGGCCAGCAGAGTGGCTGAGGCAGGTAGAGTTTTCCACAGCGGCCTGGGCTCTCCTTGTCCTAGAAGTCTAACAAGTCATCTTCTTGTTTACCCTGGTGCCTCCCTGGAACATAACCTGACACATCACGGGCACTTCCTGTGTGTGTTGAAATAATTGTCAAAGAATTGGTAAGGAGCAGATGTGAGCAGAACATGTGCCCTGCGCAAGAGAAGCCCGTGGTCCCCAGAAACTTACAATTCTTTTCTTTTTTAAATTTTTTCTTTTTGTTTTTAAGATAGGGTCTTGCTGTGTCACCCAGGCTGGAGTGCAGTGGTGTGATCGTGGCTCACTGCAGCCTCTACCACTGGGGCTCAAGGGATCCTCCCACCTCAGCCTCCTGAGTAGCTGGGACCACAGGCATGTGCCACCATGCCCAGCTAATTTTTAATATTACTGTTTTAAAATACATGTAATTGTATTGAGTCTATCTTCTCTAAGGACAAAGGTTTACTCAGCAACTATTAACTTCAGGGTAGAGCTTGTTCTCCACCTCTGCTCTTCACCCTACTCCCCAGCCCCGATCTCACCAGAAAGCAAACCTTAACAGGGTCTCTCACCTGAGGGGTATCCAGGAGCAATTTGGTCCACACCTCATCTTCGCAAAAAGCTTTTAACGTATACTTTGTTGTTGTTGAGACAGGATCTTGCTCTGTTGCCTAGGCTGGAGTGCAGTGGTTCAATCATGGCTCACTACAGCCTTGATCTCTTAGGCTCAAGTGATCACAATCCTCCTGCCTCAGCCTCCTGAGTAGCTGGGACTACAGGTGTGCGCAGCCATGCCGGCTAATTTTTTTTTTTTTTTTTTTTTTCTGTAGAGATGGGGCCTTGCTATGTTGCCCAGGGCAGTCTTGAACTCTTGGTCTCAAGTGATCTTCCCACCTCAGCCTCCCAAAGTGCTGGGATTACAGGCATGAGGCACCGAGGCATGAGACGGGCCTCAATGTACACTTTTGACGTTATTCGGTTTTGACTCTGATACTTAGCAAGGATGCCGGAGCCAGGCTACCTGAGTGTGAACCCTGCTTCTGTCACTTACTAGCTATGTGACCTTGGCCAAGGTCCTTATCTTCTCTGTTTCTGTCTCCTCATCCACAAAATGGGAATAAGGATAGATTAAGCCAATCACCAAAAGCAACCTATTGTATGATTTCATTTATATAAAATGTCAAGAATCAGCTGAATGCAGTGGCTCCTGCCTGTAATCCCAGCATTGTGGGAGACCAAGGAGGGAGGATCACTTGAGGCCAGGAGTTCAAGACCAGCCTGGGCAACATAGCACGACCCTGTCTCTACCAAAAATAAAAACAAAAAAGCCCAGAACAGGCAAATCCATAGAAGCAGGAAGTAGATTAGTGGTTACCAGGGGGAATGGATGGGGAATGACAACTAACGGGTAGAGTTTCTTTTGTGGGTGATAAAAATATTCTAAAATTAGATAAAGCTTAAAGAGTTATTACTTATAAAGTGCTTACAGCAGTGTCTGACACATCAAAAGTGATCTGCAAGTCATTGTCGAATAAAACTTACCTCGAAAGGAAGGCATGAATACTAATGAGCTTGGAAAAAAAATGTTCATAATACAATTTTAAAATGGTATTTCATTCCCGAATCTCACTATCTGCTGTGTACTTTTTATCAATCCTGCTGTAATTATTTTGTGCATAGCATCATTATATAGCTGTATAAATTATGTACATTAAAAGTGTTAATTTGTTAGACTTAAATGTGTTAGCACGTTTTTACCATATTGGGTGGTTTCCGCACCCCCTCCAAAAATGGGTGGTGGCTCAAGGCTCTGTTGGCAGCTGGTGAGCTGTCCCTGAGTTACACAGGTTTAGAGGCAACAACAGGTAAGGACTTTGCACAAAGGCATTTGGAAAGACAGCCAATTGTCCATCATGATATCTCATCATTGCCCAGTTTGGTAATTGATGTATCATTTGCATTAATGATATACCACACATCATTATGCAGATAAAGTCGGCTATCATCCAGAATGAGGCACACAGCCTTTGATTGGCAGAGAACTAGGGAGAGTCAAATGACTTTTAACCTACTTGGTCTCCTTATTTGCCTAATGCTGAATTAAAGTCACGCAACCATGACAGGGATTCAAGTCAAGCAAAGGTGATCGTAAAGACCCGCAGGAGGGTGTCCTATGGCGAGGCCACTGATGTGCCGGCTAGGGGTTAACAAGTGGCTCTTGGCTGGGTGCGGTGGCTCATTCCTGTAATCCCAGCACTTTGGGAGGCTGAGGTGGGAGGATCACTTGAGCCCAGGAGTTGGAGACCAGCCTGGGCAACACAGCAAAAACCCATCTCTACAAAAAAATGTAAAAAAAACTCAGCCAGACGTGGTGGTGCATGGCTGTAATACCAGCTACCTGGGAGGCTGAGGTGGAAGGATTACTTGAGCCTGGGGAGGTCGAGGCTGCAGTGAGCTATGGTCATGCCATTGCGTACTCCAAGCTAGGCGACAGAGCAAGACCCTGTCTCAAAAAAAATAAATAAATAGGCGGGGTGCTGTGGCTTATGCCTGTAATCCCAGCACTTTGGGAGGCTGAAGCGGGAGGATCATGAGGTCAGGAGATCGAGACCATTCTGGCTAACAGTGAAACCTCGTCTCTACTAAAAATACAAAAAATTAGCCAGGTGTGGTGGCAGGCACCTGTAGTCCCAGCTACTCGGGAGGCTGAGGCAGGAGAATGGCGTGAACCCGGGAGGCGGAGCTTGCAGTGAGTCGAGATTGTGCCACTGCACTTCAGCCTGGGTGACAGAGGGAGATTCCATCTCAAAAATAAATAAATTAATTAATTAAATAAAATAAATAAATAAATAATAGAAAAAAGAAGACAGGAAAAGACACCAGGTATGCATGTGGCCGGAGGAAAGACCATGTCAGAGAGAACGCAGCCATCTACAAGCCAAGGAGAAAGGCCCCAGGAGAAACCAACCTGGTCAACACCTTGATCTTGGACTTCCAGCCTCCAGAGCTGTGAGACAAGAAGTTTCTGTTGTGTAAGCCGCCCAGTCTACGGCATTTTTTTTGTGGCAGCCCATGTAAACTAATACACTCAGAGAGCAGTTTGCCCTTAGAATAGGCAGGGAGGGTTGCCCAGGGTTCTTGTGCTGGAGGTGCCCATGTATCAGAAGCACAAACAGAAGTGTATCAAAGAACACATGGGCCCCCTGTCATTTGGGCAGTGTGCACCCTGTAACTAAACATCCATGTATCCACTCTCTTTTTTTTAAAAAAGGTTTTTTTTTTTTTTTTTTTTTTTTTTAGGCTGGGCACAGTGGCTCAAGCCTGTAATCCCAGCACTTTGAGAGGCCAAGGAGGGCAGATCACAAGGTCACGAGTTCGAGACCTGCCAGACCAACATGGTGAAACCCCATCTCTATTAAAAATACAAAAATTAGCCAGGTGTGGTGGTGCGTGCCTGTAATCCCAGCTACTGGGGAGGCTGAAGCAGAAGAATTGCTGGAACCTGGGAGGTGGAGGTTGCGGTGAGTTGAGATTGCACCACTGCACTCCAGCCTGGGCGACAGAGCAAGAAGACTCTGCCTCAAAAAAAAAAAAAAAAAAAAAAAAAAAAAAAAGAAAAGCGTTTTTGCTTTTTTTTTTTTTAAATAGGGACAGGGTCTCCCTATGTTGTCTAAATGGAATTGAACTCCTGGGCTCAAGTGATCACCCACTTTGGCCTCCCAAGGCACTGAGGCCAGGAGCTCCAGACCAACCTGGGCAATACAGTCAGACTGCCATCTCTATGAAAGAAATGTTAAAATGAGCCAGGCATGGTGATACATGCCTGCAGCTCAGCTACTCAGGAAGCTGAGGTAGGAGGATCACTCGAGCCCAGGAATTTGAGGCTGCAGTGAGCTATGATCGTGCCACTGCACTCCAACCTGGGCAACAGAGTGAGACTCTGTTTCGAAAAATAATAATAATAATCAAAGTAAATAATAAAACAATTAAAAAATGACTTTCTGGGTAAAAGGAGCCCCAATTAACAGTGTTTGCCAATTACCTGTGGTATAAATACTCATATCATGGCTTATTCAAGCTATAGACATGATGTCACTGAACTTGAAGGTGGGAAGAGGTACAGTATTATAATTCCCACCATAAAAAAAAAAAAAAAAAAAAAAAAGATGGGCCAGGCACGGTGGCTCACGCCTGTAATCCGAGCACTTTGGGAGGTGGAGGTGGGCGGATCACCTGAGGTCAGGAGTTCGAGACCTGCCTGACCAATATGATGAAACCCTATCTCTACTAAAAATACAAAAATTAGCCAGGCGTGGTGGCATGCACCTGTAATCCCAGCTACTCTGGAGGCTGGGACTACAGAATCACTTGAACCCGGGAGGAGGAGGTTGCAGTGAGCCGAGATTGCACCACTGCATTCCAGCCTGGGCAACAAGAGCGAAACTCCACCTCAAAAAAAAAAAAAAAAGTCAATAACCTTAAGAGCATAGGTAACATAATTAGGCATCAATAACTTTTAAGCATTTATTATCTTTGTTTTTTTCAATAACAACTTTATTGAGAGATAACTCAGACTATAAAATTCACCCCTTGACAGAGGTGAATTTTGTAGTATAGTCACCGAATTGTGCAACCATCACCATCATTTAACTTTAGAATATTTTCACCACTCTAAAGCAAACCAAACCCCTATACCTATTCACTGTCATTCCCCATTCCTTTCTCCATTCAGCCTCTGGAAATTACTAATCTACTTCCTGTCTCCATGGGTTTGCCTACTCTAAATTCCTGAAAATGAAATCATACGATGATGTAGCCTTTTGTGGCTGGTTTCTTTGATTTAGCATGATGTTTTCAGGGTTCATGCATGTTATAACATGTATCAGTGTTTCATTTCTTTTTTCCTGCTAAATAATATTCCATTGTATGGATATAACACATTTTGTCAATCCATTTATTCGTGGATGGGCATTTGGGGGGCTTTGGCTTTTTGGCTCTTATGAATAATGTTGTCATGAACGTTCATGAAAAAGCATTTGTTGGGATGTCTGTCTGTTATCATTTCTCTTTGGTATAAACCTAAAAATGGAATTGCTGGACAATATAGTGACTCTGTGTTTAACATTTTGAGGAACTGCTTGTTTTTCAATACCCCTGAACCCTTTTTTTTTTTTTTTAAAGTGATAGGATCTTGCTCTGTCCCTCAGGCTGGAATGCAGTGGTGCAATCGTAGCTCACTGCAGCCTCAAACTCCTGGGCTGAAGCAATCCTCCTGCGTCAGCCTCCCAAGCAGCTGCAACTACAGGTGTGCACCACCTTACTGGTCTAATTTTTAGTAGAGATTGGGGTCTCACTATGTTGCCCAGGCTGGTCTTGAATTCCTGGCCTCAAGTGATCCTCCTGCCTCAGCCTCCCAAATTGCTGGGATTACAAGCGTGAGCCACTGTGCCCAGCTAACCTGAACCATTTTGTATTCTGATGGGCAATGAGTGAGGGTTCCAATTTCTCCATATTCTTCCTAATACTTGTCTGTCTTTTTTATTATACCCATCCTGGTGGGTGTGAAGGGGTATCTCATCATGATTTTGATTTGCCTTTTCCTCATGGCTAATGATGTTGCACATCTTTTCATGTGCTTATTGTCATTTGTACATCTTCTTTGAAGAAATGTGTATTTACATCCTTTGCCCATTTGGCTGGGTGCAGTGGCTCATGCCTGTAATCCCAGCACTTTGGGAGGCCAAGTTGGGAGGATCACCCAAAGTCAGGAGTTCAAGACCAGCCTGGCCAACATGGTGAAACCCCTCTCTACTAAAAATACAAAAATTAGGTGGGTGTGGTGGTGGGCGCCTGTAATCCCAGCTACTCAGCAGGCTGAGGCAGGAGAATCGCTTGAACCCAGGAGGCGGAGGTTGCAGTGAGCCGTGATTGTGCCACTGCACTCCAGCCTGGGCAACAGAGTGAGACTCTGTCTCAAAAAAAGGAAAAAAAAAATCCTTTGCTCATTTTAAAATTAGTTTTATTTATATTATTATTGAGTTAAGAGTTCTTTATATATCTGAACACAAGTCCTTAATCAGATACATGATTTGAAAATATTTTCTCACATTCTGTGGGTTGCATTTTCACTTGTGTTCTTTCAAATACAAAAGTCTTTAATTTTGATGAAGGCTAATTTTGATGAAGTCCAATCTTTTTTTTTTCGCTTGTGCTTTTGATGTGCTTTCTACAAAAACATTACCTAATGTAAGGTGATGAAGATTTATACCTAGGTTTTCTCCTAAGAGATTTATTGTTTTAGCGCTTACATTTAGGACATTTTGAGTAAATTTTTTAAACTGCTTCTTGCAGATCACGGCTAACCCATAAGCAGCATGCCCAGAGTAGTCGAGTTAATTTTTTATATGGTGTAAAGTAGGAGTTTATTCCATTCTTTCCATGTGAATTGTCCCAGCACCATTTATTGAAAAACCATTATTTCCATTAAATTGTCTTGACAACCTTGCATAAAATGAATTGACAGTAAATGTGAGGGTTTATTTCTGGACTCTCAATTTTATTCCATTGATATCTATATCTATCTTAATTCTTCTTATGCAGTACCACACTGTTTTCATTACTGTAGCTTTGTAGTAAGTTTTGAAATCAGACCATGTGAGTCCTCCAACTTTGTTATTTTTCAATATTGTTTTGTCCATAGTGGATCTTTTGGAACTCAAAATGAATTTTAGAATCAGCTTCTCAATTTCTGCCAAAAAGGCAGCTTTTTGGGGATTTTGATAGGAACTGCATTCAATCTGTAAATCAGTTTGGGAGTATTGCTGTCTTAACAACATTACATCTTCTAATCCATGAACATGTGATGTCTTTCCATTTATTTAGATCTTTAATTTCTTCCAGTAATGTTTTATAGTGTTCAGAGTATAAATTATTCCTAAGTATTTTGTTAAATTTGTTCCTAAGTACTTAATTCTTTCTGACGCTATTGTAACTGAATTGTTTAAATTTCTTTTTTGATTTCTCATTGCTAGTGTACAGACACAATTGATTTTGTATTGAGCTGTATCTTGCAACCTTGTTGAACTCATTTCTTAGTTCAAATAGTATTTTAATGGAGTCCTTGGTATTTTCTACATACAAGAGGATATTGTTATTGGTCAACAGAGATTGTTTTATTTTTTCCTTTTACGTCTGAATACCTTTCATTTTTTTTCATGACTAATTGCCTGGCTATAATCTCCAATATAATGTGAAATAGAAGTAACAAGAGTAGACATCCCTGTCTTGTTCCTGATCTTAGGAGGAAACATTCAGTCATATAGCAAGTATGATGTTTGTTATAGGGTTTTCATAGATGTGCTTTATTATGTTAAAGAAGTTCTCTTCCATTCCTATTTTGTTGAGTGTTTTTATCATCAAAGGGATTTTGTCAAATGCTTTTTTCATGCTTATTGAGATGATCATGTGTTTTTTGTCTTTTATTCTACTAATATGGTATATGTTGACATTGATTGATTTTCATATGTTAAACCAAGTTTGCATTCGTGGGATAAATCTCACTTGGTCATGGTGTGTAATTCTTTTCATATGCTTTTAGATCCTGTTTCCAAGTGTATTGTTAAGGATGTTTGCATCTATATCCATAAGGGATATCAGTAAATAGTTTTCTTGAGCAATGCTGGCTTCATAGAATGAGACAGGATTCCTTTTCTATTATTTGGAAAAGTTTGTAAAGGACTGGTGTCATTCCTTTCTATTAATGTATGTTTTGAAGTATTCAGTAATAAAGCTGTCTGGGCCTGGGATTTTCTTTGTGGAAAATTTTATGATTACTAATTCTGTCTCTACTCTTTATAGGTTTATTCAGGCTTTCTATTTCTTTTTAAGTCAGTTTTAGTAGTTGTGTCTTTCTAGGAATTTGTCTATTTCATTTAGGTTACCTAATTTGTTGGCATACAGCTGTTAATAATATTCCCTTATAATTATTTTTTATTTCGGTAAGGTTGGTAGTGGTATCCTGTATTTCATTTCTTATTTTAGTAATTTGAGGTTTATCTCCTTTTTTTCTTGGTCAGTCTAGCTAAAAGTTTCATTTTTGTCAATCATTTCAAAGGATAAACATTTGGTTTTGTTGTCTTTTCTCTATTACTTCATTTATTTCTGTTTAATCTTTATTTCCTCCTTCTCCTAGCTGTTGGTTTAGTTTGATCTTCTTTTCCTAGTTTCTTTTTTTATTTGTTTGTTTTTGAGATGGGATCTCACGTTGCCCAGGCTTGTCTTGAACTTCTGGGCTCAAGTGATCCTCTTGCCTCAGCCTGACAAGTAGCTTGGATTATAAACTATAGGTGCATACCACCACACTTGGCTCCATATTTTACTAGTTTCTTAGGTGGAACACTAGGTTATTAATTTAAGATATTTCTTCTTTTATACTTTAGGTGATTAAAGCTATACATTTCTCTGTAAGCACCACTTTATCTACATCCTATAAATTTTGTATGTTGTGTTTTCATTTTCATTTATCTCAAATTATTTCCTAATTTCCTTTGTGATTCCTCCCTCCCTCCCTCCCTCCCTCCCTCTCTCTTTCTTCCTTTCTTTCTTTTTTCTAGCTTTGTCACCCAGGCTAAAGTGCAGTGGCATGATCTTGGCTCACTGCAACCTCCACCTCCCGGGTTCAAGCAATTCTCCTGCCTCAGCCTCCCAAGTAGCTGGGATTACAGGCGCCTACCACCCATGCCTGGGTATTTTTTGTATTTTTACTAGAGACAGGGTTTCACCATGTTGGCCAGGCTGGTCTCAAACTCCTGACGTCATGATCCACCCACCTTGGCCTCCCAAAGTGCTGGGATAACAGGTGTGAGCCACTGCACTCCATCCCTTTGTGAGTTCTTGATTCATTTGTTATGTAAGAGTGTGTTGCTTAATTTCCACATATTTGTGAATTCCCCAAACTTCCTTTTATTGTTGATTTCTAACTTCACTCTACTCTTGTCAGAGAACACATACTTTATTAGATTTTAATTCTTTTAAATTTATTGAGGCTTTAAAAGTGGCCCTGAATATGGTCTATTCTGAAGAATGTTCCAGATGCATTTGAGAAGAGTATATATTCTTCTGTTCTTGACTGGAGTGTACTATAGATGTCTGTTGGTCTAGCTGATTTATGGTGTTGTTCAAGTCTGCTGTGTCCTTGGCTTTCTACCCAGTTGTTCTATCTATTACCAAAAGTGGGGTAGTGAAGTCCAAAGTATTATTTTTTGAATCGTCTATTTCTTTCTTCAATTATGTCAGTTTTTGCTTCATGTATTTTGAAGCCGTGTAGTTAGGCGCATGCTTCTACATAATTGTAATATCTTCTTGATAGATTGACCATCATTATAAAATATCCTTCTTTTTCTTGTTGTTTCACATTCTATTGTCTGATATTAGTATAGCCACTCAACCTCTCTTTTAGATGCTTTTTTCCTGGTTTTCTTTTATCTCACTTTAAATTTATTTTGCTTTGAATCTAAAATGTGTCTCTAGTAGACAGCATATAGTTGAATGATGTTTTCCTATTCATTCTGCCAATCTCTACCTTTTGATTAGAGTGATAAGTCCATTTCCATCTAATGTAATTATCAATAAGATACGATGAAGATGATGATGATAATTTACTAATTTTTTTAAAGTAAGGGTTTCACTCTGTCACTCAGGCTGGAGTGCAGTGGTGCAATTATAGCTCATTGCAGCCTCAAACTCCTGGACTCAAACAATCCTTTCACCTCAGTCTCCTGAGAAGCTAGGATTACATTTGCATGCTACCACACCCAGCTAATTTAAACAATTTTTGTAGAGATGGAGCCTCACTATGTTGCCCAGGGTTGTCTCAAACTCTGGGCTTAAGTGATCCTCCTGCCTTGGCCTCCCAGATCCCTGGGAGTACAGGTGTGAGTTACTGTGCTGCTCATCAGCAAAATAGGATTATGTCTGTCATTTTGCTATGTATTTTCTATATGTCTTATGTGCTTTTTATTCCTCTATTCCTCCATTACTGCCCACTTTTGTCTAAAGTAGATATTTTCTAGTGTACAATTTTAATTCACTTGTTACTTGTTTTTAAATATATATTTCGAGTTTTCTTAGTGGTTGCCCTAGAAATTACAATTAACATAATACCCTAAAACAAGCTAGATACGATTAATAGCAGCTTAATTTCAATAGTGTTTAAAACGTTGCTCCAGTATAGCTCTCTTCCCACATCCATGTTTTGTGCTATTATTGTCATACAAATTATATCTTTATATAAGTCCCTCTGCCAGTTTTATAATTGTTGCTTTATGTAGTAGTCTTTTAAATCAGATAGGAGAAAAGAAAGTTATAAAGAAAAATACATTTATATTTATATTCTTATATTTAGTGATATAGTTTCCTTCTCCTGGTGTTTTTTATTTCTTTATGTGAATTCAAGTTTCTGAATAGTGACTTTATTTCTGTTTAAAGGACTCCCTTTAGTATCTCTTGTAGTAAACATTGTTAGCAACAATTTCACTCTGTTTTTGTGTATTTGGAAATGTCTTGATATTTATTTTATTTTTGAAGCTTTACTGGACATATAATTCTTGTTTGACAGTCTTTGTCTTTCAGCTCTTTAACATGTCAGCACTTTGAATTTGTTGTCCCACAACCTTCTGGCCTCCATGGTTTCTGATGAAAAGTCAGCTGTTAATCTCATTGTGGAACTTCTATATATAATGAGGTTCTTTTTCATGTTGCTTTCTAGATTCTCTCTTTGTCTTTGTCTTTGAACAGTTGGTTATGATGTGCCCAGATGTGGATTTCTTTAAGTTTATCCTACTTGGAGTTATTTCAGCTTCTTGGATGTGTAGCCTAACACTTATCATGACATCTGGGAGATTTTCAGCCATTATTTCTTCAAATGTACATATTTTTTCCCTTTCTCTCTATCCTCTCCTTCTGGGAATCCCCCACTTTATGTATTTTGGTATGCTCAATGGCATCCCACAGAGCTTTGAGGCTTTGTTATTTTTTTCTTTTAAAATAAGCTTTCGATAGTTTCAGATTTATAGAAAGGTGTAAAGCTAGTACAGAGAATTCCTATATATCCCACACCCAATTTTTCCTGTTATTACTTTACATTAATGTGGTATATTTGTTATCATTAATGAATTGCTATTGATATATTATTCCAACTAAAGCCCATATCTTACTCAGATTTCCTTAGTTTTCACCTAATGTCATTTTTCTGTTCCAAGATCTTATTTTGGATACCACATTATATTTAGTTATCATATCTCCTTAGACTCCTCTTGGCCATGACAATTTCTCAGACTTTCTTTGTTTTTCATGACCCTGACATTAAAAAAAATGTTTTTTAAATAACCAAATACTTGCAACAAATGACCTTGACATTTTTGAAGACTACTGGTCAGGTATTTTGTAGAATGTCCCTTAATTCGGATTTGTCTGATTGGACTAATGTTATACATTGAGGATGAAGACCACAGCTCATCACATCATATCAAAAATACATAGTATCAACATGGCTTAACAGTGTTGATGCAGACCTTGTCAGGTTTCTCCACACTTTGGTAAAACTACTCCCCCCACCCCCACACTATACTTTGTTCATTTTTATTCATTTGGTTTTCCTTCTACTCCTCAGACTGGATGATCTCAATTTACCTATTTTCAAGTTCATTGATGCTTTTTTCTGTCAGCTCAAATCTGCTATTGAGTCCTTCTAGTGAATTTTAAATGTCAGTTATTGTACTTCTCAACTCCAGAATTTTTATTGGGTTCTTTTTAAAGTAACTGCTGTCTCTTTGTCAATATTCTCTTTTTTTAAGTAATTGTGTGCACAGGTAATGAACTCCCTTTTTTGAAGTATAATTCAATAGCTTTAAACATATTTACAGATAAAATTTTAGAACATTTTCATCATCCCCCAAAGAAATTCCATACCCATTAGCAGTCATTCCTCATTTCTTCCCCACCCTGTCAGCCCCAGGCAATTACTAATCTATTCCCTTCCCTCTTCAGCCCCTGGCAAACACTAACTTACTTTCTGTCTGTATGGATTTGCCTATGCTAGACATTTCATAAAAATTGAATCATACAATATTTGGTCTTTTCTAACTGGCTTTGTTCACTAAGCATTATATATTTAAAGTTTACCCATGGTGTACCACATATCAATACTTCATTCCCTTTTTTGTTGGTGACTAATATTCTATTTTAAGGATATACTATATTTTGCTAATCCATTCATCAGTTGATGGACATCTGGGTTATTTCTACCTTTGGGCTATTATAAATAATTCTGCTATGAACATTTGTGGGAAAGGTTTTATATAGACATACATCTTCAATACTTTTAGGTATATACCAGGAATAGAACTGCTGGGTAATATTGTACCTCTGTATTTAACATTTTAAGGAACTACCAGACTGTTTTCCAAAGCAGCAATACCATTTTACATTCTCATTTGTAATGCATGAGAGTTCCAACTTTTCTACAACCTCACCAGTCTTGTGTCTCATATTTTAAAAATTAGACCTGTCTTTTTATAAACTAAAACCATCCTATTGTGCATGAAGTGGCATTGATTTGCATTTCCCTGATGGCTAAAGATGTTGAGCATCTTTTCATTTGTTTATTGTTCATCTGTATATCTTCTTTGAAGAAATGTGTATTCATACCCTTTTGCCTAGTTCTTAATTAGGCTGACCAGGTGCTGTGGTTCATGTCTGTAATCCTGACACTTTGGGAGGCCGAGGGGGGGTGGATCATTTGAGGTCAGGGGTTCAAGACCAGCCTGGCCAACATGGCAAAACCCTGTCTCTACCAAAAATACAAAAATTAGCTGAGCGTTGTGGCACATGCCTGTAGTCTCAGCTACTCGGGAGGCTAAGGCAGGAGAATCACTTGAACCCAGAAGGCAGAGGTTGCAGTGAGCCAAGATTGCACCACTGCACTCCAGCCTGGATGACAAAGTGAGACTCTGTCTCAAAAAAAAAAAAAAAAATTAATTGGGCTATTTGTCTTCTTGTCATTGAGTTGTTAAGACTTCTTTTTGTAATTTTTTTTTTTTTAAATTTTTGGTGTTTGGTTTGGGAGGTATTTTGTTGTTTTCTTATTTTTTATTTATTTTATTTTTTGAGATGGGGTTTCTCTATTTGCCCAGGCTGGTCTTGAACTCTCAGGCTCAAGCAATCCTCCTGCCTCAGCCTCCCAAGTAGCTGGAATTACAGGCATGTGCTACTGTGCCCAACTTGTAAGAGTTCTTTTTGTATTCTAGATGCAAGTAACTTATCATATATATGGATTTCACATATTTTCTTTCATTTTGTGGGTTATCTTTTTACTTTCTTGGTTGTGCTTTTTGAATCACAAAAGTTTTAAATTTTGAAGCCAAATTTATCTATTTTTTCTTTGTTTGCTTGTGCTTATAGTATCCTATCTCTGAAACAAACCTAATCCAAAGTAATAAGGATCTATGCCTACATTTTCTTGTAAGATTTTCATAGTTTTAGCTTTTGCATTAGGTTCTTGATCTATTTTTAGTTAATTTTTGTACATGACATTAGGTAGGGGCCGATCATCATCATTCTTTAGCATGTGGATATCCACTGTCTCACAGCATTTGTTAAGAAACTATTCTTTTCCATTGAATTGTCCTATACCCTGGTTGAAAATCAATTGACTGTCAATCTTAAGATTTATTTGTAGACCCCTAATTATATTGTTTGATGTATAATGTCAGTGCCACACTGTTTTGATTACTATAGTTTTGGAATATATTTTGAAGTCAGAAAATGTGAATCTTCCAACTTTGTCTCCTGAACCCTGCCCAAGATTGTTTTGACTATTCTGGGGCCCTTAAATTTCCATATGAATCTTAGGATCAGCTTCTCAATTTCTGAAAAGAATCCAGAGGGAATGGATGGGAATCACATTAGATCTATAGATCAATTTGGAGAGTATTGCCTTAACAATATTGTCTTTTGATCCAGGAACATGGGATGTCTTTCCATTTATTGAGGTCTTCTTTATTGTTTTTCAATCAACCGTTAATTCTTTAGACATATTTATAATAATTATTATTATTTAATTGTAATAATTATAATTTAAAGTCTTTGTCTATTAAGTCCAACTTCTCAGCATCTGATATGGCTTGGCTCTGTGTCCCCACTCAAATCTCATCTTGAATTGTACTTCCCATGCATTGTGGGAGGGACCTGGTGGGGGATAATTGAATCATGGGGGTGGTTTCCCCCATACTGTTCTTGTGGTAGTGAATAAGTCTCACAAGATCTGATGGTTTTATCAGGGGGTTCCACTTTTGTGTCTTCCTCATTCCCTCTTTGCCTGCCGCCATCCATGTAAGACAGCACTTGCTCCTCCTTGCCTTCTGCCATGATTGTGAGACTTCCCCAGCCATGTGGAACTGTAAGTCCAATTAAATATCTTTTTTTTTTTTTTTTTTTGAGACAGATTCTTGCTCTGTCTCCCAGGCTGGAGTGCAGTGGTGCCACCTTGGCTCACTGCAAGCTCTGCCTGCCGGGTTCACACCATTCTCTCACCTCAGCCTCCCAAGTAGCTGGGACTACAGGCGCCTGCCACCATGCCCGGCTAATTTTGTTTTTGTATTTTTAGTAGAGACGGGGTTTCACTGTGTTAGCCAGGATAGTCTCCTTGATCTCCTGACCTCGTGATCCGCCTGCCTCGGCCTCCCAAAGGCCTGGGGTTACAGGCATGACCGCTCCACCCGGCCATTAAATCTCTTTCTTTTGTAAATTGCCCAGTCTTGGTGAGTATGTCTTTATGAGCAGCATGAAAATGGACTAATACAGAATCCTCAGGGAAAGTTTTTGTTGTCTAATTTTTCATCCTGTGTATGAAGCATATTTTCTTGTTTCTTTTTCTGTCTTGTAACAATTTTTCGAAAACTGGACATTTAAAATTGCATAATGTGGAAACTCTGGAATAGGTTTTCCCTGATATTCCCCTTCCACAGGGTTTGCATTGTTGGTGCTGTTTGTTATTGCTGTTGCTGCCATCATTCATTTTTAAAGGGCCTTTCCTGGTCTAATTCTGTATTTTGAAAAATTTGTGAATGGCCACCAAAGTCTCTGTTTAGTTAGCTTAGTGGTCAGCTAATGACTACAGAGATATCCTTAAATTCTTTTTTTTTTTTTTTTTTTTTTTTTTTGATATAGAGTTTTGCTCTTGTCATCCAGGCTGGAGTGCAGTGGTGTGATCTCGGCTCACTGCCACCTCTGCCTCCTGGGTCCAAGTGATTCTCCTGCCTCAGCCTCCCGAGTAGCTGGGATTACAGGCGCGTGCCACCATGCCCAGCTAATTTTTGTATTTTTAGTAGAGACAGGGTTTCACTATATTGGCCAGGCTGGTCTCAAACTCCTGACCTCAGGCGATCTGCCCAACTTGGCCTACCAAAGTGCTGGGATTACAGGCGTGTGCCACTGTGCCTGGCCTCCTTAAATTATTTGAGCCAATATGTCTCCCTGGTTTTGCTAAGAGTCTCTGTATGTGTGTTGGAGCATGCATCTGATGCTCTGGCAGTTTAAAATTCTGCCCCAGTCCTTACTGTGCTTGCACAGCCTCATGATCAACTAGGAATGAGAAACGAGGGCCTTCTCATGTATTTCCTAGCCATGTTCATAGCCTTGTACATGCACATGGCTTTCTAGATTTCCAATAATATGGTGGATCTTTTCAAAGCTCCCAATGACATATTATTCCCTAGATTTTTCTTTTAAGTTTCTCATCAGCCAACTGGTATCACTGGCTCAGGCAATTGCAATGTTAAACAGTTGTCACTGATTATTTTCAACAAACAGGATAGGACTATTTTCACTGAGGCATTTCTGAGTCATATCAAATGAAGAAAAGCCCTGAAAATAGTGCCTTTCTAAGGAGCTGCCAGACAGGTCAGATAGTCACAGTTCTTTGGGGATACAGGTTTTGGGGGAGCTCCAAACCTATTCTGCCCCCTCTGGTAGCTGCTAGCCTGCTTATTTCCACAGTTCCCATGGTGGTGAAGTTGCTGGTTTTCAAGGCTATCACAGAGGTGGGGAGAGAAGAATGGAAATAGGGCAAGTAAAAATTTCATGAAGCTCATTATTCTTATGAGATTTGGCCATTTTCCTTTTCTTTATTTTAAGAGACAGGGTTTCACTATGTAGCACAGGCTGGAGTGCAGTGGTGGAATCACAGTTCACTGCAGCCTCAAATTTCTGGGCTGAAGCAATCCTCCCATCTCAGCCTGCCAAAGTGCTGGGACTACAGGCATGTGCCACTGTGCCTGGCTAATTATTTATTTTTAGTAGAGATTGGGGTCTCACTATGTTACCCAGGCTGCTCTCAAACTCCCAGGCTCAGGTGATCCTCCTACCTCAGCCTCCCAAAGTGTTCGTATTACGGGCGTGAGCCACCACACCTGGCCTCAGCCATTTTTCTTTAACAAATTGACTCATGATATTGCAAACCTCTGGCAAATTCCTAGAGTTCTGAAGAAGTTTATGTGGACAATTTTGCTAGTGCTCTTCTTGCCTTCCATTCTTCAAGTATCAGTCCATTCTTGCATTGCTATAAGGAATACCTAAGATTGGGTAATGTATAAAGAAAAGAGGTTTAATTGGCATATGGTTCTGCAAGTTGTACAGGAAGCATGATGCTAGAATCTGCTTGGCTTCTGAAAGGCTTCAGAAAACTTACTATGATGGCAGTACGCAAAGGAGGAGCGAGGCATCTCACACGGTGGGAACAGTAGAGAGAGAGAGGGAGGAGGTGCTACACACTTTTTAAACAACTAGATCTCGTCAAAGATCACTCGCCATCACAAGAACAGCACCAAGAGGATGGCGCTGAACCATTCATGAGAACCCTCTCCCATGATCCGATCACCTCCTACCAGGCCCCACCTCCAAAACTGTGGATTACATCTCCACACATGAGACCGGGTGGGAACACAAGCCCAAATCGTATCCAAATGCTTCCCTCATGACCTTTGTTTTTAAAATAATTTGTTTAATTATACATTTATATAATTTATTTATTTATTTTTGAGATGGAGTCTCACTCTGTTGCCCAGGCTGGAGTGCAATGGCATAATCTCAGCTCACTGCAACCTCTGCCTCCTGGGTTCAAGTGATTCTCCTGCCTCTGCCTCATGAGAAGCCGGGATAACAGGTGCCAGCCACCATGCCCAGGCCATCTTGGCCTGGCTGGCCTTGAACTCCTGACCTCAAGTGATCCACCTGTCTAGGCCTTCCAAAGTGCTGGGATTACAGGCGTGAGCCACTGCCTATAACTTAAATTTTAACAATGGCTGTGTTGAACAACCAATGCGCATAATTCCTGAACATGTTAACAATTGGCTTTCATGAGTTGGCACCAGCAGCTCCAGGACCCCACCAACAGGCCTCCTGGGTGCCCCATTTGATCCAGCTGAGCTCTGTGAACCTTTAGAGTATCTGCTAGGTGCCAGAGCTCCAGAAGTGCTCATCCAATACTAAGCTGACTCCACATCCTTCAGCATCCAGGCCTCAGCCAGAGCTTGCTGGCAGGACAGACACTGGCAGGAGGGTCTTCCAAGCGATAGCTTGGCATGAAGGAAAACTTGAAAGAGGCTTGGCATGAAGGAAAACTTGCAAGAATGGCTGTAAAGGGCTGGGCGTGGTGGCTCATGCCTATAATCCCAACACTTTGAGAGGCCGAAGTGGGCAGATCACTTGAGGTCAGAAGTTCAAGACCAACCTGGCCAACATGGTGAAACCCTGTCTCTCCTAAAAATACAAAAATTAGCCAGGTGTGGTGGCGGGCGCCTGTAACCCCAGCTACTCAGGAGGCAGAGGCAGGAGAATCACTTGAGCATGGGAGGCAGAAGTTGCAGTGAGCCAAGATCACACCACTGTACTCCAGCCTGGGTGACAGAGCGAGACCCTGTTTCAAAAAAGAAAAAAAAAAAAGAATGGCTGTAAAACACTGAAAGATATTGCTTCTAATCTTAGGTATTGATTTCCAAATTGTGCTAAAGGCTGTTTTCTGACTTCTGGGTGAAACTAAACAAAGCCAACAGGTTTTTGTTTGTTTAATAACATCTCTAACTGGAAGTCTTCAAGTATTGAGTAAAGGCATACACGGTGAGGTGGGTGGTGGGGCAAAGGCTGCCTTTAGACATCATCTGGGGGATGTGCACTGTAACCCCTGTTCTGTGAAAGAGGAAAAGAAGTTTGTTTATTTGTTTGTTTGTTTTAACTTTTGGGCTTGCTCAAATAATAGCAAAATCTACTTTGGGATTGTGGTCCAACGTGCTGTTGGAGTGCA
This sequence comes from Homo sapiens, assembly GCF_000001405.40. NCBI lineage: Eukaryota > Metazoa > Chordata > Mammalia > Primates > Hominidae > Homo > Homo sapiens. The sequence goes on from NC_000007.14 coordinate 98,104,876, forward strand.
CTTTAGTTGTAAATAACCACTACCAGGATTATCAGGTAAGGCCTTCCTTAGGCCAGCACTACAGCAGGCAGTCACGAGCCTCCTTGCAGTACACAGTGTGGGTGTCCCTGGCTTCTCTGAACTCAAAGTGAGAAGCTTCCTGATAGAAGTAGAAGTATAGGCTAGGCGCGGTGGCTCATGCCTGTAACCCCAGCACTTTGGGAGGCCGGAGTGGGCAGATCACGAGGTCAAGAGATCGAGACCATCCTGGCCAACATGGTGAAATCCTGTCTCTACTGAAAATACAAAAATTAGCCAGGTGTGGTGGCGGGCACCTGTAGTCCCAGCTACTCAGGAGGCTGAGGCAGGAGAATCGCTTGAACCCAGGAGGCAGAGGTTGCAGTGAGCTGAGATCGCACCACTGCATTCTAGCCTGGTGACAGAGACAGACTCTGTCTCAAAGAAAAAAAAAAAAGAAGTAGAAGTACAACAGGGTGATTGTGTCTCTTTCCTAGACCTTTGCCTTCCTTACCAATTCTGCATATAATCAGCAGAAAGCCGTGAACTTTTTTTTTTTTAAGACAGAGTCTCGCTGTGTCGCCCAGGCTGGAGTGCAGCGGTGTGATCTCAGCTCACCGCAACCTCCGCCTCCTGGGTTCGAGCAATTTTCCTGCCTCAGCCTCCCAAGCAGCTGGGATTACAGGCATGCGTCACCGTGTCTGGCTAATACTTTTTGTATTTTTAGTAGAGATGGGGTATGACCATGTTGGCCAGGCTGGTCTTGAACTCCTGGTCTGAAGTGATTCACCCACCTTGGCCTCCCAAAGTGCTGAGATTACAGGTGTGAGCCACCGTGCCCAGCCAAGCCATGGACTTTTAAATTCAATGTTTCTCGTTCCAGGTATTTGTCTCCTTAGATATTTATTGGCTTGCCTCAATCATCCAACAAATATTCCCTGGGCATCATCTGTGTGTCCAGTGCTGTGTTAACATCATCGACAGCTGGCATTTAGGATGGACATTTGGGGAGTTTGGAGAATTGGGGAGGTTACACTGTTGCCAGGTGGCAAAGTCTCATCTGATAAGATTGAAATCAGCTCCTCTCATGCACACACTGAACCATAGCGCCTCTCCAGAAAAGCTTAGCATTTTCCCAACCCCCATGCCTCTGACCACTATATTACTTGTGTCTGGAGAGTGCTTTCTCTATCCTCTCTGCAGGACTGTGTTCTCACCTCACCTCTTGGTGGGGAGAAGGCCACCCCTGGGAGCTGCTCTGCCCTGGTACCTGGGACCAGGGCCATGCACCATTGCTTTAGAGAACACCTGCTCCGACCCAGGTCCTGCACCAGGGATTTCCCACCAGCTGAATCAGACACAGTTGCTGTCCTCAGGGAGCTTACAGTCACGGGTCAATAGGATACTGCAGCTAGGATAGCAGTCCACACAGGGCCAGGGCGGGGCACTAAGGAGATGACAGTCATTTCTCCTAGAGAGTCATAGATGAAGTCATATGTCAGGTGAGTCTCGACAGATGAAAGGAAGAGTGTCTGCCAGGTGGACAAGAGGCAACAGCTTGAGCTCAGGAGGTGAGTCAGTGGGTGATGCCGAGAGAGGCATTCTCTTGATCAATTCAAGTGAAAAGCCCAAAGCTGTTTGATGGCTGAGAGGATGTGTAGGTCAACTTAAGGAGAAGAGCCTAAAACAGCTCTGACAAGTAAAAAAAAAAAAAAGGCAGAAGACAAGACAGGCCTATTTTTGCATGTTATAAAACACCGAGAAAAAAATATCAGGATGATTGTCATGGTCTTCTTTACATTTTCCTGTATTTTTCAATTTAAAATAATTGTTGGTGTTACCTGCTGCCCACGCACTCCTCCGTCTGCAGGGGGCGCACCGGCCGCCACCGCTCACTCCTTCAGGATGATGGGCGGGGCCTCCTGGGCCGGTGTGGACTGACGAGTGGCTGGCCGCCCTGTCCATCACGACATCCCGCCCCCGCGCTACGTCACATGACGCAGCCCATCATGGCGGCGGGAGCGCGGCTTCCCAGGCCCGCCGCTCCGCAGGGCTGCTGGCGTTGCTGCTGTTGAGAGGCGGCGGCGGCGGCGCAGGCGGGCGGGAAGGATGGTGTTTCTGCGACTGGAGCGGCAGGTGCGGACCGGGAGCCGGACCGAGGTTTGGCAGAAGCAACGTGTGCTCGGGAGCAACCGGCGCGGGTGCCACTGAGGCAGCGGAGGGAGGCAGGATCGACTGACGGGCGAACGGACGGACGGACGGAAGGCGACTCGAGGGCCGGCCCCGGAGCCGCGCCGTGGGCGAGATGCCGGGGCCGCCGGCGTTGCGGCGGAGGCTGCTGCTGCTGCTGCTGGTCCTCCTGATCGCCGGCAGTGCTGGGGCCGCGCCACTTCCGCAAACAGGTGCAGGTGAGCGGGCCCGCGGCGGGGACGGGGCTGCGGGGTCTTCGGCGTGGAGGGGAGGGGGCGGCAGGGCCGGGCCGGCCTCGGCGCCGAGGAATCGGAGGGCCTGCCGGGGGCGGGAAGCCCAGGGAGGCGAGTGATTAGGGAGATTTCTGCCGCAGGGGCGTGGGATTTGGGGGGGCGGGAGCGAGGCGACGTCGTTGGGGCTGGGGAGGGCGGCGGGCGAGGTAGCAGCCACCGACCCCTCCCGGGATAGGCTGCGGTGCCGGCCCTGGACCTGTTGCCTTAAGATCCTCAGCTTATATCGCTTCCTGGCAGTTCAGCTTCCCTTTCCAGATGTCACCTGCCTCTTGTGCTTTTTTTTCGCATCTCATAAGAACCGTTTCTTAGCCCTAATCATACTTAAATGCAAATGACTTGGCGAGCTGTGCGGAGTTTGTTTTCGCTCCTTGCAACTTATTCTGAAGTTGTAAATTGATTTTAGACGCTGTGCTTTTTATTCGGAATGTATCTCCGGGGATGAGAAGGAAACAACTATAAATATTTCTATTTTAGGAAGCCAGTGATTAGAGTAGCAGGCGTTGAATAACTATTGACAAACTGGCTTAAGGGTGATGGAAGTTTCTATTTTAGCTAACGTCAGTGTATGATTTTCTTTTCTCCCCCCCCGCCCATTTTCTCAACATCGTTTTTATTTGGGGTTTATTTTCCTAAATAAAACTTCAACCCAAGAAAACATCCCAAGTTGGGTCATTTTTCTAAAAAGGAAAAAAAAATCTAGGCTAACTTGGCGTTATTGACTGCCGCCATTACCTTTGAAATGGGGAAAGATTGAAATTTCATACATTCATAGAATGTTAGAGTTAGAAGAGACCTTAAAGAAAATTTAGACCAATTTCTTCTTTACGTAGTAGGAGATACTGGGCATGTTGGGTCAAATGACCTACCCAGGGTGACACAGCTTCGTTGTAGGCAGAGCCCCAAAGCCAGGTCTTAGATACCCCTAGTTGTATGATTTTTTTTAAGTCTTGTAACTGTTTTGGAATACTCTCGAGGTCAAGAGTTATTTTGGAATAATGTTAATTGGGTACAGAATGTGGATGTACTGTCTCCAGTAAAGACATATTTTTCAAACAAATCTACGATGAAAGCTACATGTAATTGCTTCCAGAGCTACATCAGGGTTTGTCATTGAGTGCCCTTTAGTTGAACGTTAAATGTCCTCATTGTACCGTATAATGTAGCACTAAATTTCTGTTACTGCCTTAGATCAAATACTTGTGAGGTGAATTCTGTTTTCTGATCCGATAGATAAGAAGAGTAAATGTTATCAGATGTGTATAGGCAACCCCGGAAAGAGTCACAGGAAATGCCTGGGAAATAATGAAAGATTATGTGGAAGGATGGTGATGTTGATATTTAAAGATATTGATATTGAAAGTTAGCACTAGTATAGTGTAGTAGGTAAAGAGTATTTATATGATGGGGATTCAAGAAATTTCCAGATGACTTTACACTTAATTGGATTTTTATATATTTTGAAGTATCGATTCTTTATAGGAACCTATGTCTGCCTGCACACTTTTTTTTTTTTTTTTTTTTTGAGACGGAGTCTTGCTCTGTCACCCAGGCTGGAGTGCATCATCGGTGCGATATCAGCTGACTGCAACCCCCCCCTTCCGAGTTCAAGCAGTTCTCTGCCTCAGCCTCCTGTGTAGCTGGGACTACAGGCCCCTGCCACCATGTCCGGCTAATTTTTGTATTTTTAGTAGAGACGGGTTTCATCATCTTGGCCAGGCCGGTCTTGAACTCCTGACCTCGTGATTCACCCGCCTCAGCCTCCCAAAGTGCTGGGATTACAGGCGTGAGCCACCGCGCCTGGCCACCTGTACACTTCTTACACGGTTTTTATTCCATTCTTTTACAATTTTATGGTGTCATGAATTATAAAATGAATTTTGTTGGGGTGTTGTAGAACAAAGCAATCAGAAAAGTTAATCTGTAAATAGAGATATCAAATCTTGACATACATATAGCATAAGGAAATATTTGGTAATTTGTAGCAACTTTTGCTACAAATTTTCCTTTCATATTCTGATCTTTGTAGGATAGGTGTATATGTTTTGACGTGTTGCATATGAATAATGGGTACCTAGGGTTAAAGTCTGTGGAAAAGACGCACAGTCAGGCCGGGAGCAGTGGATCACACCTGTAATCCCAGCACTTTGGGAGGCCCAGGTGGGTGGATTGCTTGAGGTCAGGAGTTCGAGACCAGCCTGACCAACATGGTGAAATTCCCTCTCTACTAAATATACAAAAATTAGCCGTGCGTGGTGGTGGGAGCCTGTAATCCCAACTATTTGGGAGGCTGAGGCAGGAAAATTGCTTGCACCCAGGGAGCGGAGCTTACAGTGAGCCGAGATTGTGCCACTGCATCATAGCCTGGGCAACAGAGTGAGACTCCGTCTCAAAAAAAAAAAAAAAAAAAAGAAAGGAAGATGCACAATCAGACATAGATATTCAGGGGCTTGTCTCTCCATCCAAAAGAGTTTATTGATCCTCGTTAGCTGAGGTGGGTTCTTGACCAAGATATATTAGACCAAGTTTAAAAAAAAACCTTTAAGCTAATCCTGACTAGTGAGCTCGCTGGTTAAAAAAGAGGAATCCCGCTTGACCATGTATGGTAGATAAAAGAGCAGTTACACGCCAAAAACCTAACTAAAGCTTCTGGTAATCTAGGAGCCTGCACTCCTTGTGAAGATAGAGCTAGACACTTTCAAATAAGGATAGACCCATTTCATAGGGTCTTTCGCCTCCTTGTTCTTCTTTCTGCTTGAAGCCTGATCAGTCTATCCAGTTTAATGGTGCCTTAGAGAAAGCATGCAGTTAACTGAAATTCAGCTTTTAAACTGAAGATCATTTATCTATGGTGTCTTCATCATCTAGATTCATTGCTAGACTCAGAAGCTGAAAAAGATATTTTCTTATTCAGTCATAATAAAGCTATGTAAATATATAGATTGCACTTGCCCATCAGGCAAGAAGGCATTTCTTGGTTGAACTTTATTTTGGGCCTCTTCTTTGAGCTGGGATGCCGTTTTGCCCCCTACGCCCGCCCCGTCTAGGAGCCTCTTTTCCTGAGAATCTGTGTTTCTGTAAGGGCCCTTGTTGTTATGTAGACTAAGACTTGTTGGTCCTCTCTAGGAAGCTTTTATGTAAAGGGAGAAAGTTCACTGTTTTCACACCCAGTTAAATTGCCAAACTAAGATTACAGTTCAGTTCTTTTCCCCAGATCATAGTTATCAGATCATTCTTCTCTTAGAAAACATGGATGCGCCTTTTCTAAGATTCTCAGGATTCACATCATAAACGGGGACTAGAAATAAAGAAAGATCTTGTATATGTGAACGAATTTCTCTAAGCTCACACTTTCTTATTAATATTAGGATAGTGGTGAGACAAGGAAACCCAGTTCTATTGTTCTGCAGCATATTAGGTCACAGAGTACAGAGGAAGCTTTTAGCAGCTCCAGATAAAGGACCTCACGGAAGCCCGTGAAGCCAGTGGGACTCAGCTACTGATTAAACAGCAGCTTGTGAAACCGAGCCTCTCGTTTTAGATTAAACAAACAGACTTGTATTTTGAAAAAGATTTCTAAAGTAAAGGAAATGCTTTCTAAAGTATGAATTACTGTGTTTAACAGCCTCTGGGAAAATTATTTTCAACAGGCTTTCTATGCAAATTATTTTAGGATTTATAGCTATAAATCTTGAAATTTGATTTTGGTTGGGATTGCTGCAATTACTTTTACTTGGTGATATTTTGGGGTTAACTAAATATGCTCATTTGAACAGTAATAGGAAGTCCGTCTGCAGTTTTGTAGCTGATTAGCACTGAAGTTATCAAATCCTTACAGTTTTGCTGATAATCAGTGTGCTGAGTGTTCCTGCAAATTCTCTTAAAAATTTAGAGTCCTTGGGCCCTCTCTGGCCCCTGTGTATTGTGTCACTTAGATAACAGCTGTAGATATAATTTTAAAAAGACACTGTCATATAAATAAGGGACGTCCAGGGTTCTGAAACAGTAAACAAATGAGTCCTCAAAAAAGTTCTTGTAAATGGACATATAGAAATAATCCAACTTTTTCGTTTAGTTGAGAGTAAAATTCATGAACCAATCCTAGCTGGAACAGAGTGTTGTAGGAAGAGCTTGGGCTTTGTAGTGAGATCTGGGTGTGAAGCCTTGGCTGCCGCTGGAATAGCTTAAGGACCCTGGGTCAGTTACTCGACCTCTGGGCTTAGAACTCCATCATTAAAAAGGGTGGCAATGACAATATTTACCCAAAGGGTTGTGGGGGGCACAGTGGTGTACCCTCTCACACTAGATTGCTTCATTGTTTCAGATTTCTTTGTAAATTTGGTTATCATCAAATTGACTAATGGCAGGTGGTATGGCATCAAAGCAGGAGCTCAAAGTGGTAGCTGCGTAACATGGCATGTCTAGAATTTACTGGATTTAAAAAATCTTTGTTGCTCAAAATAACTTTTTTATGGTGGATGGAGATGCTTTAGAGAGAAATCTGGTTTATTTAAGTCTAAGCTGGTATTGTTACTACTTGAAATTCGTAGTGTTGGAGAACTATGCTGGAAATTTTTAGGATCATCTGGGTTAGTCTGCTTTTATGTAATAAACCTGTTTTTAAAGTGGAAGATGACTAAAGCTCTTGCATGTGAACAGATGCTGATTTTAATTTATTTAAAGGAATCATGAGCACTTGAAAGTTTTTCTTGATCTTAAACACAATTGTGTATTGTCATGAGGCATCCCTGATTAACCCAGGTTGTAGTAGAACAAGCCCAGAGCTGATGCTTTCTCTTAGAAACCAGAGAGATGAATGTGACTGACGTTTTTCTTTCTCCCTCTCATTTTTCTTTTTTTTAAGAGACAGGATCTTGCTCTGCTGCCCAGGCTAGAGTGCAGTGGTGCGATCATAGCTCACTGCAACCTCCAACTCCTGGCCTCAAGAGATCCTCCCATTTCAGCCTCCCAAAGTGCTGGGGTTATAGGCATGAGTCACTGCACCAGGCAAGACTTGGTTTATCTGTAAAACGGAGAGAATAGTTACAGTCTTGTGAAGGTCCAAACCTGTGTTGTCTAGTACAATAGCCACTAGCTCCCTGTGGATGCTTAAATGTAAACGTTTTAGAACGAAAGCTTCAGTTCTTCAGTGGCACTGGCCACAAGTTAAGGGCTTGATAACTGCAGGTGGCTGGTGGCTACGGCATTGGACAGCACAGAAGAGAACTTCCCATTATGGAAAAAGGTTCTGTGGGACAGGGCTGGTGTGAGGCAGGTACAGTGCCCAGTCCTTGGTTAGGACATGTAAGGCCAGCTGTGATTATAATTATGATCATGATCCTGATTCTTCGTGAACTCCCAAATCTAGGCCCATTACAAGGGTGAGGGAAGTGAGAAGAGGGCTTTGAAAAAAGAAAGAAGAAAAGACAAAATAATTGTGGAGTTTTTGCTGGTGAAGAGATGAGAACTGAGGTAGCACAACCTCAGCTCCCCACTGCAGAACAGAAGAAAGAGACTTCAGGGAAAAACAGTCTTGCTCTGTCACTCAGGCTGGAGTGCAATGGCACAATCACAGCTCACTGTAGCCTCAAACTCCCAGGCTCAAGCAATCCTCCTGCCTCAGCCTCCTGAGTAGGTGTGTGTCACCTACAGACACTTACCTGTAGGTGTGTGACTACAGGTGTGTGCCACCATGCCCACTTTATTTTTTTGTAGAGATGGTGATATGGTTTGGCTGTTTCCTCACCCAATTCTTATCTTGAATTGTAGTTCCCGTAATCCCCATATGTCGTGTGAGGAACCCCATGGGAGATAGTTGAATCATGGGGGTGGTTACCCCCATGCTATTCTTGTGATAGTGAATGAGTTCTCACAAGATCTGATGGTTTTGTAAGGACTTTTCCCCCTTTGCTTGGCACTTCTCTCTCCTGCTGCCATGTGACGAAGGACATGTTTGCTTCCCCTTCCACCGTGTTTATAAGTTTCCTGAGGCCTCCCCAGCCATGTGGAACTGTGAGTCAATTAAACCTCTTTCCTTGATAAATTACCCAGTCTTGAGCGATTCTTTATAGCACTGTAAGAATGGACTAATACAGCTGGCGTCTCACTGTGTTGCCCAGGCTGGTCTCAAATTCCTGGCCTCAAGTGATCCTCCTGCCTCAGTCTCCAAAAGTGGTAGGATTATAGGTGTGAGCCACCGCACCTGGCCCTTTCTCATTTAAAATCATGTGCTTTTATAGTCGACTAGCAGTGCTTTATTACTGTTTTAAAACTTTGTATTTACTAAAATGAGGGAAGGAATATTCTCGGAGGAGATGCTGGACAACCATCTCTGATCTAGAAGACTGCTCCCTCTAGGGATTTTAGATTCCATTATCAGCTTTTCTTTGAATCTTCTTATGAAGATACTGTTGCAGAAAACTGGGGAAGTTATGGTAAAATTAGCATGTCTGCAGAGCAAAATATTGGATTGATGTCTTTTAAAATTGTAGCAAGTGGCTAATTCGGAGCCCTGCCTTGGCATTACAATTGTTTGTCACAAAGAGCAGGCATATCAGAAAAGTAACCTCATTATTAAATTCTTTTTTTTTTTTTTGCAAAAGTTAGCTCAGTGCAGTGATTCCAAATGTCATTTATTGTATTGTGATTCAGGTGGGAAAAGTGAGCACTATTTATGCCAGATGTCTCAGGTACCCGCAGCCACAGCATTGATCAGTATCTTTCATTTTCTCTGCCTTTTTTTCCTTCCCCAACCACAAAAGAGTGACTCTGTATTCCTCTGCCCACCTGGGCCTTTGGTAGGAGGGGGTGGTGGTGGTAAACCTTCTGTTTAATTTTTGACAATTTGGTAGGTAGGTTTTGCATTTTATTATATGTGTTTTTTTAAAGTTTTTTTTTTTTTTTTTTGAGACAGGGTCTTGTTCTGTCACTCAGGCTGGAATGCAGTGGTGCAGTCATATTCACTGCAGTCTCTACTTCTTGGGCTAAAACGATCCTCCCACCTCAGCCTCCTGAATAGCTGGGACTACAGGTGGATACCACCATGCCTGACTGATGTAAAACATATTTTTTCTATAGAGATGGGATCTCACTATATTGCCCAGGCTGGTCTCAAACTCCTGGACTCAAGTGATCCTCCCACCTCAGCCTCCCAAAGTGCTGGGATTACAGGCATGAGCCACTGCACCTGGGTAGTTTTAATATTTTAAAAGGCTTGAGTTACCATCAGGTCAAATTAGGTGTGCAGGACCTTGTGCTATGGCTAAAGTAGCCCCTGTCTCCCTGCATCTGGTGAAGGGAGACGGTCGCATCGGGGTGTCTGCTGCAGCGCATCTGTTGTTGTTCCTGCCTCCACCCTCCACAGCACTTTTTTCAGAGCTAACTTGATCTGCCTATCGCTTGCAAAATATTCCATGCAAATTCCCATCTTCTGGCTCTCCATATATTCTCCCTGTTTGCAATTGCCTCTTTTCCTGCTTCTGTAAGTGCTGCCATCTTTTTATTTTTTTTAAAACCTCTTTGCGGACCCACCTTCCCTACTGAGTTATTGATCCTGGCCCAGCCCTTAGAGATTCCTTCCCTTGGTGAACTTGAGAGTGTATACCTGTGGAGCAAGATGTTTCATGGGGTGCCAGACGAAAACATTGGAACTGATGTTTATTCTCATTTCATCCTCTTAAAAGGTCAACTTATGTGATGTTTTAAGGTATAGAATGTGTGGTACACTAACACATTTTTTGATTTATAAATGACATGGGACGGAAAGAACATAAAATGTACTGCCTGGGTACAGTGGCTCATGCCTGTAATCCCAGCACGGTGGGAGGTCGAGGTGGGTGGATCACGTGAGGTCAGGAGTTCAAGACCAGCCTGGACAACACGGAGAAACCCCGTCTATACTAAAAAACACAAAAATTAGCTGGGTATGGTGGCACACTCCTAAAGTCTCAGCTACTCAGGAGGCTGAGGCAGGAGAGTCGCTTGAACCCAGGAGGCAGAGGTTGCAGTGAGCCGAGATCATGCCATTGCACACCAGCCTGGGCGACAGAGCGAGACTCAAAGAAAGAGAAAAAGAAAGAAGAAAGAAAGAGAAGAAAAAAAGAAAAGAAGGAAGGGAGGGCGGGAGAGAGGAGAGAGAAATTACTGCTGGCTGAAATCAAGAAAGGTTTGGTTTTGGGCCGGGTGCTGTGGCTCACACCTGTAATCTCAGCACTTTGGGAGGCCGAGGCGGGCGGGTCACGAGGTCAAGAGATTGAGACCATCCTGGCCAACATGGTGAAACCCCGTCTCTACTAAAAAGTCAGCTGAGTGTGGTGGCGGGCACTTATAGTCCCAGCTACTCAGGAGGCTGAGGTTGAACCCGGGAGGCGGAGGTTGCAGTGAGCTGAGATCGCACCACTGTGCCCAGGCCTAGTGACAGAGCAAGACTCCATCTCAAAAAAAGCAAAAAAAGAAAGGTTTGGTTTCATCATACCAGTCTACTACTTGCACTTAATAAATACCAAATACCACTTTATATCTTCATATCATTGGTTTTTTGTTTGTTTGTTTAAGAGACAAAGTCTTGCTCTGTTGCCCAGGCTGGAGTGCAGTGAACTGTCATGGTTTACTGCATCCCTGAACTCCTAGGCTCAAGCAGTCCTCCCATGTCAGCTCCTGAGTAGCTGGGACTATAGGCGCATGTAACCATGCTTGGCCAATTTTTACTTTTTGTAGAGATGGTCTACAAAAGTAAAGTTGCCATGTTGCCCAGGCTGGTCTCAAACTCCTGGCCTCAAGCAGTCCTCTGGCTTCGGCCTCCCACGGTGTTGGGATTATAGGTGTGAGCCACAGTGTCCGGCCTACATCATTGTTTAAGTCCTGTCTCTTTACCTAGTTTGCAAGGACCGTGTCTTATATCCTTGGGATAGCACATTTTTGGGATTGGTGTTTGGATGGTATGTCACAGGTTGTAGATGCTCTGTCAGCATTTGTAACTGAGGATGATGAAGATGATACTAGAGAACTAAGTTCTCCAAACCAGTACCTCAGTGTGTGTCTGTGTGTGTGTGTGTGCATGTGCGTGTGTTTGTGCGTGTGTGTGTGTGTTTGTGTCCGCGTGTGTGTGTGTGAAGGAGAGGGTATGAGCTGAAGCCTCTCATTCTCTTGCGGACTTGACTTCCCATGCAGCCACAGACCTTCACCTGGGATGAGGCCATTTATAGTTTTTTTTTTATTAAAACCTTTTTCTTTCACAACAATTTTAGATTTACAGAAACATTGCAAAGATAGTACAGAGTGTTCCTGTGTATCTTTTACCCAGTCCCTGTTGTTAACATCCTATATTAATGTAGTACATTTGTCACAACTAAGGAACAAGTATTAATATATTGCTATTAAATAAGTCCACAGCTTGTTCAGTTTCTTTAATATTTCTCTAGTGTCTTTTTTTCTCTTCCAGGAAACCACATTACATTTAGTAGTTATGCCCCTTGGGCTCCCCCAGTCCATTCCTTGTTTAGAGTGACCTGGACAGCTTTGAGGAGTACTGACTGGTCAGATATTTTGTAGAATGTCCCTCAACTGGGATTTGTCTGATGTTTTTCTCACGATTAGACTGGGGGTGTGGGTTTCTGGGAGGAAGACCACAGAGTTAAAGTGCCATTCTCATCACATCACATCAAGGGTGTGTGCACACAACATCACACAGCATGACTTGTCACTTGATCACCTGGCTGAGTAGTGTTTGTCAGCTTTCACCCTGTAAAGTTACTCTGTCCTCCCCTCCCCATGGTGTACGAGTGCAGGGTCAACACTTAATGAGTGGCAAGCTGTGCTCCACCTCTTTGCAAGGAAGTGTCTGTAGACATTCTTTGGAGTTCTGTTGAAGAGACTCGCGTATTCTCTTCTTTTCTTTTTTTCTTCCTCTTCCCCTTCCCTTTCCTTGACAGGTCTTGCTCTGTAGTCCAAACTGGAGTGCAGTAGCACAGTCATGACTCACTGCAGCCTTGAACTCCCGGGCCCATGCGATCCTCTGTTTATTTCTTTATTCAAGCATTTACTTATGTCAGTGTGGATGCATGGATATTTATTTTATACTTCGAGTTGATTCCACAGTGTTGTTTATTTGTTCTTACATTGTACCAGCTTTGGCCATCGAGAGCTCTTTCAGTTAGCTCCTGGGTGCCCCGCTGACATATCCTCATTTTTTTTTTAAGCATTTCCTTATTTTCTGGCATTTCAAGAAGCTACAGGTTCATCTTGTATATTCCCTGCCCCAGTCCTAGAATCAGCCTTTTCTTCAAGGAGCTCTGGTTCCTCTGATTGGAGAGTGATATGAGAAACCAAGATCTGGGCCAGGCGCAGTGGCTCATGCCTGTAATCCCAGCACTTTGGGAGGCCGAGGTGGGCGGATCACTTGAGGTCAGGAGTTCAAGACTAGCCTGACCAACGTGGTAAAACCTCGTCTCTACTAACAATACAAAAATTAGCCAGGTGTGGTGGTGTGCGCCTGTAATCCCAGCTACTCGGGAGGTTGAGGCAGGAGAATCACTTGAACCCAGGAGATGGAAGTTGCAATGAGCCGAGATCGGACCACTGCACTCCAGCCTGGGTGACAGAGTGAGATTGTCTCAAAAAAAACCAAACAAACAAAAAAAACAAGATCTGGGTGCTGGGTTTGCTCATTGCTTCTGGGCATTTTTAATAGATTTTTGATCCTCTGCTTCCTGTACCTAATCTTTGGGGTTGTGGGGAGGGGAGGAGAGAGCAACTTTGGGACCTCTTAGAGACAGATGAGCTGGAAGGACTCTGTCCATGTTTTCTCCCTGTCACTTAAACTATTAAATACCACCATAAACATTCTAAATACCATGTTTGTGGTACTAACTGCATTATAATGATATTGGCAGAATCTTATTTTTCTTTTTAGAGTAATAAATATATGAAAAATAGATTCGATTTACCTCCTCCAAGAGCAGCTTAATCTCTGAGAATATGAACGAAACCTCTTTGGCTTAAGAATTTAGTTAGAGAGGATTATTTTGGGGGGTCTTTCAGTGTTGGAATTGCTGAAAAGGTTTATAGGCAACTCCTTGAATTGGTAAAAGTTCAGATGAAATTTCTACTGGCGAGTCTCTTGAAGAGCATGGGGCTGTAGACTTGCTTTGATCTGTTTACTGAGCTTTGCTTTGCTTTTTTTTTCTTTTTATTATAGAAAATTTCAAACATACAGAAAAATAGAGTGAAGTGGTATAGTGGACCCTCGTGTTCCCGTCACCCAGCATCCACAGTATTTTCATTCATGATTCATCTTGTTTCACCTTTACCCTTCCCTCTGCCCTAGCCTTTGTTGTATTGATGTAAATCTCAGTGACGGATCAGTGCAGCTGAAAATGCTTCAGGAAGAAGTAAGTGTGTTTTTATAAAACAGGATGGCTTGCGTGCAGATCACCTAGGTATTTGTAGAAATGCAGATTTTGGCCGGGCGCAGTGGCTCATGCCTGTAATCCCAACACTTTGGGAAACCGAGGCAGGCAGATCATGAGGTCAGGAGATCGAGACCGTCCTGGCTAACATGGTGAAACCGCGTCTCTACTAAAAATACAAAAAATTAGCCAGGTGTGGTGGCGGGTGCCTGTAGTCCCAGCTACTCAGGAGGCTGAGGCAAGATAATCGCTTGAACCTGGGAGGCGGAGGTTGCAGTGAACCAAGATAGTGCCACTGCACTCCCGCCTGGGTGACAGAGTGAGAATCCATCTCAAAAAAAAAAAAAAAAAAAGAAATGCAGATTTCTGGGTCCCAAACTAACCAGCTGAATCAAAATGCTGAAGGCTGGGCTGGAATCCTGCATTTATAATAGTTTTCTGGTTATTTCTCCCCTCATCCCCTCACTGCCACAACACACATATTTCATCTTCTACTACGTACAAAATAATACCAGTTATTTACTGGAAATCTGTTGACTTGTGTAACTAGTGAGAATCAAGGAAAGGAGGAAAACATTCCATTTGATTAAAAACTTGAGATTTTAAAATGAATGCCAACACCTGAAATCTGAAGAGCTCACTCATCCTGAGCACCACGTGTAAATATCTCCCTGTGAGTACATATGCCATCACCACAAAGGAATTCAAGCACTCCGGGGCAGAACACAGCTAAAGCTTGAAATAAGTATTTTTTTATTTTTTTAAAAACTTCACTCCTTCTCTAGATGTCTGTATGAATAATAGCTTCTTTACATTTTACGAATATCATGTATAAATATCAGGGAAAACAGCAGGTAGTCCGACAATCAGATGCTGGTACCGTGAGCTGAGAATCTTGGTGCCAGTCCTGGACCACCAGGCCTCAGCTCACTGCAGCTAGAGTCAGGGTGGCAGGTGACTCGTAGGGAAATTTTGAGAGCAGGTATAAAACCGTGACATTCTTAATTCCCTTGGTGATAAATGGGTGTGCTGTAACGTGAGAACCCCTGATTCGTAATCTATACGGTAACTTGCAGGGTGTTTTGTTTTGCTAGGATAATATGTTGTTAGCATCTTGCTTTTAAAAAGTTTATTTTTCTAAGCTAACTCATTTAGGTGTAGCCTAGGATTTGTAGCCTATTTCATATTTTTTGATAGGTACTTTTTTTTAAAAGCTGTTTGTTGTTATATTTTGATATATTTGCTGTGGATGATTGATCTGTACAAAATTTTCTTATGATGAGCTAAAAAAAGTAAACTGTCTCTGAAGCTGCTACATTATAATGATTGTATAATCATCAGTCGGGTTTGATGAAGAACACCATAGGCTCTTGTATTAGTACAGACTATTTTTTGACAACATGTATGCCTTGGGTGGGAGAAAAGAATTTAGTTACATCTATGATAGCGGTTTTTGAGAGAGGAGCTGCTCTTATTTAAAAGTGAAACCACTATAATTTTAAAAGGCTTATTTTTTTTTCCCCCTTCAGGCTCATATTCTCAGTCCATCCCCAAACTTTGTTTTCCCTGTTTTTGCTAGACTGAGGAAGGGACTTGAGTTTGACATGGTATAATTGCAACCTTTAATTATAGGAAGTAAATCCCCAAGACATCTTGGACTTAGAAGATAAAGGAGGAGAAGTTTGCAATCATTTTGCACATTTAAAATATCTGTTTTAACCAACTAGTAATTATAAAATTTTGTAGTTGCAGCTTTTTACTGCAAAACTAAAGTGTTGTGATCTATTGGTGGCCTCTCAGATTAGCCACTAAATTTAAGTTTAAAGTATTTTTCTCATCGCAGATTCTTCTCAGAACCCTCAATAAATTAAACTTGTGCCCCTTTCAAGAGGAAAAAATATCCTGTCCCCATTCTTTCCTGGCAATTTGCCCCTGTAGAAGGGTTCCCTATCTAGGCAGCAGCGGTTGCTTCCCCGGATCCAGCCTGTCAGTTACTGAGCAGAGCCCCACTTGACTCTTACCTCAGACTGTTATTAAAATGCAACACCCTGACACTGATTGCTGGTAAGGCACTGAAAAATAACCAACTTACCAAAATAGCCCCCTGGGAACACTCTCCCAGAGGCCTGCCACAGCAGTACAATTCGGGAATCTGTCATCTAACTTAGTTTTCTGTATTGAAAAGAAAATTCACTTTAATAAAGAGCTGATCACCAACATTAACCGTATAGGCACCCGGTAGACTTAGAAAATGTTGGGACCGTAAATCCTAGTCTGTAGAATTTTAGAGTTGAAATGCCAGTTTTACAGATGCAGTCAGTCTCACACCGCCAGTTAGGGGCAGGTCCGATTCAAGAGTGAGGGTCCTAAGGTCCAGGCCACCCGTTCACCCTGGTGAACCGCATTGTGCTTTAAAGAACCTCTGTAGTGCGATGCGCATGCACACACGGAGACCCAACTCCAGCCACTTCTCTGGATATTGATTTCTGTATATTCTCTGAAAGTACTGGGGTGAAATGTTAAACTACGAATCATAAGATTGCCTCTTGAAGTACTAAAGAAAATGCCATATTGAAAATTAGGAAACCAAGCCTGGCGTGGTGGCTCACTCCTGTAATCCCAGCACTTTGGGAGGCCAAGGCAGGTGGATCATGAGGTTAGGAGATCAAGACCATCCTGGCCAACATGGTGAAACCTTGTTTCTACTAAAATACAAAAAAAAAAAATTAGCCTGGCATGGTGGTGTGCACCTTTAGTCCCAGCAACTCGGGAGGCTGAGGCAGAGGAATCGCTTGAACCCAGGAGGGTGGAGGTTGCAGTGAGCCGAGATTGCGCCACTGCATTCCAGCCTGGCACAGAGCCAGACTCCATCTCAAAAAAAAAAAAGAAAATTAGGAAACCAAAGTGCTAGCTTCCATAATTAGGCTGAAAAAAATCACATTCATATTGTTTTTAAATTTGTGCCGGGCATGGTGGCTCAGGGCTGTAATCCCAGCACTTTGGGAGGCTGAGGCGGCTGGATCGCTTGAGGCCAGGAGTTCGAGACCAGCCTGGGCAACATGGCAAGACCTCGACGCTACAAAAATTTTTTAAAAAAATTAGCTGGGTGTGGTGGTGTGCACCTGTGGTTACAGCTACTCAAGAGGCTGAGGTGGGAGGATCACTTGAGCCTGAGAGGTCTAGGCTGTGTTCGCACCTCTGCACTCCAGCCTGGGCGACAGAGCCGGACTGTCGAGACCGTGTCTCGGGTTAAAAAAAAAATTGTAAAAACAACTATTTAGTTTCTACCTATGAGATGACATTATACCATTTAATTAAAGGTAATAAAAATGTTTCTGACTTTTAAGAAGTGTAATCATAAACTTGTAAGCATTCATTTGTAAACATGAAAGATACTTTAAACACCACCATTGATTTATATGCTTTTGTGGAGGTCTGGACTCCTTTTTTTTTCCTTTCCAACTTTCGTTTTTGTTTCGGGGGGTGCATGTGCAGGTTTGTCACGTGGGTAAATTGCATGTCGTGGGGATTTGGTGTATAGATAATTTTGTCACCCAGGCAATCAGCATAGTACCCCATAGGCAGTTTCCCAGTTCTCACCCTCCTCCAACCCTGGATGGTTTTAGGAATCCGCAACTGCTGTAGGTCCCAAGAATAATGCTCATTGGCGGATATTTTGTATATCCTTTCAAGAGTCACGGACAGGTATTTTAAAAAGCGTGTGGAACAGTCAACAAATGTCATTTTTCTCCTCTTCTTTCTCTCAGCTCTTTAAAACAAGGCATTGTGACCCATGCCTCTCATCCCACCCTTTCCTGGCAGCTGCAGCATCCCTCACTTATGTCCTCTTTGTCTCCTGCTCCTGGACCCTTGCTGTCAGCTTATATAATAAATAACAGTTCAGTGAATAACTCTACATGGTGTGTGTGTGTGTGTGTGTGTGTGTGTGTGTGTGTGTGTGTGTGTGTGTATATATATAACTGGATCTCACTCTGTCCCCTAGGCTGGGGTGTCCCTTCCCAAAGTGCTGGGCTTACAGGCTGAGCCACTGTGCCTGGCCTGCATAACACTTTTAAACATGCTTTTCTCCTCTGCCTTCCATGGTAGTATGCCTCCCTGTTGCCTCCGAAACATCCTTTTTCCTGTTTCCTATCAGCTCTGTTTCTTTGTCCCCTCCCTTAAATGTTGTTTCTTATCTCCTTGGTTCTCTTTTTTTTTTCCTTCCCCCTTGATCTATTTTGTAAATTATATTTGCAAATGATGCATGTAAATAGTTTTAAAAAATTAAATAGTTTTTCAGGGTTTATCATAAAAATAGTGAATCCCTGTCCTGTCCCGTTCCTCCCCATCCCTGCTGCTGGCTCCCAGTGGCAACGCCCTGCAGCTCTTTTAGCCACATTGTGGGCTAATGTGCTTGTAGCACTGTTTGTTGCTTTAATCAGATACTGAGTTTCTACTATGCATGACAAGGATTTATATATTCACACACATACGTGCATTCACCCTTTTTCTCAACACAGTCACTTAAACTTTTCCATTAAATCAGCATTCATTATTTACATTTTTATGGCTACAGACATTGTTTACAACTGACCCTATAGTGTTTGTGATGATTACAGTTCTTTGGTTAGTTTTTTATGAACACATCATTAATCCGTCCCAGGTGCCTTGTCAGCAGCTTAAATCTCCTCTCCGTGTGTTTGGCTGTTGTGTCCTGGAACCCTTGTGTCCTATGCCAGTCTTGCAGTGGTGTCTCTGTGGCCGCTGTCCAGCCTCTTGAGAGGTCTGAAGCTTTTAAGACTTCCTATGTGTCTAGATCTGAACAGTTGTAAAGCTGTGCCTTGGTATGAGTCTCGTTTCATCCATTTCATTCATCAACATGGATGCACAATGGGCCCTTTGAACCTTGAAAGTTGTGTGCTTTAGTTCTGGCCAATTTTCATATATACACACACACACACACACACACAGACATACACATGTATGTGTATATATGCACACACTTTTTGGGAAGAATTCTCTTCCTTCTCTTTGTTCTTTCCATCTAAAGCTTCTATCAGCAGATTGTTGGATGTTTTGGAATGAGCTTCTACTTTACTTCTGTTGATCTTTTTGTCTGTGTTCTACTGCTATGTGCAAGTATTTTTTTCAATTTCATTTGATTTCCAGGAGGCCTCCTCTCCCACTTTTTAAATAGCCTCTTTCCTCTCATGAGTATACTGTCTCTTGTTATTTCTGAGAATATAGTTGTTGTTTTTTATTATTTTTTAGCCCCTGCATTGTCTGTTTCCCTCAGGTTCCTTTATATCTGTTTGGGTTGGGCACTGTCTTTTACCTAAGAGGTTTTTCAAATGTCAGGTGATACTTGAAAGTCTGTTCCTCTTTCAGAGCAGGGAGTTAATAAATGGATTGGAGGTGTGCTCCATGTCCCCTTTTCCCTCCAGCTTCACCTCACATCTGCCAGCAAGTCCTGGCTCCACCTGCTTTCGTCCCCTGCTCTGTCATGGAGTGGGAAGAGCTTGCACTCTGAGCCTCACCATGTACTGTCTGACCTTGGAGAAGTTACTTTGCCTCTTCAGTGCTCCGTTTCTTCATTTTAAAATGGGGCTCATCAGGCACAGTGGCTCATGACTGTTTCCCAGCACTTTGGGAGGCCAAGGTGGGGAGAATCATTTGAGGCCAGGAGTTCAAGACAAGCCCGGGCAACATGGTGAGACTCCATCTCTGCAATAAATTTTAAAAAATTAGCCAAGGGTGGTGGCCCATGCCTGTCATCTCAGCACTTTGGGAGGCCAAAGTGGGAGGATCACTTGAGGCCAAGAGACAGAGACCAGCCTGGGCAATGTAGTAAGACCCTGTCTCTACAAAAAATTAAAAAATTATCTGGGCATGGTGGTGCACACCTGTAGTCCCAGCTACTCGGGAGGCTGAGGTGGGAGGATTGCTTGAGCCCAGGAGTTCAAAGCTGCAGTGAGCTATGATTATACCACTGATTCCAGCCGAGGTGACAGAGCAAGACTGTGTCTCTAAAAAAAAAATAATAATAACATAAAATGGGGCTAATGATACTACCTACCTCAAAGAGTTGTTATGGAATTGGAAGAGTTTAGAATACTGCCTGGAACATTGTAAGCAACATGTAAATATTGACTATTTTTATAACCCTCCTGGTATCAAATCACTGTCATTTCTTGCATGATTTAGTTGTAATATCAGAAATGTGTTCCCTGGTCATTCCATAAAAAATAACAGTCTCCCCAGTCCAGGCTAGGCGCATGGCTCACGCCTGTAATCCCAGCACTTTGGGAGGCCGAGGCGGGCGGATCACGAGGTCAGGAGATCGAGACCATCCTGGCTAACATGGTGAAACCCCATCTCTACTAAATATACAAAAAATTAGCTGGGTGTGGTGGCGGGCGCCTGTAGTCCCAGCTACTCAGGAGGCTGAGGCAGGAGAATGGCATGAACCTGGGAGGCAGAGCTTGCAGTGAGCCAAGATCACGCCGCTGCACTCCAGCCTGGGTGACAGAGCGAGACTCCGTCTCAAAAAAAAAAAAAAATCTCCCCAGTCCTTTGTTTTATTTTTCCATATTGCTTCTTGCCATCTGACGTATCATATATTTACTTAGTTGCTTATTGTCTGCCCTGTGTGCAGGGACTTTGTTTTTTTCACTTCTTTATTCTCAGAACCTATAGCAGCACCTGTCTTATAAGATGCTTAGTAAATGTTTGTTGAATGAATGAATGTGTTGGTGGGTCTTTCTGCCTGGTGAACTTCACAGTAGGGTGACTGCGCAGCCATTTCAGTAGGTGACACCCCTGTCCCATAACCCTCTTAACTATTTGGGGGTATTTTATCTTGGGCTGGATACCTGAGTATCTGGAAGCACCTAATTAGATATTGAATTGTCTTTGGGCTTATTTTTCTGTATGACATAAAGACAACAGTTGAAGCATTATCAAATAGGAAACCCTAGATGATCTTGCCTTTGTGTGCTGTAGAACCTTGTCAAGGTCACTGTTGTAACCAGTTTCTGACTTAGTTTCGAAGATGGTACTTAAAAATCAAAACTTCATTGTAGAGGATTTTGAACATATGCAGAAGTAGAGAGAAGAGCATAATGAATTCTCTCTCCCCATACCCGGGCCCAGCCGTCTCTCACCGCCAGGCCTGCTTCAATATTCAATAGTAGCACCGGGTACTTCCTCTCTGAAGAGAGAACTTGGAAGGACACATTGCCTAAGATTGCATTTCAGTTATATTTGCAAGAACTTAAGTTAGGCTTTAGGAAGCCAGCAGGGCTCTGAGAACATAGACTCCATCGAGGGATTGTAGGAGATTTGAAAGAAAAAGTAGACATGTTTTTCTAGGTTATTTAGGGTCTGTCCTACATGGGAAGTAAGGAGCAGACATTTAGGCCACTTCTCCCATCTTTCAGCTGTATTGTGCAGAAGTTGGATTGACGAAGTGTTGTGAATCTAGTACTGCCATTGACTCGCCTGCACATCTCTGCAGACGTACATGGGAAGTTGTGTGACAAAACAGAATATCCTTCCCCTAGACGTTGGTGGTCCACTGCAGGGATGGTTGTGGGGTTGAGCCCTGGGAATCTGGCTCTGAGTCTCTCCTTCTGGGACTAGATGCTTCCCGTTCCTGCATCGGCTTCCGGAGTGTGGAACCACCATTCAAAGCTGTTAAAGACATGGAAGTGCCGTGGATGACGCCATAGCTCAGCTCTGCCAGCAACTTAACCAAGGTTCCAGTTCCGGAATATCCAGCCTTTCATTTCTTGGGGTGTGGGGGCCCAGTCATCTGGCAGAAGTCATTCAAGCCCGACATTCTTTTGGCCACACCGTGCTGCCTTAGATGAGCTTTTCTGTAGTAGTCTCCATCCTAGTTAGTGTTTTAAAATGGGAATGAAATGGCACTTTGATAACAAATTTTAGTGGAATAGTCTGAGAGAAACCAGCAGCTTCGTATAAAATGATCTCATTCACAGGTATTTAATTAGCACTCAAATTATATAACCTTTCTGCAAGTGTGAGGGAGCAGTTGGGCTGGCTGACCTTGAAAATCACTTTTGAACAGAGGAACTCTTCCCTGTCTGTGATTAGCACACAGAGCGATCTGTTTCTCTAGGCTGTTGAGATTCTGGCTTAGGGTCTTTGTGGTATCTCTGATTCATGAACGAGATCATCAGTGCACTCTTTACTGTTGTGTGTGACTGAGTATATTTACTGCCACGCTTCATTTCCCTTTTCCTTTCCTATATTAGAATACCTGAGGGAGATTCTAGGTTATTTAATGTTCTTATAAATAGATATATTGTTATATTATGGCAAAGAA
Source organism: Homo sapiens (assembly GCF_000001405.40). Classification (NCBI taxonomy): domain Eukaryota; kingdom Metazoa; phylum Chordata; class Mammalia; order Primates; family Hominidae; genus Homo; species Homo sapiens. The sequence goes on from NC_000007.14 coordinate 98,127,105, forward strand.
AACACTTTGTGACTTAAAATTCTGTGTACAGGAAACCTTGATGATAGATGGGTTTGTAAGTTTGAGGCGTTAAATAAAAATGTGTGATCTGCAATAATTGTTCAGATTTTTTTCCCCAAGTAGTGTGATGATGATTCATTTTATTAAGTCTCTGGGCTGCAGTGCTACTTGTCAGGGTGTTAGAAGAGGAAGACAGGCTTAGTGGTCCTAACGTGCTAGGAGAAAAAGGCCCAAACGATGTGTTTTAGAGATGGGCTTTATGTTGGGCCCATTTGGAAGGTTGCTGGCCCTTAGCTTCCCTCAGTTCTATGAGTTTTCTTTGTCTAACCTTTGTCTAAGTAGCCACCATTGTTAATTTTCAAGTAGGCACAGAATTCTCCTATGCAAATTCCCTGAGGCAAGAGGGTCTGGGCAAAACAGAAAACAGGCGAGATGTGTAAGGACCTGGCCCTTGCTTTACACTTGCTTTTCCAGTTAGAAGGCAGGATGCCCTCATGCCTGTGTCTGTGCTGTCAAGGATGGACCCCTGCCAGTGGGATTGGCTTTCTTCAATTAATGCATGGACCAAGTATATGTTAAAATAACTAAAGGAGTGGAATTGGAGTGTTGCTAACACAAAGAAATGATCGATGCCTGAGGTGACGGACACCCCAAATACCCTGATGTGGTTATTACACTTTGTATGCCTGTATCAGAGCGTCACACATACGCCATAAATATATACACCTATTTGTACACTTAAAAATAAAAAATTAAGGCTGGGCATGGTGGCTCATGCCTGTAATCCCAGCACTTTGGGAGGCCAAGGTGGGTGGATCACCTAAGATCAGGAGTTTGAGATTAGCCTGGCCAAGATGGCGAAACCCCGTCTCTACTAAAAAATACAAAAATTAGCTGGGTGCGGTAGCAGGTGCCTATAATACCAGCTACTTGGGAGGCTGAGGCAGGAGAATCGCTTGAACCCGGGAGGTGGAGGTTGCAGTGAGCCAAGATCGCGCCACTGTGCTCCAGCCTGGGAGACAGAGCAAGACTCCATCTCTAAATAAATAAATAAGTAAATAAATAATTAAAAAGGTGAAAAGATTAGTAAATTGACACAGTGCTAGGGGCTGAGTTTTACCCCTCCATGTACCTCAAACTATAACTGTATTTGGAGATAGGCCTTTTAAACAGGTGAGTCCTGAGGGCGGGCCGTAGTCCATTCTCACTGTTGTCCTTGTAAAATGGGGAACTTTAGACACACACAGAGACACCAGGGATGCACACGGAAGAAAGCCCCTTTGAGAATGCAGGGAGAAGGCTGCTGTCCACAGGCCAAGGAGAGAGGCCTCAGGAGAAACCAGCCCTGCCGACACCTAGTCCTCTAGGACTGTGAGAAAGTCAAGTTCTGCTGTTGAAACCCCCAGCCTGTAGTATTTTGTTTTAGCAGCCCTAGCAAACTGATACGCGCAGTGTTCAGACTAAAACAAATTTAAATCACATCTTAGATGGCACCAATTAAGATTCCTGTTTTGTTCCTAAACACACGTTGGCATAGAGGTCCGAGGGCTGTGGCTCTGCCCGTGTGTGGGGCTTTCTTCTGAGTCCTGTGCTCCAGGGGCTCCCTGGGGAAGAGGCTGCCTTTGGATTCTCGCTTTGCCTGCACTGAGTAGAATGCACTGATGGCCTCCAGTAAGATGAGGCTGTGCGAGAACATGGTGCGTGTGGGTAAACACCTGTTTTTGAGGGAGAACATAAATTGGAGGAAATCCACTTTTTGAGATAATGTATTTCTTAATAAAACACCTTAGTTAGGCAGCTGAAGCAAAATGGGTACATGTTTGTGGGAGTTCTTGGGGCCCTGGGGAGTAAGCATCTCACCACTCCAATACAGTGTATGTCAACAGTGGGAAAATGTCCCGAGTAAGAGTGTAAAATTGTTGAAGGATGCTTCTCTTATAATCTTATTTGTTTGACCCTGAAAACGTAAGTTTATTATTATTATTTTTGAGACAGTCTCACTGTGTCACCCAGGCTGTCACCCAGGCTGTAGTGCAGTGGCACGATCGCACACCACTGCAGCCTTAACATCCTGGGCTCAAGCCATCCTCCCACCTCAGCCTCTCGAGTAGCTGGGACTACAGGCTCATGCCACCACGCCCGGCTAAGTTTTTGTATTTTTTTGTAGAGACCCAGGCTGGTTTTGAACTCCTGAGCTCAAGCACTGGGATTACAGGCATGAGCCGCCGTACCTGGCCCATAAGTTTATTCAGTTTTGTTTTGTTTTGTTTTGTTTTGTTTTGTTTTGTTTTGTGATAGGGTCTTACTTTGTTGTCCAGGCTGGAGTGCAGTGGTGTGATCGTAGCTTACTTCAGCCTTGACCTCCTGTGCTCAGGTGAGCCTCCCAAGTAGCTGGGACTACAGGTGTGTGTCACCGTACCTGGCTGATTTTTCACACTTTTTGTAGAGATGATGTCTCACTATGTTGCCCATGCTGGTCTTGAACTCCTGGGCTCAAGTGATCCTCCTACCTCAGCCTCCCAAAGCACTGGGATTACAGGCGTGAGCCACTGTGCCTAGCTCGTAAGTTTATTCTGTGATCCGGTAGGTTGGTTATGGTTTCTTTCTGTTGTTGTTGTTTTTCCTGTTTCGTTCCCTTGCTTGCTTATTTTCCCTCGCTTGCTCATGCCCCTTCATCGCTCTCTAACTTTTTTCCCTTTTTCTTACCCCGACTTCTACCTGAATGCTAGGCGCTGGGCTAGGCTCTGGGGAGTCATTGGTGGATTATACAAGCCTGGCCCGTGACCCCATTCAGCTTGCAGCCTAGTGGGGAAGGCATATGGGCATTTGCAACATGGAGTGACAGATTCCATGGGCCGATGCACGGTAATTGGGGGTGCACAGGCAGGGACTCCAACCGCGGGCCTCAAGGATGGTTTCTGAGTTGAGCTCTGATGGGCAGGGATGAATGAATGGTGGGGGCAGGGGAGCATGTCATGTTAGCGTCTCTGGGTGGTGGAAGATATGAGAATGAATTGGCAGAAGATCCATCTGGAAGGATGGAGAGAGGGTCATCATAGCTCATAGTAGAGAGCTGGCGGGGAGTGATGGAGTCGGGGCTGGGAGGTCAGAAGTAGCCAGGCAACGTTGGATGCTGAAGCCTTATGAAGGAATTTTGCCATTAGGTTAAAGATGGCGAGAAGCTGGGGGTACAAAATTCATCAAATAGGAAAGGATATAGCACCTTTGTGCTATACCAACAAATAGGAAAGGATATAGCACACTCTGTCCCCCAGCCACTCTGTTTCTGTCCTTGCAGGTAGCTGCTGTTATATGTGCACCTACTGGTCTTTGGCTCTTCTTTGTTTTTCCTTGTTTTCATTTAAGCATCTGTCCTAGAGATGGGTTGGATGGTGTTCCCCCTAAATTCATACGTGGAAACCCTAACCCCAGTGCCTCAGAATGGGACCTTATTTGGAGAGAGGGTCTTTACGGGGATGATCAAGTGAAAATGCGGTCATGAGGGTGGGCCTAATCCAGTGTGACTGCTGTCCTTATATATAGGAAGAGGAAATTTGGACACAGACACACGTAGAGGGGAGATGATGGGAAGAGACTTAGGGAAAAGGCAGCCAGCTGCCAGAAGCAAGGAGAGGCCTAGAACAAACCCTGCCACCACAGCCCTCAGAAGGAGCCCATCCTGCTGCCACCTTGATCTTGGACTTGGAGCTTCCAAAACTAGAGAATAAATTTTGGTTATTTGAGTCACCCAGTTTGTGATACTTGATTATGACAGCCCTAGCACGTTAATGGCCATATCAAGAGTAGGCAAGAATATGGATTATAAATTATGATATCTGCTTTCTTCCATTTAAACTTTTAAATTCATTTAATAAATGAAAGCTTCAAGCATGCAAGACATAGATACTGTAATGAATTCCCACACAGCTTCCACCCAGCCTGAATTAGCTGCAGCCCATCTTTCTTCATGCTGCCCCCGTCCACTTTCTCCACGCCCTCGTGCTGTTTGGAAGCAAATTCCAGACATCATTAAGTAGGTCACTATCTCCAAAAGATAAGGACTACATTTAAAAACAAGCACATGACCATTATCACTCCAAGGAGAAATGAATTACATTTTCTTAATATGGTCAGTTAGTGTTCAGATTTCCAATAGCCTGAAATGTCATAGTTTTTAAAATAGGTTGAATCATGATTCAAATAACATCCATATGTTGGAATTGGTGGGTAGGTCGTTTAAGTCTTTTAATGTTTGCCACTCTCCCTCTCTTCATCTCTTTCTTTTTTACATTTTCCTAGGCTTTTCTCCCCAAGTGTTTTTCACAGCCTGTGTTTTGCTGATTACATTCTTGTGGTGGTATTTCACATGTCTCGCTATTCATAATGTTTCCTATACATTGACATTTGGATCTAGGTGGTTGATTAGATTCAGGTTTGATATTGTTTTTGTTTGCTTGTTTTGGGCAGTACTGTTGCATAGGTGGTGATGTGTTTTTCTGTCAGGAGATAATGTCTGTCTTTCTGTGTTATCAGCTATTGATATAAATTTCATGTGTCATAAAATGTTATTTTGGATTAAAAATACGATTTAAAAACGTGAATTCTTAATTATTCTTAGCTTTCAGGCCATACCAAAACAAAAACTGTGGGCAGGATTTCACCCAGTGGCCACAGTTTCCTGATCCCTATTACCCGAAGAGAGCAGCTGCTTAGACCACAGGGGTACCAAAGTTCAATGTTACAAAACTGTGATACATTGTTTTCTAAGGTAGTTGTGACACCAGCAGTGAATAAGCAGCTCTACTTCCTGAACCGAGGTCTTTACATTAGCAGTTCACTTTAAAAGAAACCAGGGCTCTTTGGGGAAATGATTGATAGGAGGTTTGAAACAGAAACTATAAAAGATGAGCCTGGAACAACCCAGGGAACAAGAACTCCACCCAGGCCTGCCGGGACCCTGTGGGAGGGCTTGGGAGCAAACCGCTTTAGAGGCCCTGCTTGCCAAAGACAGGACAATGGGAGTGTCAATCAGAACAACCACAACGGATGGAAGCCTGTGGGTGCTTTAAATCCATTAGCTCATGATGATACCACAAAACAGTGACAGCAGCTCTCTGAACTGGTCACTGCCAGAGGATGCTAGTGAACCAACTTTTTTTTTTTTGAGACGGAGTCTCACTCTGTCGCCCAGGCTGGAGTGCAGTGGCGCAATTTTGGCTCACTGCAACCTCTGCCTCCTGGGTTCAAGCAATTCCCCTGCCTCAGCCTCCCGAGTAGCTGGGACCACAGGCGCGCGGCACCACGCCTGGCTAATTTTTTGTATTTTAGTAGAGACGGGATTTCACCATGTTGGTCAGGATGGTCTCAATCTCCTGACCTTGCGGTCCCCCGACCTTGGCCTCCCAAAGTGCTGAGATTACAGGCGTGAGCCACCGCACCCAACCACCAACTCATTTTTTAAAAACTGGCAAAGAGAAAGATTGAAGTATCTAGTCTGCCTTTTCCTTATGACTTGAACCACTGGGTAACCAAATAGTAAATGTGAGGAAATTTCTCTTTATAAAAGCATATCCACTAGTGACTGAACAAGGAATGACAACATTAGGATATCCAGCATTTTGTAATCCCTAATGGATCTAAATATTGATCATCATTTCTTTTTATCTGTGGCCTTTAATTTTTTTTTTAATTGAATCCCAAAATGGCTTCACAGACAACTCTTTAGTTAATTACATATGGGTCCAGTTTCATCTGAGGTTCTAGAGATCGTGAATCAGATAATTGGGCTGGAGTTATAATGGTTGAATTAATAGGTGGTATTCCTGGCTTACCTTGAGTCATTACTGAGAAATTGCATTCTCCAAATTACCTGTCTCTAAAACAGATAATATGTACCTACCTCTTAGAGTTTCTCAAGTTTTCTGCTTATTGAATCAAGTTCTAGGTAGCTATTAAAATGCTTTGAAAACTATTAAATGAAAACTCACAGAATGTGCTGTAGACATGCCGGGTGTTTTTTAATCAGTGTCTTGGGGAAAGCATACGTATTCCGCCAGACCTCATGTGGTGCTTGCTCTCAATTTGTGATGGGAAAAGCTGCCTAAATGTATGGTGATGCCTGTTCTTGATGTTGTTTGGTAGATGACTGGCTCGACGTATGCCCTTCTCAGTGCTGTAGGCTGCATGTTAAAGCTGCCTTTCTTTATCAGGTTCTAACAGCTGCAGTCAGGAACTGTGTCAGGGACTGGTTTCTAGTTTGACCACGGCGGTATAGGGATTTTATTTGTGGTTCCTCAAGTCTAGAATTTACTTCCTCTCTGTGGTTTCTGCAAACCCATCTCACCTTCCAGCCTATGTTTGATTTCCTCATTTTATGGAAGTTTTTTTTTTTCATTGCTAAATAGAGTTTTTTTTTATAGCACAGTGCTTTTGGATTCATCAAAAGAAAAATACTTTAAAGTTTTAAAAAGGGGTAACTAAAAATGTCTACTTGAAGCTACCTAGTCAATTTCTGAGGCAGTAGTTTTAATGGGACTGTTAGATACTGAGGTTGAGTAAGTGTGGTTCACACTGAGGAAATCTAAGGGAGAGTAGGTGCCCTGCAGACCCTAGCAGAAGTAAGTGTAGCAGAGAGCTAGGGCAAAGCGTGGCATAGTTCATTGGTCTTAACCTGGTTATACTCTTCATACCTATCTAGTGACTCACAGAGGACACTTTCATGAATCAGATAATTAGGCTGGCATTCATACAGTCCTTATCCAGTTCTGTAATAAATAAGTAGTTTGTGATGCTTAAAAAAACAAAACAAAAACTCTGGGTGCAAGAGAGGAAAAAGTAAGTCAAGATCAGCTATGTGGAGTTTGAGGAAGTATAAACTACCCTAATTAATGACAGACTTGGGTTCAAAGGACAGTGGGCTGTTTTTAAGTGTTAAAGGTTAACCACATAGAGGCAGAGCAGTGGGGTTTCAAGGAAAGCGAGGGAGCTTGCACCCAGCACACCTAAACTCAGTCTGGCCTGCCACTGTCCCACCTGGGTTCATGGGCATATCAGTTTCTTCATCTGTGACGTGGAGCTGGTCGTATTACCTCAGAGGTATTGTGACAGCCAAATGAAATAATGCTGTATTTTATCAAATGTCAGATGAGGTTGATGATAAGTCACACCCTTAGTTTTGTACCATTAAAAAGAAGAAATGCTGCCAGTTAAGCTAACTTGAAGTGTGAGATGCACCTGAAATTCAGAGATGCAGTGGACAAACTGTGTGTTATTTTTTCTTTTTATTCTCCCTTACAATCCAAATGCGTCTTTAAAAACAATCAATAAAAAACAGTGTACGTGAAAGCGCTTTGCTTTCCTCAGGAGTCAAATTTAATTTTTATTATGTGCATCGGGAGTGAAGCACAGTTCTTCAGAAATAATTCCAGCAGTCTGGCGCAGTGGCTCATGCCTGTAATCCCAGCGCTTTGGGAGGCTGAAGTGGGTGGCGCACTTGAGCACAGGAGTTCAAGACCAGCCTGGACAACATAGTGAGACTCCCATCTCTCAATAGAAAAAAAAAAAAAAGAAGAAGAAATTCCAGTGGGGAAGCACAGGCTTCTTGTCTGGATGAGTGAACAGCTCACTGCAAGGAGGAAGAGAAGAAAATCATCCTTCTTGGTCTTCATAAGAATTGGCTCTCAGTGCCTCAAGCTCCTCACTTAGTTTAGGTTTTCCAAATGGACACAAGTGTGTCTGTGGTTAGGGAGTTCTTGTTCTCATTGAAAGTTGACTTCCTCCAGATTGGTTTCAAGAGGAAGCACCGAGTTACCTCCTGTGTTAAATGTATGGGCTTTCCTCTGTTTTAGACTTTGTTGATTTAGAACTCGGAGATTCTCAACACCCCTTGGTTAACTGTATTATTCTTAAGCACAGACTGAGCCCGCATGTAACAATGGTGTTTCAGCATTGCTTTCACAAAGGGACCTTTTGTTATTGAAAAAGAACTTAGTTCTGTTTGCAGTTCATTTTAGACTTCCCTGATCTTCACTGAAGCTTATTTTAGATTCAAGAATGTGTTTTGCTCACCTAGGAGTTTGGGTTAGTTTTTCCTCTCTTCAAGTACCCTAGCTTCATTTAAGAAAAAAATAACCTCATTAATTTATCTCTCTGCCTTCCTTTTGGTGCATTTGAACACTTAATTAGCCATAGATGAGGATTTATTTTTATTTTTTATTTTTATTTTTTGAGACAGGGTCTTGCTCTGTCACCCAGACCGGAGTGCAGTGATGTGCTCACAGCTCACTGCAGCCTCCTCCTCCTGGGCTGAAGCCATCCTCCCACTCAGGCTCCTGAGTGGCTGGGACTTCAGGCACGTGTCACCACGCCCAGCTAACTTTTATTTTTATTGCTATTTTTTGTAGATATGGAGTCTCATTTTGTTGCCCAGGTTGGTCTCAAACTCCTGGGCTCAAGCGATCCTCCCACCTTGGCCTCCCAAAGTGCTGGGATTACAGGCATGCTCACTGTGCCTGCCATAGATGAGGATTTTAAGGAAAAGTTTATTTCTCAGTAAAACTCCAGTAGCTGAGACTTTAATAGTTTGCTCTAACAAAGAAAAGGTTCACAACTATCCTAGTTGAATAATATGTTTTCCGGATAATGAAGAACTTGCTAAAAATAAGATGTAAAAATCTTTATGCTCTAGATAGGGATGGGAAAAGGCCAGGCGGTAAAATATTTTAGGCATTGTGGCTCACAGGCAGTATCCTTGGCATATTCTTTTTTTTTTTTAAACAGCCCCTTAAAGATGTAGAAATCATTCTTTGCTGGAGAGTCAGGGGAGGCCCCCCACGCAACAGCAGGCCTCAGGCTGTAGTCTGCAGGCCGCCTCCCTCCCTGCTTATCATGACCAGAGCTCCTTGGAGCAATGGCTGGTTCTCAAGCAGAGTAGGGAAAATATGAGGAGCCTGGAGCTTCCTGTCGTGCCCGGAAGTAAGGAAGAGTTGGAGAAAAAGGGAAGGATGGGGCATGCCAAAAAGATCCAGTAGTCACCTTGGTAGAGCTCCCAGTGACAAGGCTGGAATCGTTGGAGCCACAAAATAAGTGATGATGACTTTGGATTACAGCCCGGAGAATAAATATCCGTGAGTCCATAAGTATATACATGACTGAATAAAATAAATAAGGGGAGGAGAGGGGACCAATCTTCCTTACAGAATTCCAAATAACAAATGTAGAAGAAATGAGGGAAATAGAAAATCACCTTCCAAACATCACAGTAGTAATTGCTGTAGGCAAGATGCCCTGACAGATGCAGAAAACTGGTGTGCAAGACCTGAAGGAGAAACAGGCAGTTGCATAGCCTCAAAGTTTCTTCCCCTGATATTACTAATTACTGGAGGGTTTTTAACCTGTGTCTACAGACTCTACTACTCCTCCCTCCAGGAAGTACAGCTTACGTCCGTTCCCTGTGGGCCAGCATTGCTTTCGAGGAATAGAGTATGAGAAGGGAAAGGTAGGCCTGCAGTGGGTTGGTGACGCCTGGTGGGAGCCACCTGGCCCATGGGATCAAAGTCACCTCACCAGGCATAGGTCATGCGCCCTGCTGTGCAAGCAGGACAGTTCACCCCACTGGAATTCTCTAACTCCTTCCCAGGTAGCCACAACCTTGGTCTAATCCTGAGAAGACATTGGGTGGCCCAGATTGAGAGACATTCCACAAAATAACTGACCAGCACTCTTCAAAAGTGTCAAGAGTTATGAAATGCGAGGAAAGACGAGAAGCTGTCAGAGACTGGAGGAGCTGAGGGGCATGTGGTGATTAAATGCAACGTTGGTAGTTTGGATTGAGTCTGAAAAGAAAAAAGGACTAAAGTGGAGAAAACAGTAAAATCCGAATAAAGCCTGAAGTTCACTTCATAGCCTTGTTACCAGTGTTACTGTCCTAGTTTTGATCAGCATACTGTGGTAATGTACGATGTTAGCATTAGTGGAAGCTGGGTGAAGGCTGTATATGAACTCTCTGTATTGTCTCTGTAACTCCTCTGTAAATCTAAATTATTTCAAAGAAACAGCAGCTTCTTATCCTGGATGGATCATCAGCTTTTTCTCGAGCATTATTTTATTAACCCTTACACCCATTTGTATGTAGAGGAAAATATATTGATTCACTAATTAAAGTTGATTTTGGAATGTACATGTTTTTAATATTATTTATCTCTCTTTCCAGGGGAGGCGCCACCTGCTGCAGAAGTTTCCTCATCTTTTGTGATCCTGTGTGTGTGCAGTTTAATAATATTAATAGTGTTAATTGCAAACTGTGTATCCTGCTGTAAGGACCCAGAAATAGACTTTAAGGTGAGCACAGAGGGTAGGAACATTTAAAATGGTCTTCCAATATGTTTTTCAATAGAATAACTGGATAGCACAGTCCTTTGGGAACAGGATCAGCAGATTTTTTTTCTTCCCCTAATGGCCAAATAGTAAATATTTTCTACCTTAGTGAATAGTAAATATTGTGGGCCATACAGTCTCTAAAACAGCAGCTCAACTCTGCCAGGATAGACACTGTTACCAAATGGTCATGGCTTTGTGCCAATAAAACTTTATTTACACAAATAGGAGGTTTGGATTTGGTGCATCAGCTGTAGTTTGCTCCGCCTCTGTCATTGACAATAACCACTTGCCTGTGGTGAGTTGAGGTTCTTGCTGAGTGAGGAGTGAAGCGTGGTGATTGAATTCACTGTTGTCCGTAAGGGCTATGAGGAAGAGCAAGATGATTGTTCCCCTCCACCCCGAAACTTCTGTAGACTGGTGAATTTGTGGTCACTGAGATTACTGAGGCAGAGGGATCCCCCAGTGTGTTTTGTGAAAGAGGAAGATCATTGAAACCTCAAGTTCCCTAACAGGGAGGAGGAGGCTGCAGATTGTAAAGTCCTGGCCAGGGAGGGTAATAGAGAAGATCTGGTTATAGCAGCAGACGGTGGAATGGACCAGTGAACCAGCCAGGAAGGCCTCTAGAACTTACTGCATGCCTGCTGGAGTGCATTCGGCCTATGTAAATACTTGTTATAAAGGAATACATGGGGGGGAGAAGGAAGGAATGTGGCGTGCAGAGAAAATGGTCCTTAATGTCACTCCCTGTTGACCGCGCAGGGCTGGCCCAGGAGCCTGGAGGTCCAGTGGTTCAAATTGAGGGAAAAAAAAGGTCGTCTTCTGGCTAAAGCCTTGTTTTCCCTGGACATGGGGCCCTGGTCTTTAGAACCTCATGGCTGTTTTTGTGTGCTGTCTTTACCCCAAGCCTTCTAGTAGCGCTGAGGAGACACACAGATGTGCTGTTTTCTTGGGTCAGCACTGGCCGTATACACACAGAGGGCTGAGAACACAGGAGGGTGGTTGGAAAACACTAATGGAGATCAGTTCCTTTAGAATATTTTGCCCCAGACCTGTAGGGTTTTACTCACAACATCAGTCCCTAGGCCTTAGAACCCCTACACACACTGCTATGGCGCCTGCTGACGGCACTAGTAGTAGGGGCACAGTTGTCGGTGGACAGTTTGTGTCCCTTGCTTGTTAGTCTTGCTGTGGGACTTTACACAGAAACCTGGCCATTTCAGGACAAAGATAAAGCCTGATCAGTGTTGCTGATACTGAAATCCAGTCTCCATCTCACATTTCATGATGCCTCATTCTTGCCTTAGATCATGCAAAGCTTTTTGAATCTCAGGATTGAATGCGGGAGTTCATTTGAGAGCCAGGAATCTGTGTTGTTACCAAGCTTCCCCCGGAGATGCTGGCGCAGGGGCCGCAGTGTCTTAGAGGACTCTCCAGCTCTAGAGTCTGTGTGACTGTGTAAAGAGTATTTCCATCTGTGATTTATTGGCTTTCTCTAGATTTAAAGCTGTGCAGTTTTAGAGCTGATGGTCCGTGGAAGTCATTTTACAGACCAGGAAGCTACAGTCTGGTAACACAGGTGACTTGCCGACATTCATCCAGATAGCCAGCAGCAAAACTTTAAAAGTGACCCAGGCTTATCTAATTTTTCTTCTTTTCTTTTTTCAGACAGGGTCTCTCTCTGTCACCCAGGCTGGATCACACTTCACTACAGCCTCAACCTCCCAGGCTCAAGCAATCCTCCCACCTTAGCCTCCCGAGTAGCTAAGGTTACTGCAGGCACACGCCATCATTCCCTGCTAAGTTTTGTATTTTTTGTAGAGACAGGGTTTCACCATGTTGCCCAGGCTGATCTTGAACTACTGGGCTCAAGTGATCCTCCCGCCTCTGCCTCCCAAAGTACTAGGATTACAGGCGTGAGCCACCGGGCCTGGCCATTTTTCTTATTTTTATACTACATTACCTGGTCTGAATCTTTAGAATCATCTGTTGGTATATCTAGTGGTACATCATGCTGCTGCCAAATTTTGAATGGCATTATTTTAAGGTAGGAGTGATGGACAAAATCATTTTACAGAGAGAGCCCTATTTAGGAATGTCCAAAAGAAAATTGAAGGATTTCCTCTGTTCAAAAATCCCCTCCCAGATTGAAGTTACGGTACCTCATTTTTCTTGCTCCCAACTCCATCAATACAAATAGCAATAATGTCCTTTAATGCACTGGAGAACATACATGAGAATAATGTCTTCTCACACGCATATGGAAACACAAGTGTTAGAGAAATCTACCATTGTAACTTTTAGTTTCTTTCTTGTATTGGATGGGGGCTAGGAGAGGTGGTAGAGAAAATGAAAATAAAAGTTCATAGACTGTTCAGTGGAGAACAGTCTTGTTCACTGATCTGTTCCCAGCTTCTGTTATGGTGCCTGGAGGGCTAATACATGTTAATTATCTGAACAAATGATTTGATGAATGACTTGATAATTGGCCGTGTCTATGGTAAATTAACATGGATATCAAGGTATACCAGTTCACCAGAATGGTGACGGAAGAATTGCGATAGCTTCCCACCGAACGTCACGTAAAAGGTTTCCACAACTTTCTTTCTTTCTTTCTTTCTTTCTTTCTTTCTTTCTTTCTTTCTTTCTTTCTTTCTTTCTTTCTTTTCTTTTCTTTTCTTTTCTTTTCTTTTCTTTCTTTTCTTTCTTCTTTCTGTCTTTGAGATGGTCTCGCTCTATCACCCAGCCTTGACCTCCCAGGCTCAAGCAGTCCTCCCTCAGCCTCCTGAGTAGCCAGGACTACTCCAGTAGTCCTGCGCCACCATGCCTGACTAATTTTTTTAAATCATTATTTGTAGAAACAGGGTCTTGCCATGTTGCCCAGGCTGGCCTAGAGCTCTCGGGCTCAAGTGATCCACCTGCCTCAGCTTCCCAAAGTGCTGGGATTACAGGCATGAGCCACTTTGCCTGCCTGCATCCTCAGTTGTAAAGTTGTCATCTTTAGAAAGCCAGACGTGCTTATATGTTAATTACACTTATGCGTCACATGGTTTTTTTAGTGACCTTTGTGGTTCAGATCCTGGTGATTTTTTTTAGCTAATTTAGTAATGTTTCCATTGTTACTCTTTTCAGAGAAATAGAACTCACTTAAAAATATCTTTTCTGAGTCTTTCAACATTTATTTTGATAGAAATCACATTTCAATTAGAAATGCATATACAACTTTAAAATAAAATGATTTATTTTGATTCAGTATGCAAAGAATCATGTCACAAAAGTAATAATATTAAAAGAATTGCTTGGCCAGGCGCTGTGGCTAACATCTGTAATCCTAACACTTTTGGAGCCTAAGACAGGAGGATTGCTTGAGATCAGCCTGGGCAACATAGGGAGACTCTGCCTCTACAAAAAAAAAAAAAATTCAAAAAATTACCTGGGCGTGGTGATGCGTGCCTGTGGTCCCAGCTACTCGGGAGGCTGAGGTAGGCGGCTCACTTGGTTCCTGGAGGTCCAGGCTGCAGTGAGCCATGATCATGCCACTGTGCTCCAGTCACTGTGCTCCAGCCAGGCAACAGAGCAAAACCTTGTCTCAAAAAAAAAAAAAAAAAGAATTGCTTAAACTGTAGTCATTTGAGAGTAAATTTTTAAGCCTAGAAAACTATTTTTGTGTAAATTCCATTGCATTTAACTTCAAACTAACAGTTTAAAAACTTACATGAAATATGTATAATTTATTTTCCTGTCTTATGTATTCTGCTGTTTGGAGTCAGAGAACAAAATTACATATGCTTTTTACTTAACATTAAGTACAAACTGGAAAAAAATAATTGTGGCAGCAAGTTCCAAATCATTGTGCAAATATGTTCCTATTTTAAATGTTAGCCAATGGTTTTTAATGCTTGCTCTCTTTCATTTTAGGAATTTGAAGATAATTTTGATGATGAGATAGATTTCACACCACCAGCAGAAGACACTCCCTCTGTTCAGTCCCCAGCAGAGGTCTTCACACTTTCAGTACCAAATATTTCACTCCCAGCTCCCTCGCAATTCCAGCCTTCTGTAGGTAAGACCATACAGCCTAATGCCACGTTTTCATGAATTGTTTCTGAGATCTGAGAATGGGAGCCTAGCCATCATAAATATTGGACTGCCCATCTCCTCTTTGGTTTATTTCTCTTCCTTCTGCTCCCAGTGAAGCTGAATTCTAGTGGTCAGGCCCATTGTATTCCTGCAATAGCTTTGTCTTCTGCTTTCTGGACCCTGGGTCTGGTATGAGAATAAAACGAATCTCCTTGATTCATTGACATTGAACACCTGGCCAGAACTCCCAGGCTCTGTTCTGGAGGTGGTTTCTCTGCTAGTTCTGGCCACGGCTGACCTTGCTGAGTAGGACTCTGCTGGCTTCCACTGGGATGCCCTGCATTTGGGTAGGAGAGGAAAGTTTGGATATGTTAATCAGATTGACTTTTCTAAGCTTCTTCAGACAGAGGTTTGGTTCTGTGTTAGTTGATGTCTTGTGAAAAAATAGAATGTGACTAGAAAAATAGAATGTGACTATAGTTTTTTTTTTTAGAGTTTGAAATTTAAGCCCTTTTTAGAGTTAGAACTTTTTGTGGTCTTAAGAAATTCTTATTCTGTGATTAAAATAATACCTTTTAAAAAATATTTTAAGCTTTTGCTTTGACCAAAGAAGTAGGTTCAAGAAGTAGGGTTTTCTGAGATTGCCGCAAGAAGGCTGTGTAAGTCTGTAGATGCTAGGACTACCTTTTCTGGTGTGACACACGCTGTGGGCTCTGCCTAGGGCAGAATAAACCCCCGAACTGATGCCACTGCAGGCAGGCATGACTATAAGAAAAAGCCAGATGGAACGTGACATAGTTGGTGCATTTCATTTAAATATTTGTAAAGTAAGAATATATTTAAATTTATAGATTTTGCAGCATTAAAAAAAACAACCTGGAGTGTTTAATTGCTGTAAATAACAATACCCCTACTCCAACCAAAATAATGAAGTTTAAAAGGAGGTCTAATATATTCTTGGGATAACTTAAGTATACTTACTCTAAATGGAAATATTTTATTGTTGCTTGTTTGATAATTTGCTTTCCTTTATACTTAAGAAAAACCTGGAGAGACTTCTCAGAGCTTTTACAGGCCCATAGTCGATCCCCGGTGGATTCATTTCAAGTAGCTGAATTCCAAATTAGATCAGCCTAAGTGGAAACGAGAATTTTCTGACACATGGACCCAGACCGTAGGAAGAACAGGGGTTCAGCTGACCTTGGAGACAGCTAGAACCAGGGCCTGGAACATCATCAGCATTTTAATTCATTTCTGATTTTCTCTTCTCTTTGCATATCTGCTGAATCTCTTAGGCAGCTTCTCTGCTCAGTAGGGAGGTTGGCTGCCAGCAGCTCCACACCCATTCCCTTGTAGTTTTATAACCATAGAGGAAAGGAGCTTCTTTCTCTCTCTCCTTGGACCAGAAAGAAAACCCTTTGGAGGGACATTCTGGTTGTCTTCACCTAAGTCACAGGATGCAGAGCCATCACTGGTCAGGAAGGTGGGGACAGACAGACAGCTTCTCTTCAGGATCTACTGGGGATGGATGGGAGCACAGTCAGATGCAGGCAGAAGAGAAATTATGGTGACCTGGGCAGCCATTGTAATTTTGTTTATATACACACCCCTTTCTGTTTTACTGAAGCCCTGTACCCTAATATCCCTCTCCGTAGGAAGAAATTATTTTAAATTTCTCTGAGTAGAATACCCTCAGAATATTTTTATCATCTTGGGATACGAGAGGCCTTTCCAAGCATGCACCAAATCCAGAATCCATAAAGGAACATACTGCCAAATCTGATTTACAAAAATGAAATATTCTGTATAGAAAAAGACACCACACACAAATTGACAGAGTCGCAAAAAATATTTGTGAACTACAAACAGTATTAAAAACGGTTACATATCAAGAGTACAAACAAATGCAGGATAAAAAGTAACACGCTACTAGAATAAATAAGCTGAGGACATGAAAGGAGAATCTCAAATGGCCAATAAACATAGTAACCTCGTTATTAATTAAAGAAATGCTGACTTAAGCTGAGAGCAGATAGGTAAAGATGAAAAGAAATGACACCAGGTAGTGATTGGCGAGCATGTGGAGAGCAGCAGGCAGTCTCATCCACTAGGATTAGTGCAGCTATAAATTGCTGAAGATGTTCTTTCTGGAGGGGTAGTCGGGCAACATGTATCAAAATATGAGACATGTTGACTCTTGATCGAGCAGTTCCACTTTTAGTAATTTATCTTTAGGAACTAATTGGGCAAGTGTGCAAATATGCATGTACAAAGGAATTTATTGCAGCGTTGTTTGGCAGGGTAAGATGGAAACAGATTAAATGTCTGTCAATATGCAATTTGCTAAATTATAGTCAATCAATACAGTGGCGATTTATGTGTTCCTATAAAAGGATCAAGGTGAACTGTATTTGACTACGAAAGATATTTGTGATATAGTACATGAAAAAGATATACCACATACAAGCAATTCTACAAGTTCTACCATTTTTTTCTTTTTTTCTATTTTTAAAATGTATTTTATTTTTTGCATAGATAATATATTCACTTGGTTCAAAAACCATAACATTACAAAAAATATATATGTTTAGGCTGGGAGCGGTGGTTCATGCCTGTAATCCCAGCACTTCGGGAGGCCGAGGCAGGTGGATCATGACGTCAGGAGATTGAGACCATCCTGGCTAATACGGTGAAACTCCGTCTCTACTAAAAATACAAAAAAAAATTAGCTGGGCATGGTGACGGGCGCCTGTATTCCCAGCTAGTCGGGAGGCTGAGACAGGAGAATGGCATGAACCCGGGAGGCGGAGCTTGCAGTGAGCCAATATCTCACCATTGCACTCCAGGCTAGGGGACAAAGCGAGACTCTGTCTCAAAAAAAAAAAAAGAAAGAAAAAATATATATATATTGAAAAGTCTCCCTGTGGTATTTAAATGTGACCTATTTTCCACTGCTGGCTTCCCTAAGTAACAGCTGCACTGTTGGTTCTGGTTTTTCATACACCTTTCTCGAATTTGTTGATGCAGGTATCTCCCCTCACTCCCATTCACATTTACTTTTAATTTTTTAATTTTTTGTTTTTTAAAAGACTTTTTATAGAGAAGTTTGAGGTTCACGGGAAAATTTAGAGGAAGGTAAGTACAGACATATCTATTATGTCCCCACCCACACACATGCATAGTCCTCCTTTTTTTTTTTTTTTACTCAAAGGTGTCATGGTAAATTCATTATTCTGCATCTTGCTTTTTTTTCACTTACCAACATACCTTGCAGATCTTTCCATATCATTAAAGCGTATGTATTCTTGCTTCTAGGTTCGTACTATGTAGATTGTATAGTTTAGCACAGTTTATTTAAACAGCCCCCTGTTGATGGATATTTGGCTTGTTTCTAATGCGAAAACAAATAAAGCTTGTATCTGTGTTGTTTTGCAGGTGGTTGTTGTACTGGTATCCGTAGAATACATTTCTTAAAGTGGGTCAAAGAGTACATGTGTTTATAATTTTGGTGGGTCTTGCCAGCTTACCCTCTGCAGGAGTCGACCAATTTATCTTCCTGCCAGTTGGGTATCTAATGGTAAATGCCATTGCTTTTGAAGCTAAATTGGTATCAATTCAAACTAGATTGTTATAAATTTAGGATGCTAACTGTAATCCCCATGGTAACCACTAAAAAATTTACAGAAAGGGAAATGAAGAGGGAATCAAAATGGTACACTAAAAAAAAAAAAAATCAATCACACATACAAAAAAGGATTTTTGATGCACAGGATTCCTAATTTTAATATAGTAAATTTTACAGTTTTTTTTAGAGTATGAAATTTAAGCCCTTTTTAGAGTTAGAACTTTTTGTGGTCTTAAGAAATTCTTTCTTATTCTGTGATTAAAATAATACCTTTTTAAAAAATATTTTAAGCTTTTGCTTTGACATTTAGATCTAAAACCCATCTTGAGTTGATTTTTGAGGATGGTGTTAGGAGGAAATCCAACTTCAGCTTTCCTTATAGATTGCTGTGGTTTTTCAGCTTCATTCATGCACTGATCTTTTCTTTTCTCTCTGCCTCCATATGTGTATAGGTCTATTTTAGGCTTTCTATTCTCTGTCATTAATTTGTGTATTTCTTTTCCCAATACCATTCTCTTAATCATAATCATGTCATAATAACATGAATTACAAATATTTCTCAAATTCTATATGTTCTCTTTCACTCTCTTAATAGTGTCCTTTGACGCATAAAACTTTTCCGTTTTAATTTTGATGAAGTCCAGTTTATCTGTTTTTTACTTTTGTTGCTTGTGCTTTTGGTGTCATATTTAAGAAACTATTGCCAAATCCCTGGTCAGGAAGATTCATCTCTATGTTGTCTTCTGTAAGTTTTATAGTTTTAGCTCTTGCTCCTTGATCTATTTTGAGTTAATTGTTTTATATGGTGTGAGGTAAGGATCCACCTTAATTCTTGTATACGTGGATATCCAGTTGTCTCACTTAACAGTGTTTGAGAGACTGTTGTTTTCCTATTGAATTGTCCTGGAACCCTTTTTGAAAATCAGTTTACTATATTTTTTGGGGTTATTTCTGGACTCTCGGCTGTATGTCCATCTTGATACAGACTCTTGATCTGTATGTCTGTCCCTGTGCCAGTACCACACCATTTTGATTGCTGTAGCTTTGGTTTTATAGTAAGTTTTGAAATCAAGATATATGAGTCTTCTTTGTTTTAATTTTTCAAAATCCTTTTGCCTATTTGGGATTTCTTACAATTCCAACTGAATGTAAGTATCAGCCTTCCTATTTCTCTAAAACAGGCCACTGGGATTCTGATAGTTTTTTTATTTTATTTTATTTTATTTTATTTTAGTCTAGTCAAGTGAACCAGTGGGAGTGGAGAAGGAACAAAATAATCTGTAATGGTTGTAATCAAGGAATTTTTTTTTTGATGTACCATTTTGATTCCCTTCTCATTCCCTTTGGATTATATTTTTAAATGTTTTCTTAGTGATTATAATGATTACAATTAACATCCCAAATTGATAACACTTTTGAATTGATACCAGCTTAGCTTCAACAGCACACAAACTCTGCTCCTGTACAGCTCAGTCCCATCCCTTTATGTTGTTGTCACAAATTACATCTTTATACATTTTGTGCCTATTAACACAGAGTTATAATTTTTTTAATGCATTCGTATTTTAAATTGTGTAGGAAATAAAAAGAGGCGTTAGACACCAATAATACAGTAATAACGGCTTTCGTATTTACCTACATAGTTACCTTTACTGGAGATCTTTATTTCTTCAGATGGCTTTGAGTTACTGTTTAGTGTCCTTTTATTTCAGCCTGGAGGACTCCCATTAGCTTTTGTTGTAGGGCAGGTATACTGGCAGCAAACTCCCTAAACATTTGTTTATCTCAGAATGTCTTAATTTCTACTTCATTTTTAAAAGATAGTTTGGCCAGATATAGAATTCACAGGTATTTGCTTTCAGCACTTTCTCTGTGTCATCCCACTGCCTTCTAGCCTCCACGGATTCTTTTGAGTAATTGGTTGTTAATCTTATTGAGGATCCCTTGTACATGATGAATTGCTTTTCTCTTGCTGCATTCGGGATTCTGTGTCTTCGGTTTTCTACAGTTTGTGTCTCAGTATGGATCTCTTTGAGTTTATGTTACTTTTTTTTTTTTTAAGTCTCACTTTGTCACCCAGGCTAGATTGCAGTGCTGCAATCATGGTTCACTGCAGCCTCGACTTCCTGGGCTCCAGTGATCCTCCCACCTCAACCTCCCAAGTAGCTGGGACTACAGGTGCACGCTACCACTCCTGACTAATTTATTTTTAATTTCTTATAGAGGCAGCATCTCACTGTGTTGCCTAATTAACTGGTCTCAAACTTCTGGGCTCAAGCAGTCCTCCCACCTTAGCCTCCCAAAGTGTTGGGATTACAGGCATGAGCCACTGTGCCTGGGCAAGTTTATCTTACTTGGAGTTTTTTGAGTGTGTAGATTCATGCCCTCTGTTTCCTTTTCTTTCTCACCTCCTTCTGGGACTCCAATTGATAATATGTCTCTTGGTTTATTTGACAGTGTCCCACAAGTTCCTTGGGCTCTGTTCCTTTTTCTTCATCCTTTTTCCTTTCTGCTTTTCAGACTAGATAATTTCATTTGATCCATCTTTAAATTCACTGATTCTGTCTGCCCAAATTTGTTGTTGGAACACTTAACTGTGCTTTTCAGGTCAAGCTTCTTCTAGAATTTCTAGAGAAATTCTTCTCTATTTGGGAGAAACTCATTCTCCTGGTTTCCTTTGGTTCTTTGTCCATCATTTCCTTTAGCTCTCTGAACATATTCATGACAGTTGATGTAAAGTCTTTTCTAGGCCGGGCGTGGTGGCTCACACCTGTAATTCCAGCACTTTGAGAGGCCAAGGTCAGGAGTTCGAGACCAGCCTGGCCAACTAGGGAAACCCCATCTCTACAAAAAAATACAAAAATTAGCCAGGTGTGGTAGCTTGTGCCTGTAGTCCCAGCTACTCAGGAGGCTGAGGTAGGAGAATCAGTTGAACCCAAGAGGCAGAGGTTGCAGTGCGGGATTGCACTGTTGCACTCCAGCCTGAGTGATACAGTGAGACCCTGTCTCAAAGAAAAAAAATTAAGCCAGGTGTGATGGCTTATGCCTGTAATCTCAGCACTTTGAGAGGCTGAGGTGGGTGGATCACCTGAGGTCAGGAGTTCGAGACCAGCCTGCCCAACATGGAGAAACCCTGTCTCCACCAAAAATACAAAAAAAGTTAGCCGGGCATGGTGGCGCTTGCCTGTAGTCCCAGCTACTCGGGAGGCTGAGGCAGGAGAATCACTTGAGCCTGGCAGGCAGAGGTTGCAGTGAGCCAAGATTGCTCCACTGCACTCCAGCCTGGGTGACAGAGCGAGACTCCGTCTCAAAAAAAAAAAAAAATAATAATAATAATAATAAATAAAAATAAAAAATAAAGTCTTGTCTAATAATTAGTCCAATGTCTGTTTTCTCAGTGACAGTTTCCGTTTGTTCATTTTTACCTGTGAATGGGCCAATTTTTGTTTCTTTGCATGTTTCATAATTTCTTTGTTGGAAACTGGACGTTTTGAATAATGTGATGTGCAAAAGAGAAGTAGAAGAAAGAAAACAAAAAATATTGTCTAGGTCTTTGCAGATTGACTCTGCTGGGGCACTCCTTCAACACCTAGCCAGGCCGTTTATAACCCTGACTTAGCCTTCACTTCCTTCTTGTGTTGGGCCTGAAGACCAGCTCCAGCTGAAAGCCTGTGTTCTTCCTCAGCCTTTCTGAGTACGCATCCTGCCCTGAGCATACACGTGGCTGTCTAGGTTCCCATCTACATGGGAGCTTTCCAAAGCCCCCTTTCTCCTCCAAAATCTCACTCCCCGGCTTTTCTGCCAAAACTTTCAGCATGTGCACTGTTGGCCTCAACTGTTGTTTTTGCCCTAGGTGGCAGTAGCTTGTTCTCATTTGCCTTTCGTTGTTTTCGAGGAATATGTGACCACTCCATCCTGATAGAATTGTGAGTTACGTGAAACAAAGAGAAGCCACTTGTGGCAGTTCCTCAGGACAACCCCAGTTAGGTCAAGTTAAACATAGTTCCTTGGGAATAAGGTCCACTGTGCTCCCCGTGGACCCTGGTACCCACCTGGGAACACAGGTCATCTTTAAGACTGCAGCTGCACTGGGGAGGGAGATTGGAGAAGCAGGGTAAGTTAAAGCTACAAAGATATTCTACCCTGTCTCAGTGGACTTTCTCCTGGCTCACTTTGGTTGCTGTAAACCTTTGACCATCTTCTAGAGTTTTTATAAGGTTGACACTGGCAGTTTAAAAAAAAGTCTTTTAGTGTTTCTTGGAAGGGACGGCTGCCAGAGGAGACATCTCTGCTCCACCATTTCCACTGCTGTCACCGTTTCCACTGCTGTCAGTTAATTCGATAGAGGTGCAGTTAAATGGTGCCGGAACAACTGGATATTCATTGGCAAACAAATGAACTTTGATCCATACCTTGCACCATATGTAAAAACTAACTCAGAATGCATCATAAACCTAAATTTAGAACCTAAAATTATAAAACTTGTAGAATAAACTCTTTATAATCTTTAGTTAGACAAAGATTTATTAGATAGGACACTAAAAGCATCATTCACAAAAGGAAATATTTATAAATTGGACCTTTTCAAAATTAAAAGCTTTTTGGAAATTAAAATTAAAATTTAAAGTGTTTTGGAGAACAGTGTTAAGAGAATGAAAAGTCTAGCCGTGGACTGGGAGAAAACATTTGCAGATTACATATTTGTTAAAGGACTTGGTTTCAGAAGATAGAAAGAACTTTCAAAACTCAATAATAAGAAACAGCCAATAAAAATGAGGCAAAGATTTGCATAGATATGTCACCTCAGAAGATATACAGATGGCAGGTAGGCAAGTGAAAAGGGACTTGATATCATTAGGCATTAAGAAAATAAAAATGCACTTTGGGAGGCCGAGGCGGGCGGATCACAAGGTTAGGAGTTTGAGACCAGCCTGGTCAATATGGTGAAACCCTGTCTCTACTAAAAATACAAAAAGTAGTCGGGCGTGGTAGCAGGTGCCTGTAGTCCCAGCTACTCGGGAGGCTGAGGCGGGAGAATCACTTGAACCCGGGAGGCGTAGGTTGCAGTGAGCTGAGATCGCGCCACTGCACTCCAGCCTGGGTGACAGAGCGAGACCCTGTCTCAAAAAAAAAAAAAAAGGAAAAATGAAAACTAAAATAAGATTGCATACCCTTTAGAATGGCTAAGATGAATAAGACTGACTACACCAAGTGATGGCAAAGAGACGGAGCAACTGGAACCCTTGTGTGCTACTCATGTTTTAGGAAGCAGTTGGCAGCTTCTTGAAAAGTTAGAGACACCTCCCATATGATCTCCTTCATATTTATTCAAGAGAGATGAAAGCACTTGTCCCTAGAAAGATTTGCATGCATGTATTTATAGCATCTTGATTTGTGATAGCCTCAACCTGTAAATGACATGAATGTCTGTCCACTTGTGAATAAGCAAGCAAGCTGTGGTATATTCATTCAGTGGAAAACTCTTCTGTGACAAAAGTAAGAATAAACTCTAGATACACTCCAGATCTTGATTGAATTTTAAAATAATTTATGTAAGCCATACCATCGAAAAAAGAGTACATACCATATGATTCTGGTTGCATAACATTTTAGAAAATGCAAATTATAGTGCAGACAGCACGTGAATGGTTGTGTAGAGATGGGGGCAGGTGGAAGGGATTACTGAGGGTATCAGAAGACTTGGGGGTAATGGAGATGTTCCGTATTTTATTTAGGTAATGGTTTCACAGGTGCTTACAAATATTAAAGTGTATCAAAGTGTATATTTTAAATATGTGGACTTTATTGTATATTGATTATACTTCAGTAAAACTTTTTAAAAATTAAGGAGAGTAGTTTAAGAGTGCTAATCATATGTCTAGGTGAGCTGTTCAAGAGAGATGAAAATGAAGACTAAGTAAAGGCCATTGGCCTGGTGATTGGTGGTTACATGAGAGTAGCTGGATCGGAAAAAAAACAATGCGCAAGGTATTAAAGAATTGGTAGGAAACTCATTAAAAAATATTGTCAGTTTTAAAGCCTAAAACTGTTTTGGCATGATTCGTTTAAAAGAGGTGTTTTATGTATTTATTCCTACCTTTATTTGCACAAGCCTTTATGTTAGTGTTCATACTTTATAGGTTATATATTTAATATTTAGATACTTATATTTCATTTTTAATGTTTTTTTCTCTACAGAGGGATTGAAGTCTCAAGTTGCCCGCCACAGTCTAAACTACATACAGGAAATTGGAAATGGCTGGTTTGGAAAGGTAAGATGCTCTTCACTTGCATTTGTTTTCCTCTGAATGATACTGTGTTCAGTGCAGGGCTGATGAAGAATTGTGTTGTGTGGAGTTCCACGTGCCCTGTGGGCCCTGCGTTACTAATTGAGTTTCCCCATTCCCCCTGTGGCAGCGTGGGGGCGTGAGCTTCAGCCTTGCTGTGTGTCGAGCCTTTTCCAGAAAGGATGTCTTACGGCATACAGGCTGTTATAACAAAATATCATAAACTGGGTGGCTTATAAACAACAGAAATTTATTTCTCACAATCCTGGAGGCTGGGAAGTCCAAGATCAAGGTGCTGGCTGAATCCGGATCAGGTGAAGGTGGCACTTTCCTGCTGCGTCCTCCCGTGGTTGAAGGAGCAGGGCAGCTCTCTGGAACCTCTTTTGGAGGGATGCAAATCCCTTTCCCTCCCAGAGGCCTTCCTCCTCTCCATCGCATTGGTCATTAGGTTTCAGTTTACGGATTTGGGCAGGACAAAGGACACAGACATTTCGATCATAACAAAGGCCTTTAAAAAAAAAGTATCTGAGACTTTTCTAATTGTTGACATAAGAAAGTAAGAAGGGAAAAGAGACCTGGAATCTTAGCAGCTTCAGCTTTGTATCCTTCTCAGGTTAGATTGTTTTTTTAATCCCTTCCCCTTATAGCACTTAAGCCACTTTAGAACTGTAAATACAGTCTTACAATGAAGACCACCATGAACAACTAGTCTTCTCTCATAGCCCGTCAAGTGGCCTGTAGTAACAATGCTTTGTTGATTTTTTTATCGTAGATGGCTCAGAAGGAGTAATCTCCTACAGCCATTTCCACAGTACTGCAGTCGTGCTCTGCAAGAGGTTCCTAATGGAGTAGGGATTACATCGTAAGCAGGATGCTTACAACAGGAGGATGCACTTCCCAGTAGTCAGCCATCTGCTGCTGCTTCTCCTTCCCTTCAGCGTTGTCTGTATCTTTCATGTCCTCCCAACTGTTTGAGTTCTCTTCTGCACCATTCAGCAAAACCTGTTACGTAGCAGCCATTGTTCTTGGTGCTAGGGGCACGATGTGGAGGAAGATGGGTCAAACCTTGACCTGTGTGGAGTCCTGTATGAGAGATCAAACAAAACCCTGTCTTCACAAGGCTTAGATATCTAGTTGGGAGGGTCACACAGCAAACAGTCAATTGTGGGAGGTGGGCTCAGAGAGGTAGAGGGCAGGCAGGTGATCTGGGATATTGTGTGCCTAGAGACTGCCTTGCTCGGAATGAAACGGGGAAATACTCTGGTGCTTGAGAGATCATGATGTAATTGAGTTACCTTTTTAAAAGGATCACTCTGGAAGTCATAGAGGGGGAAGGTGAAAGCAGGGAGGAGATGGGCTAGAAGGCTCCTGCAGGCCCAGGCAGCTTGAACCTGGATGCTAGCGGTGGAGGTGGCAAGAAGTGGTAGGACCCAAGACAGATGTTCAGACGAGAGCATGCGGGTGTAGACTTAGAGGGGATAAGACATGGACTGTGGAGGAAGAGGCAGTCAGATTGACTGCTGAGGGCCTGATGAACTGGAAGAATGGAGTTGCTGTCAACTGAAATGCAACAGACACTGCAGGAGAGGCAGGAGGAAGTCGGGAGTTCATCTTTGCTATGTCAGGTGTGAGTTGGCCGTTAGACAACTCAGTGGGGGCACCAAGTAGCTGAACTGGAAATGCAGAGCAAGAGTGAAGGAGAGAGGGTCCCGGCTGGACATGTAAATCCGAGTGATCTCGTTTTATAGAGTGTATTCAAAGCTAGGAGACTAGGTGAAGTCATGGAGAATTTCAAAGTGGAAACCAGGGGGAGGCTCTGCAGCAGGGAGAGGCCAGTGCAGTCAGGGAGAAGCAGTGAGGAGGGAGAAGCCCAGGAGACAGGAGTCTTCTGAAAGTTCCAAGAAGATTAATTGCAGTAATGCTGCAGCTTACAAATGGAGTAAGATGAAGCCTGGGAGAATGAGGATTCAGCAGCATAAGTTCCTTGGCGTCCTTGAAAGAAGTTGTTCAGGGGGAAATGGTGATGGTACATCCTTGCGTGGAATGGATTCAAGAGAGAAAGAGGAGACGGTGCATTTAGACAACCCTCTTGAAGAGTTTTACTCCTCAAGGAGCAATAGGCTGGACGCGGTAGCTCACGCCTGTAATTCCAGTGCTTTGGGAGGCCCAGGTGGGAAGGATCACTTGAGGCGAGGAGTTTGAGACCAGCCTGGGCAACATAGCACAACCCCATCTCTAAAAAAAAATTCGCTGAGTGGGATGGCACACGCCTGTGGTCCCAGCTACACGGAAGGCTGAGGCAGGAGGATCACCTGGGCCCAGGAGTTCGAGGCTGCAGTGAGCCATATTTGCACCACTGTGCTCCATACAGGGTGACAGAGCAAGACTGTCTCAAAAAAAAAAAGAGAGGGTGATTTAGTTAATTATCAGAATTTCTTGTTCTCCATTTTTCTGTCCTTATATTTCTAATAAACACATTGAGTTCTGTTCTGGTTCTTACTGTATTTTCAGGACATTAAAATTAATCTATTTTAAAAGGAACTATTTTAAAAGAAGTATTTTTATTTTGATCATTCTCTTTTTTTAAAAATCATTCTCTAGAGTTCAATAAAAACCCTTATTCGCATTTTCATCTTGCACTTTGGAATACCTTGGCATTGTCCTGTTTTATATTTAGCATTTCCCTTGTAGCTAGTTCTCATGTGAGGCAGCAGATTCTCATTTCGTGTTCTGCTGATTTCAGTGGGGTGTTTTGAATGGAGATTTGGTAGGAGATCAAGGCCGGGTATCATTGGATGGAGTGCGATGGGTGTTTAAGTTTCAGGGCAATGATTGATTGTAATTAGCTTTCGTCAGTTTACTTTCTCATATGTATAGCAGACTAAATAACAAAACTTAGTGGAAGTGTTTTTGAGGAACATTTGAGTTATGTTGGAACTGAACTTATAAATTGCACTTCTGTAAAGTCATAGTGAATTTCCTTGAAGTAGAATACATTTTTAAATAAATCGACACAAATAAGTATAAATACATTTTAAAATAAATAGAAAAGAAATATGCATAAATATGTGAATATTGTAACTATCTGGTGAATGGTTTAAAATGGTCCTTTTACTGAAGAAAAATATTTGAGTTTTCCAAGCTTTTGGTGAGGTGGTAAGTAAAAGAATAGAAGGTCACCTGCTTATTGCTTAACTTGTTCACCTGTGTTCCATTTCCCGGTAAATGCAGCAGACTCCTTTATCATTTTGATGGAAATGACACAAAAAACTGTTCTTTGATTTTAGGTTCTCTTGGGAGAGATTTACACGGGCACTAGCGTAGCAAGAGTCATCGTGAAGGAGTTAAAAGCAAGTGCCAACCCAAAGGAACAAGATACTTTTTTGAAAAATGGAGAACCTTACTAGTAAGTAAACCTTGTCATGTGTTCTGTAAGACTAGTCTGTGGTCTGTTGAAGGTCAGGTGTTTAAAACTACTGTGGGATTTCTGCCTGTAACATACATGATTAAGTAAGTTCCAAGGTCTCATAAGACCTAAAATGTCCAGGCGTCATCTGAAAATCACTTAGCATTCCAAGAACCAGGAGAACTCAGCCTAAACCAGAAAAGACAACAGATTCCAACACAGATGACAGAGATGTTAGAATTACCTGACAAGAATTTTAAAGCACTCATCATAAAAATGCTTTGTGAGCAATTGCATCACGTTTAAAACAAAAAAAATAGTCTCAGCAGAGAAATAGAAGACATAAAGAAGACATAAATGGAAACCTCAGGACTAAGAAATACAGGAACTCATCATTTCAGTTACAGCCTCAGGGGCATGGGGAAATATAACAAAAGATCCAGCATTATTCATGTCATAGATGTCTCAGAAGGAACGGAGATAGAGGATGGGGCTGAAAAAGGATTCAAAGCAGTAGTTAGGCTAAAATTTTCTACATTTGGAAAAGAAAAAGCCTACAAATTTAAGAAATTGAGAAAATGCTAAACAGGATCAACCCAAGGAAATCCATGCCAAGACACATGGTCAAACTTCTGAAAATGAAAGACAAAAAATCCTAAAAGCAGGGAGACAGAAACAGCACTTTACCTATAGCGGGAAGCAATGTGGAGGACAGCCGATTTCTCATCAGAAACCTGGAGGCCAGAAGGAATCAGCACGTTTGTCACTTTTCTAAAGAAAAGAACTCTGAAATTCTTTCTCCAGAGAAAATATCCTTCAGGAATGAAGGGGAATATCAAGACATTCTCAGATGACAGAAAACTAAGAGAATTTATTACCAGCAAACCTGCCTTAGAAGAATGAGTTTTCTAAACAGAAAAGAAATGATAAAAGGAGGCGTCTTGGAACATCAGAAAAGAACAAAAATATGGCTGAACTTCCTTAAAAAGGCTGATTGTATCATCAAAATTAAAAACATTTGCGTTGTGATAGACCTTGGTAACAGTGAAAAGACGAGCCACAGACTGGGAGAAAATAGCTGGAAACCACGTAGCTGACATAGGACTCATATCTAGAATTTATAAGAAACTCTCAAAACTCAACAGAAAAAAAAAACCTAATTCAAAAATTGTCAGAAGACATTAAGAGACATTTCACCGAAGAGGAGATAACATGGATAGCAAATAAGCACATGAAAAGACGTTCAGTGTCATGAGCTACTAAAGTAATGAATTAAGATCCCTTCATACCTATTAGAAAAGCTGTAATGGCCGGACGCAGTGGCTCACGCCTGTAATCCCAGTACTTGGAAGGCTGAGGCGGGTGGATCACAAGGTCAGGAGATTGAGACCATCCTGGCTAACACGGTGAAGCCCCGTCTCTACTAAAAATACAAAAAATTAGTCGGGCGTGGTGTCGGGTGCCTGTAGTCCCAGCTACTTGGGAGGCTGAGGCAGGAAAATGGCGTGAACCTGGGAGGTGGAGCTTGCAGTGAGCCGAGATCACGCCACTGCACTCCAGCCTGGGCGACAGAACAAGACTCCGTCTCCAAAAAAAAAAAAGCTGTAATGAAAAAATAGTGACAATACCAAATGCTGGCAAGGATGTGGAGAAACTAGATCCCTCATACATTGCTTGTGGAAATGTAAAATGATAGAGCCACTGTAGAAAATAGCTTGGCAGTTTCTTAAAAAAACAAAACATACGTTAAGTTATATATTAGCATTAGTTATATATTAGCATTCTCCAGAGGAACAGAACCAATAGGATGTGTATGTACATGTATATCTAAAGAGAGATGTTTTTAAAGGAATTGGCTCATGAAGTTACGGAGGCTGGAAAGTCTAGAGTCTGCAGGGTGGACCAGGAGGCTGGAGACCCAGGGAATAGTCGATGTTGTAGTTTAAGGCTGAAGGCTGTCTGCTGGCAGAGTTCTTCCTTCTGTGGGGGAGGTCAGTCTTTGTTCTGTTAGGATCTTCAACTGATAGATGAGGCCCACCATTGTTGCAGGATCTGCTTTACTCCAAGTCCACCGATTTAAATAGTCATCCGCTGGGTACGGTGCCTCAGGTCTATAATCCTAGCCTTTTGAGAAGCTGAGGCTGGAGGATTGCTTGAGCCCAGGAGTTCAAGACCAGCCTGGGCAATGTGGTGAGACCCTGTCTGTAGAAAAAATCAGAAAAATTAGTTGGGCATGGTGGCATCACGCACCTGTAGTCTCAGCTCCTCAGGAAGCTGAGGCAGGAAGATCACTTGAGCCCAGGTGTTCAAGGCTGCAGCGAGCCATGATCACACCACCGTACTCTAGCTTGGATGACAGAGTGAGACCCTGTCTCGGTAGGTAGGTAGGTAGGTAGGTAGGTAGGTAGGTAGGTAGGTAGGTAGATTATAGATAGATAGATAGATAGATACAGACAGGCAATAATTTCATCAAAAAACACCCTCACAGAAACATAATAAGGATAATATTTGACCAAATACCTGGGCACTATGGCCCAGCCAAGGTGACACACAAAATTAACCGTCACATCATACAGCCCAGCAGTTGCATCCCTTGCCATTTATTCCAGAGCAGTGAAAACTTTTTTCCGTACAAAAACCCTTGCATGATTGTTCATAGCAGCTTTATTTGTAATTGCTAACAATTGGAAAAACTAACATGTCCGTCAGTAGGTGAGTGGTTCAGCAAAGCAGTACACATTTCCTGGAGCACTGCTCCCACATTAAAAAAAAAAAAAAAAAAAAATGAACCATTGACACATGGAACACCTTGGATGACCTCAGGGGGATTATGTTGAGTGAAAAAATCAATCTCAAAAGGTCACATACTATACCAATTCCATTTATATAATATTCTTAGAATGAGAACATTCTAGAAATGGAGAACAGGTTAGTGGTTGCCAGGGGTACACATGGGTGGGGCGGGAAGATCTTTGTGGTGATGGGATAGTTCTGAGTCTCCATTGAGGTGGTGGTTACACACATCTGTGCACGTGCAGACCTGGCATGGAGCCCTGCACACACTTTATCACAGTGGCAGTTCCCGGGTTTGGGTGTTGCACTGTACGTCATTGTGTCAGATGTAACCAACAGGGGAAACTGGGTGAAGGGTATACCAGGCCTCTCTCTGCTGTCTTTGCAACTCCTGTGAGTTCATAATTGTATCAAAATAAAGGGTTTTTTAAAAAATTATTTTGGCATACCTTTTATTTAACTATATTTTCTTTTGGACACAATATTTTCCAAAAGGAGTTTGCATATACTGTGGAAATTTATGGAAAAGAATGTATAAGCTAGATAGCCTGAAGGAGAAACTGAGTTATTTAATATCTGGACTGAAATACATATTGAATTTGTTTTGTTGTTGTCGTTGTTTTGAAGCAGGGTCTTGTTTTGTCCCCCGGGCTGGAGTGCAGTGGTGTAGTCATGGCTCACTGCAGCCTCCACCTCCTGCGCTCACGCAATACTCCCGGCTCAGCTTCCCGAGGAGCTGGGACCACAGTTGCGCGTCCCCACACCCAATTAGTTTTTCTGTCTTTTGTACAGATCTGGTCTCCCTTTTTTGTCCTGGCTGAAATACTTACTGAATTTGTATATACAGTTGGCCCTCTGTATCCACAGGTTCTGTGTCCATGGATTCAACCAATGGTGGATGGAAAATATTAAAAAAAAAAATGGAAAGAAATAATGCAGTAGTAAAAAAAATATAAATAATACAGTATAACAGTTTTTTACATAGCATTTACATCGTATTAGGTATTACAAGTAATCTAGAGACTATTTATATGGGCGGATGTGCGTAGGTTATGTGTAGATAATGACACCATTTTATGTAAGAGACTTAAGCATCTTTGGTTTGGATTTTGGTATCTTCAGGGATTCATGGAACCAGTCTCCCGCAGGTACTAAGGGATGACTGTATAGTCTGCCCTCTTTTAAATGCTGCTTTAAAATATTATCTCCTAACTTAAATTACTAAAGATAAAAATTCTTGAGGCCAGGCATGGTGGCACGTGCCTGTAATGCCAGCTATTTGGCCAGCTGAGGTGGCAGGATCACTTGAGCCCAGGAGTTGGAGGCTGCAGTGAGCTATGATTGCACCACTGCACTCCAGCCAGGGTGACAGAACGAGACCCTGTCTCTTGAAAAAAAATTTTTAAAGTTTCTTATGTTAAGATTTCTTTTTTAATTTGTGAAAATATTCACTTGATTGGCTTTGAATTACTTGCTAGATAACTTAGTATACACCTTTTAAGTATAATCTTCGTGATCTTTTTAGCCTGTCATTTATGTAAATATTATATAAATTATTATGAAAAAATTTGGATTACTATTTGAATAATTTTATTAGTATGCTTTTGTTTGAATAATGTTATTATCATGCTTCCTGATGAACAATATTATGGCTTTTATTTTTCCCAGCATTCTTCAGCATCCAAATATTCTTCAGTGTGTTGGACAGTGCGTAGAAGCGATTCCCTACCTCCTGGTGTTTGAGTTCTGTGACTTGGTAAGTTCCTTGAAGGAATTCAAGTTCGAGTATTCCAGAGGTTGTATTCAAGTGTTTTTGACAGATGGACATGCTGGATGAGGGGTTGCTTTCATGTCTGTCCCCCACTTGAAGAACTTTATGATGAGTTACTTTTATTCCCTTTGGTGATGGTGATAGTGTTGACTGACACTTACATAGTGGTTTGTTACACTGCAGTCCCTGTGCTAAGCTATTTAGTTGCCTTACCACACTTAATGATAACAAACTCCAGAGTTAGGTACCAATATTTGTCCATACTTTCCATGTGATGGCCATGGTGTGGATCAAGTGTGTAGCACAGCCAGAGCCAGAGCTTGGGTCTAGATGTGCCCTCCTAAGAGCGTGAACCAGGCTTGAAACATCTTGAAACACTTTAACCCCCTGAGAGAGCCCAAGAATCGCTTTACCTAGAGTACTCCTCATCCGTCAGCATCTGAAAATAGCAAACGTATGTGACATTTATATGTTTAAAGAGTTAGATTTATTTTCTTAAAAACCTTATTTCTTAGCATGATAATATTATTTATTGGACAGTTGGAAAGATTGTTCTTTGTGCAGTTTCATGAATAATTTCAGTAGTAATTTCTATGTGAAATTTCCTCTAAACATCTTTTCCCGCATGCAGAATATTTCATCTTTTTTAAAAGCCCATTTTTAGCATGTAATTGTTATCTTCCAAAAACAGTGGTGAGCTGTTAATTGGATGAGTCAGGTTTTAATTGATTTCTTTGCATCATCTCAGTTTTCAGAACATTGAAACTTCCATGGCTGTGCATAGAAAAATAGGAGTACCCCAAAACAAATTCCCAGTTAATTCAAATAATATTTTCATCTGTTTAAATAAAGAACAGTAAGCATCGTGATTTTTTGTTTTAATTCCTAAGTGTGATTCGAGTATTTCTCTCATTGGCAGAGGTGGTTGATTAATAAACTTGATAACATTAGCTTTTGTTGGATTATGTAATAGTTACCCTCAAATATCTGTGGCTCATTGCAACAAAGTAGTTCTCACTCATCTTAGGTGTTGGCTTTGAGTCAACTGTGGCTCTCTTCTGGGCTGCATTCATCTTCACTCTAGGATCAGTGTTTTTTCGTGCCTGTAGATGCTGGAAAAGAAAAAAAGAGAAAGTGTATTCTGATGTTGTTCCTTAAAGCATTCTTCATGGCCTCTGGGTCAAGTTTGTGAGGTTGTTTAAATCTCTCATATCTTCTGATTTGGGGGAAGGAGTGTGGAGGGGGTTTGAGTCAGTTTTCTGTTGGTTACTGAGAGAGGCTCTAGTTAAAGATTTTCCTTATAATTCTGGTTGTTTTTACATTTTGATGCCCTGTTATGTAGGCATGAACATTTAAGGTTGGTATAATTTCCTACAATTTCAACCTTCTATCATTATGAAGGGGCTCTCTTTAAGGTTAAAAGCATTAATAAAGATAAAGTCTGGTTTTATTGATACTAATATAGTTAGACCAACTTTCTTTTGGTTGGAATTTGCCTGTCAAATTATATTTCTGTCAATCCTTTTCTTCTCTGGTTTACACCTCTTGTAAATAGTTTGTTGTTAAAAAATTTTTAAATCTTGCAATCGTGGTCACTTAAAATGGAATATGTAGTTCATTTACGTTTCTTGTAATTAGTGAGATATTTGTAATTTTATCTACCTATTTGGTATTCTTTTTTGTACCCGTTACAATTTTTCTTTTTTGCTTTTTTTCTGTTCTTCTTTGGGATTCTCAATTTTTTTTGTTTGTTTCAATTTTCCCCATCTACAAGTCTGGACTTGAGATATTTGTTTCTTAATTTTTTGTGTGGTCGCACTAGAAATTACAGCATGCACATTTTTTAACCTAACAAAGTCTAAAATTAATATTTTAATCCTGCCCCAAAGGAGCTGGAAACTCCTAGAGCTCTCTCTCCATGTAAGGAAAACTGGAATTAAACCTACTTTTCTGGGCCACCCCATATTCTCTGCCATTGTGGAGGATGCTTATTCATTGGGCACTTAACTGAAGTAAGGCAGCATGCTGCACCTGGAGATACCGAGACTCAGTGTGCTCGTTGTCCTCCAGGTCGCCCAGTGAGAGGTGACACAGGATCAATTATTTAGTAGAGGCATGAGAACTAAGAGGAAGGAGTTCTCGCTGGGATTTCTCAGGGTGTTATTGCTTATTATTATATAATCGGTTTTGATGATCTCGATATGATCAGAGTTATAAAATTTATGATCTTAGGTTATTGTGATATAAAAATAGCTTCCTTTTAGTCTAGCTCTGTGTGACCCATGGAAGGTGATTTTGGCACTGACACAGCATCAACAAAAAAAAGTTAGGACACAGAGATGCGCCCTCAGGTGACAAGGCAAGTCTGCTCGTCAGAGGCCCGCTATTCTGAGCTGTTTCATGTTGCCTTTTTTGGTCCCTAAGCTCCTTATATTAATTATAAATAACAGTTGAGGCATAGTCTTTGTGAGTGACCATCACAGAAATAGAGCCGGAGGCAGCATCTATTTGACAATTGCCCGTTTCCCGGCTGATGGAGGTGGCTTGGAAAACTATCTCATATATTTTAGCATTTTCCAGTTCTTCTTTGCCCTTCTGCATGCGTTCTTGAAAGTTCCAGTAGACAATGTTAGTTTTTTCATACAATGGTCAAAGACCTTGTCCACTCCGCTTCATGTTTTCTTCTGAATGGGTTCAGAAGATGGGCTTTGTTTTAATGCTATTTTAATGTATTTTTTATAGCAGCTGTCCTTTTTGGGACTAGTAATTTAACCAGTTTTATAAAGAAACACAAAAACATGGTGGAATAACTCCTTTATGTTACCATAAATGACCCAGTGTTGATCTAGAGTATTTCTGTATCTTTATCATTGTACAGACATCTTTATGAAAATATAAGAAATACATCTGTTCTTTAACTCAGCATCCTTATAATTTTTTCCCCAACAAATTTAGAGCTCAGACTTAAATACATGTTATCCAAATACTTAGACTAAGTATTCAAAGCATATTAACTTACCTAAATTTGATTGGCTCTTATACTTTGGGGTGAATATTATGCATACAGCCTTCTAGAATGAGCAGATGTGACTTCATGAAACACATTTTATGTGACCCTCCTAAGTCACTCGGGGACGGTCACTCCTGAACATCCCGAGGAGCTCTGGTCGCCATCAAAAGCTTCCACTGGCAGTGCAGAGCTAATAGCTTGTTTAATTTAAGCGTCCCACCTAATGGTACATTGATCAATAAAATTTTTTAAGCCATCATTGTTCCTCAAATAATTAAAAATACAATTACCATATGATCCAGCTAGTTCCACTTCTGGGGATATATACAAAAGAAGTGAAAGCAGGCCCTCAGGCAGATATTTGCACACGTTATTCACAGTAATGGGTTATTATCGAAACCACTATTCACAGTAGCTGGGAGGTGGAAGTGGCCAGGTGTCCATCGATGGGTGAATGGATAAACCAAATCTGCTCTCTCTGTGCAATGGAGGATTGTTAAAAGGAAGGAAATTCCAACACAGGCTACAGCATGAATGAACCTTAAGGCCATTATGGGAAGTGAAACAAGCCAGTCACAAAAAGACAAGTTCTGGGTAATTCTACTTACAGGAGGGACCTAGAGTAGTCAGATTCCTAGAGACAGAAAGTAGAAAGGTGGGTGCCAGGGGTGGGCTGGGGCTGGGAAATGGGGAGTTGTTTAATGGATGCAAAGCTTCAGTTTTGTGAGTTGAACAAGTTCTGGAGGGGGCTGGTGGTAATGGTTGTGCAGCAAGAAGAATGTACTTAACTCTGGAATTGTAAAGTTAGACGTGGTTACAATGCCAAATGGTATTTTATGCATTTTTTTTTACCCCAGTAGAAAAAAATGGATAATTACCTCCCACAATTTAAGGTGCCATGTCAGGTGCTACCTATGTTCGGAGGCTAGGATGCCCTTTGGAAATCTTTGGTTATCACTTGGCGTGGCCAGTCATATATCAGAGTCAAGGTCATAAACACAGGGTGCCACCAACTTGTCCAGCAGTGGGAGGTCACATTGTTTCCTTGGGCAATTTCGTACATATCACTTCTGGGCTCTCGTAAACTTGAAAAGGAACAGGTTTTCCAGCAGCAAGGACTAGGGGCCTGACAGGGTTCTTGGCACTGAAGTCCAGCTTCTCCGGGCTCCCACCGTGTGGCAAGAACGGTCAGGTAGCACCAGCCCAGGGAGCCAGAGAGGGCATCTACTTGAAGGGACCGAGGGTTGTCCCATGGGACACACCAAAGTGTCTCTTTGACACTGAGCCCAGCTCCCAGCCTGGATGACCCAAAACCTGCCCAGAAACAGGCCTTTCTGATCAGAGGGGCATAACCCAAGGCAGGACCTGCCCCCTGGCCGCAATACAAAGGGCACAAAGGGCACAGAGGGCAGCGGTCTGGGCTCTGTAAAAAGCTGCTGTGGCCACGGTGAAGGACCGGCTATCGCTGCCTGTCTTAGCAGGTCAAGAGCGATTGAATGAACAGTGGCCTTTTCAGTCGTCATCCTGCAGTCATCATGCCCAATGATAACATCTCCCAAGTAGAAAGGAGAAAATATTTTTGCACTTACTTAATTCCTTGTAAGATGGAATTAACCAGCCTGTTTTTAAAAGGCACTTAATCATGGAATTTTTATGAAAGTAAATGAAAACTCCTCTGAGTGCATTTTGTAGCTGGCCTGCAGCCACAGATTTGCAATGCTGACGGTGACAATGTTTATGAGAGGAGCCGAGAGATGACTGTAGGGTGTTTTATAGAACTTGTTGCCATGGCAGGTACACGCCGCTCTCACGTGAATATCAAGGCAATGAGACTTTTGATTAAGGATCACTCACTCAACAAAAATGGATTGAGCAAATTCGAAGTGCCGGGAGCTGCCTGGTGCTTTAAGGAACACAGAAGTGAATAAGCCCCGCCCCTGACTTGCCTGCTCGGATGTTCATTCTGCCACTCACTGGTTTATCACCTTGGAAAATCCCTTAACCTCTTCTGTAAAATGGCAGTAATACTGTCTCCCCTTAGAACTGCCCTGACCATTAAGTAAGATGATGGATGAGATTACCGAGCACAAGGAAAATGCTCAGTAAGTGGTGGCCATTTTTAGTTACTAAAATTGATTGATTCTAATTATTAAATAAAAGCTTGGGTAGTGCGTATAGAAGTACGGGAGTCCTAACCAGGATCACTGGGGAAGGCTTTGTAAAGGCAGTGTGGAGACAGGGGATGCTGTGCCCTGGTGGCGAGGCCAGCTGGGTCTGTTGGGAAGGCTCAAGTGGAAGGGGTAAGGACAGAGAACAAAGCACGCTGGAGACCAGGCTGCCAGCCGGGAGAGAAAAAGGAGGATGTAGACTAACCTTTGCCACATCCTAGTCTTTCTTATTGGTCAGCAATTTCTTCAGCTCCATCACCTGGCCCCGGAGCAGATGATACTGTGTTCTTGAATGTTGTATCCTGAGCTCCTTTACTAAATTCAGCCAGTAAAACATGGAGTCAGTTTCTGAAGGCAGTTCGCAGTGGAGAAGGGGAAGGATGTCCACTGTTTCTGAAGGCAGTTCGCAGTGGAGAAGGGGAGGGCATCCGCTGGCTGTCCTTTGACAGTAGTGCGTTGCTCTGTGGGACTTGGGCTCTTCTGTTTCTCATGAAGAGCGGTGACTTGGGGGCAGAATCAGAGGAGCTTAGACCCATGGGCTCTTAGACCTGGAAGGAACCTTGGCCACTGCCCACAACGGGGAGTACGATGAGGAAGCTCTGAGCATTCTGGGCTAGGCCCAGTGCTGGGCATTTGATGTATGTTCCCATCGAGTGAGTTGTCTTGACAACGCTGTGAGACCCATAGCAGTAGCTTCAGTCTACAGATGAGGAAACCAAGGCCGAGAGAGGGGAAGGGACTGGCTGAAGAATCAGACCCAGGCTGCGTGTGTCAGGGTTGGTGATGGACTTGCCTGAGGGTGCAGAGTTACCAGTGCCAAAGTGAGTGTGTTTACGGGTGGCTTGATTTTATTCTAATTTTATTCTATTGTTTTTAAAAATAGAAATGGGGTCTCACTATATTGCCCAGGCTGGTCTCAAACTCCTGGTCTCAAGTGATCTTCCCACCTCAGCCTCCGAAAGTGCTGGAATGACCCGGCCCTGTGTACTTTTATACCAGGTGGTTTAATGCCACTACCAGCGGGAGGCCTCCATTTTAGAATTGGCCTCTTTGGTGCAGAAATGCCTAATTAATGGGCAGCTCTTCTTTATGAATGTAGTTATTAATAAGCCCCATGCACCAGGGCACCTCAGTTCAGCAATTTCTCCTCAGGCACCGGGCACACCAAGATGGATGACGTGTCGTTGCCCCTAAGGAGCTCATGTAGAGGAGAGGGGACACAGAGTCACGGTGGAACAGGCGTGAGGAGAGCTGGGGGCACAGGTGGATGGGGTCCCTGACCAGAGCCAGCAGAGGGGAGGCCTGTGCTGGACAACCGCATGGGTTGAGGTGTGGGGGTGATTGGGTCGGGGGTACGTTCCCAGTCCCTGCGTCTGCCCTGTTCCAGTGCCCGGCCCTGTGCTGGGGCCCTGCCAATGGCCTTGGCCCTCCCCACGCCTGGCTGCAGCCCGGGCACTACGGCCTTGGCCCTTGCTGAGTCTGCCTCGGCTGCCTCTGGCCAGGCCCTTCCGGTCTTCCCTGGTGCCTGCTCTCCCTCCCCTGCATTTCCTCCATCAGCACTGCTTCCCCATGTGTGTGGCCACACTGCTCCTAGGTGCTGTCTTCTTTCTCCCCTGTTGCTGCAGTGACAGGTCATCGCTGCTTATAACCAAGGTGTGCACCTGTAGCTGGAGCGCTGGAGCCACACGGAGTGGCAGCTGTGATTTCAGCAGAGGTTCTCTGGCGCCCTCCGATGGTGCTTGGGCAGGCTGATGGGGGCCTCACTGTTGTCTGTAAAAGTTTAAAAAGAAAAACACTTTTAATAGAAAAATTTACAGAATAAGGATATAAAGAAAAATATTTTTGTACAACTGTGCAATGTGTTTTTGTTTTAACCTAAGTGTTATTACAAAAAGACTCAAAAGTTTTAAAAAATTAAAAAGTAAAAAAGTTACAGTAAGCTAAGGTATATTATTGAGAAAGACAAAATTTTTATATAGATTTAGTGTGGTCTAAGGGTCTCTTGAGCCCAGGAGGTCAAGGCTGCATACAGAAATACTTGCCATCGTGTTACAGTGGCTTACACTGTTTTCAGTGCAGTAACATGCTCTATAGGTTTGAAGCCTAGGCTGTAGCAAGAAACCACCCTCTGTAGCCTCAGGGTGCAGTAGGCTGACCATCTAGGTTCATGTAAGTATACTCTGTGATGTTTGCACGATGGTGAAATTGCCTAACAACACATTTCTCAGAAGGCATCCCCAGTGTTAAGTGACACACGACTGTATTTTAACAGAATTTTGGAATAATTTAGACTCTCTGTTCTCAAAGTAACATTTACTATACAAAGATAAACTTTCAAAGAGAATCAGATTTTACTTAAAGAATATTATTTTCCCAAATTAAGTGTCTTTGGCTAGCTTTAATGTCCAGAGTAATGAAGTAATAAATTTAAAAGCCCAGTAAAAATGTGAAATTTCAGATTTACTCCTAAGTTCATTCTTATTAGATTATTAAATGGAAATGATAGGGTGGGGCGGCTTTGGGAAAACAGTTGTCCCAACTTTAACCTGTAGGGCATCATTTAGAATGTCTGCCTAAGTGTTTTTTCTTTTTTCTCCCATTCATTAAGCAAATATTAAACACATGCTGTGTGCCCAGCACTGTTCTAGGTTTTAGAGACACAATAGGGAACTAGACGGAGTCCTAGCCATGTCTAGCTTGCTTTCTAGTGGTAGAGACAGACAAGGAAATAAAACAGCAGGGAGGAACCCAGGCTATCACGGTTGGATTTATGTTTTCAGGGACTGGCTTTGGCTGCTCAGGCGAATGGATGCAGGGAGGCCGCAGGGAGACTGGCGCAGGTGTGTCCTCAAGGTGGGGTGGTGCTGGGACCAATACCACAGCAGCGGAGGCATGGGAGGTAGTTTGAAAACAGACCCAGAACTTGGTGACGGGTTGGATGTGGCTGCCTAGAGGCAGAACTCACAAATGACATCTTCACTTTTGGTCTGACGCACTTGGAAAACGGCGATGCCACTTACTGAGACTGGCAGAGGTTTGTGCCAGAGGGCTCTTAGGCATACAGGGAGGGAAGTTGAGTCAGGAGATGAGGGGCTGGGCCAGAGAGCTGTACGTGAGGCATGGGCTTTCAAGCCATGGGGTGGCTGAAACCCCTGGTCGGGGAGCGCCCCCAGGACTGAGGACCAGGACGGAGCTCCAGGGTCCTTACGGATCAACGAGAGGAGGGAGAGCCAGTGGGGGGGCCGAGGAAGGAGCGGCCAGTGGGATAAGAAGAAACGCAGGAGGTTGCGGTGCCCGAAGGCTGGTGAAGAACATGTTTAAGCAAGGAAAGAACGGGCCGGTCTCCATTAATGCTGGTGAGATGAGACCCGACCAGCTGTGCTTGGGGAGAAGTGGGCAGGTCACTCCTTGATAGGCCTGGCGAGAGCAGCTGCCACTGAATGGTGGATGCAAGTGCTTCTGATGGTGGCAAGGGGTTCCTGAACAAGGAGCCAGGACCGACCAGGCTTCTGAGGAGTTTAACTACGGAAAGGAGAAAGAAGTGGAGGGCTGGGGAGGGGAGGGCTGGGTTTACCTGGGAGGTGTTTGGGGCCAGAGCAGAGAGAAGAGATGGACTCTCGAGAGGACTGAGCTTAGAAAGGCACAAGACGAAGAATCCATGGCAACCAAAGAGGAGATGATGTATAAGGTTATGGATGCCAGTGGGCGGGGGGACCAGTGGTGCTGAGAAAAAATAGACACAGGCAGAGAGCTGCTGGGAGGGAAGCGAGGCCCCGGGCTTCGCGGAGGCGTGGCGGCGTCAGCTGCCCCAGTCTGCATGTCTTCTATTTCATTAGCAGAAGCGGGGGTGTTGCGCTGTCTATATCATTCTTTCATCCTTTCAATAAAATTATTGAAGATTATGTTTTTCCCCAGAATCATCCTATTAAACATATAAATGACTTTAATTTTTCAGTTCTAAAGCTATTTACTTGTTGACTTTTTACACAGTACTGAAATTAATTAATTGCTCCTAGTGTCCTGCAGAAAAGCTATATAAAGCCCTCCCTGGCCATTCATGTCAGCATTGAGGAGCGGGCTTGCGAGGAACCTATTTACAGGTGTTTGAATGACTCATTCTACCAGGGCGTTGCAGGTCACTTGCTCTGCTGATGGAGAGCTTGGTGTAGCGCTCTGCTGCCATCTAGTGTCCTAAGTTTTCCTTCGGGAGTTTTTTGGGGGGTTTTGGGAAGCTGAGAAATTTTTAAAACTTGGATAAAGGAATGTTTATTTTAATTCAGAATACATTGCTATTCTTGGTGAGCTTTTTTCTTTAAATAATGGACCAAAATAATCATGTCTATTCACTAAGCACCATTAAAGTACAAATAAATCAGATAATATGTCTGTTTTGGATAGAATGAATCAAATTTTAGTACTTGCTTAACATAAACATTTTTACTCTAATTAAAGATTTTATGTTGATTTTTTCTTTTAAACTGTGGTACCAGGAGAGCTCTATGGACCTTTCTGAAACATAGAACTAACCCTGGATCCTACACAATCCATGACAAGTCTCAACCATGAGAACCATGACCAGGGGCCTCCAGTAATCTTTGATGTTCTTCCCTATTCCTGGGTTAAAGATATTTTTGCCTGGAATGTACTGATTTTATCTATTCTTAAGTAAAATCCCTTTCTGTTGATTATATTCTGTCTTTGAGTGAAATTTGGGAAGTGGGCTATTATGGAGAGAAGACATTTTAAGAACAGTGAGTGTGGTGAATATACTTTAGATACCCTTGAGAAGCAGCCACGCCCGCTCTGCGCTTCCTCTGCCTTCATGGCTGGGGTGGCAGTTCACTGCCTGCCAGCAGCTGCTGTTGGTTTTAGGATTGGCCAGATTCAGCCCAGCAAAACCATGTTTTCGTGTGAGAGTAAGTTTTTCCTTAGATGGGTATTGGTGGCGGAGGGGTTAGGCAGAAGAATTTCATTACCATTTCATTGGTAATGTAGATAGACTTAAGCTTTTTTCATGTTTACTTTCTCTATGGGCTACCTTATGAAACTCCCAGCTGCCTGTAGTCCTGGAGTTTTTTGCTGGAATTTTTCTGGGTGAATTTAATTGTCTTCTGAATCATTTGTTATCCTTACAACTCCCAAGCTCCACAGAGCCTAATCTGAATGGAGGGGCATATGTTTTTACAAGAAAAAAAAAAAAGTTTTCTCTTTCTCCTCTGGAGTGGCTTCTAATTTCGTTGGAAACAAAGGAGAAGGCACCACGTTTGGAAGGAAATGTATGAAGGACAGCAATGCCAGGTGCACGGCACCGAGGGAAGACCACTGCTCCCCTGGCAGAGCAGTCACATGACGCTTGGGAGACCCCAGCAGATTGATAGGATTGACCTTCAGTTATTTTATGTTCATTCTTATAAAATACATTGATGTTGTCTGCATACTGATTTAATTCACTTGCTAAATAGACCTTTCTTGACTAGTTGGTAAGCCGAAAAGTAGAAGCACAGCCCTACCATTTATTAGCTCTGTGGCCTTGGGCAAATTTCTTACCCTCCCTAAGCCTCAGTTCCATATCTGGTAAACATCTCATATTGTATTTGCAGTAACAAGTGCAAAAACTCCTAACATAACGCTTGGCTCAGGGCTCAAAGCACAAATGGTGGCAACTATTAATATCAACATTATCACTCATGTAAAGATCTTGGAAACTGGGAATGGAAACAAATTTAGATTCTTGGAGTGGACCTAGAAGTTACCTCAGAATGTACTCAGTATTAAATGTGGGTAAATGTTTGTAAAGGAATACTGTGTTTTAAGGTTTTATTCTGGGAGGTATTTGATAAATTGGCTATCTTCAGTAACAGTTACAAGACATGTACTCTTTAGTTGGTCAAGGAAAATGCCCTTCCTCAGGAGTCTTTTTTTTTTTTCTTTTTTTTCCCGCTCCCCGCCTCCAGCCGTCTTTTCTTGACTCAGATTTAAAGAACACTGAAAGCTATTGG
The DNA here is from genome assembly GCF_000001405.40 of Homo sapiens. Classification (NCBI taxonomy): domain Eukaryota; kingdom Metazoa; phylum Chordata; class Mammalia; order Primates; family Hominidae; genus Homo; species Homo sapiens. The sequence goes on from NC_000007.14 coordinate 98,170,618, forward strand.
CTTGCTTTCTAAATTTTATTAACTGATTCGAGGAAACTTTAATTTGGAATGAAATCATATCAATAAATATTTAATCATATGGTAAGGAGAATATGGAAGATTTTATTCCCTCAGAAGGTGTTCCCCATAACAGATACACGGTAAACTCCCAAAAACATAGTATCCTAAATGAAAATCATGAAATAAAGACAGCGTAACACAGGGAAGTCTTGGAGGAGGCCTGGGGAGCCCTGCAGTGTCATGGCCATGTGCTGGGCATCTGACTGTAAGTTTGTTTATTTTCCTGCTCAGGTTGCTCCCCTTTGAAGAGTAGGCTTGTTAACGTGGTGAGTTTTTCTGGAGTGGCTGAAATGTTCTTTCTCTTCACCGTCTCAGGATAGCCCAGGGTCCTGGGGAAGCTGGGGGAGACCTGAAACAGTTGTTGCTGCACTACCTGGACTTCTCCTTTCCCACCCATTTTTCTTTCCTTCTCTCCCGCTCCATTGCTCCTCCAAGCTTTGGCAGTAACCACGGCGCCTTCGTGATGAAGCGCTCACTGCCCAGGGGCCGCCTGGAGTCCATAGAACAGGCAGTGTGAGTGGCACCATTTCTTACACTCTCCGTGTCATCTCCTAGGTAACCTGGGAGTTTCTCTAATTCTACACAGCATTTAGTTTAAATGTGCATCATTGCAAAACTATCTTTTTTTAAACTGTTTTGTGTTCCATGTGTTTATGTGACAAAGATGTTAACTAGTTAGAATGTTCCTAAAAGCATAATAGTGTTCTATACTTTCGCAGTATTGGGTTGGAACTTCTTTAAGTATGAACAAAAGAAGTTTCTAATAAATAATCTTAACAGTTAGTGTTCACCGAGGCACGTATTTAAGCGCTCACTTTATTCCTGTGGCTCGTTTGGAAACTCACACGGGCTGACTTTTGCAGGGTGACCTGAAGGCGTATCTGCGCAGCGAGCAGGAGCACATGCGGGGGGACTCACAGACCATGCTGCTGCAGAGGATGGCGTGCGAGGTCGCCGCGGGGCTGGCCGCCATGCACAAGCTGCACTTCCTGCACAGGTGGGTACCTGCGTCAGCGGTGCACGCCCCACACAGCACCGGCGGGACAGTCCAGAGAGGCTGCCGAGTTTGTGAAACTTAAGGAGGACAGGAGGTGGCAGAATGAACCCAGCTCATGTAGGTAGAAGCGATCTCGTTCTTACCCATGTCCGGATAAGGGTTGAGTTGGGCTTCATTGAAACCAGTACCAGGGAATAAGATGTCTTAATACATTTATTATTTCCAGCATTTCAAAGAATGTGAATAGTTGTACCTGCCTCAGAGTTGGGAGTAAACAGTCCCGATCCACCGTATGACACCTCGCGTGTTTCATCCTTGCCACACCAGCTTTAGGCTTCTGGTGCCACCCGCCCGGTTTCATGGTGCATCCCAGTTCACATTCCTGAGAGAGGAAGAGAGAATCTCTAGGCCAGCAGCCTCTGTTTGCACAAGGTCATAGCACTGGTTTCTGGCCAGCTGAAGGGTGGGCTTCAGGTGCCCATTTGGAAGCAGAGGTGTCATGGGATCCGATCTGATGAGGCCCCCCGCTCCCGGGTGGGTAGTCAGGGGCTGCTTGTGAGCAGCACAGCGATCTGTGTAGCACATTTCTGTTGCAGCTTTTCAGGCCCCACTTGAATGACCATAGTTCTTTTTTTTTTTTTTTTTTTTGAGACGGAGTCTTGCTCTGTCGCCCAGGCAGGAGTGCAGTGGCACGTTCTCGGCTCACTGCAAGCTCCACCTCCCGGGTTCACGCCTTGAATGACCGTAGTTCTTTGGAACACGTTATATTTTGTTAAGATCATAGATGGTGATTTTCGTAATTAAAACACCAAAGGACTTGGAGTCCCGTCTCAAATGAGGAGTCTGTTCTGTGAACCCAAAAGGAGATTTCTGCTTATTCTCCTCTAGGCTTTTGAGCTGTGCTTTATGTTTAAAAACAACACAATACGTTTAAAATTATTTCTTAGGTCTCCAGGGAAACCAGGCAGTATTTCTTTAGTCAACTTTAAGTAAATCATTTAACTCTTAGTAATCCATTGACCTAAAAAGGAACACCTGTGTGTCTTGACTTGAAGAGATGTGTATGAAGTATTCTATTTTTTATTTATTTATGTATTATTTTTTTGAGACGGAGTCTCTGTCGCCCAGGCTGGAGTGCAGTGATGTGATCTCGGCTCACTACAACCTCCACCGCCAGGGTTCAAGTGATTCTCCTGCCTCAGCCTTCCGAGTAGCTGGGGCTACAGGCACTTGCCACCAGGCCTGGCTAATTTTTGTATTTTCAGTACAGATGGGGTTTCACCATGTTGGCCAGGCTGGTCTCAAACTTCTGACCTCAGATGATCCGTCCGCCTCAGCCTCCCGAAGTGCCAGGATTACAGGTGTGAGCCACTGTGCCTGGCTTGAAGTATTCTTTTTTGTAAAAAGCAGATTTCACAGTAATATGCTTAGTGTGATTCCATTTCTTAAGTATGAAAACACCTGGTCGTATTTCTAGAGGTGTGTGTGTCTTAAACAGGCGTGGAAAAGTACCGTGCCTATCAGACTGTCAACATTCCTTCAAGGGGGGACAGAGGAAAATTATTAACCTTCTTCTTACACATTTATATCTTGTTTGATTTACGATAGTAAACAAATCATTCTGGTAAAGTGTTTTTTTTTTTTTAAAGACTCAAAAAGTTACCAGTTTCTTAAGACCCAAAGCAGAATCCCTTATATGAAGCTTTATAAAGATTTCGTAATGGAGAAAGCCTACATTTAGCTTTTGATGTCTTTTATAACAGGCTGTTATCTAGCATAATTTATATTGTTAATATATCTTACAAAATGCAGATAATTACTAATACTGGTATAGGAATTCTTAAATTTTGGAGAAGGGGGTTTAATTTTAAAAGAGCATAATATTGGAATCAGCAATGTAAAATTATCAAAGACAACTAGAATCTGTATTTTTTAAATTGGCAAAGATATCAGAGTAAATAGTATTTTCCTGTGAGTTTCAAGTTAAAGTTTTACTTAATTTCAAAGTTTGTGGACTTTAGAGCAAGTAAAGATGATGAGTAAATCACATAGTTTGGGTTTTATTCAAGTTCTAAAACTCAAGTTAAAGAAAATCCTTGAGGCCGGGCACGGTGGCTCATGCCTGTAATCCCCGCACTTTGGGAGGCCGAGGCAGGCGGATCACAAGGTCAGGAGATCGAGACTGTCCTGGCTAACACGGTGAAACCCCGTCTCTACTAAAAATACAAAAAATTAGCCGGATGTGGTGACGGGTGCCTGTAGTCCCAGCTATTCGGGAGGCTGAGGCAGGAGAATGGCGTGAACCCGGGAGGTGGAGCTTGCAGTGAGCCGAGATCATGCCACTGCACTCTAGTCTGGGTGACAGAGCGAGATTCTGTCTCAAAAAACAAAAAACCCTTGAAACCATTGACAGCTGTTTCATTTTGTTGTAAAAAAAAAAAAAAAAAAGAAAAAGTAATCATATCTATATTAAATTTCTGTTTGGGGCAAAGTTTTGTGTTTTAAGATCTTTTTTGTCAGTAGCATATCATATAGTATATTTTTAAGTTGGAATTTAGAATATTTATTGGTTGACTTAAAGTAGGACTTCCTCTGTTGGTTGAAAATAGAACAACCTACATGTCCAATTAAAGTTCTTAGCTCCATTTGGAAACTAATCTAGTAAGGCACCCACAGTGAAGTTGTATTTCTACCTATTGTTTAAGAAGAGCCTTAACCTGGAGTCTGAGGAGCCTGTGTCTCTGAAGTCGTGCATGTGACTTTTGGAAAGCCATGTAAACAGCAGGCGCTGCCAGCTTGCTGCTGTGCCATCCCACTTGCCTTGCTGGCCTGGAGCCCAGGACTTCCTGTCCCCTGCCTGCCAGTCTCCTGAGCAGCCTGTCCGTGAGATGCCACCAGGTCGCTGTGATGAGCTGAGCCAGGGGGTTCTCATGGGCGGCCTGCCTCCTCGCAGTGACTCATGGAGCTGGAGACCTGGAGGGGGTAGCCTTGCGGAGTACCTGGGTGACCATTGTGTACAAAAGAACCTCTATAGGATTTGCCAGGTTGTAGCATTACAGTTACTTTCTGCTGTGCAACACTGGGGTTAGTGTGTAGCGAACTTCCACAGCCTGCAGAGTTCAATGACAAGGTGAGAGGTAGAGAAATGCATTTAAAATCCAGTGACAAGGTGAGAGACAGAGAAATACATTTAAAATCAAAGCAAAGTGCACACCTGTTGCTCACTACCGCCCCAGCAGGAGAGTGGAAACGCATGTTCTCATTTGGCAGGGTGTTTGCCGTGTTCCATGCATTTGCAGAACGTTCTGTGAGTAGTGATTTGATCGTCAGGGCCACCCCACGTGCCACGAGGCAGGTGCCATTATTCATCCCAGTTACAGAGGAGAATACTGAGGCTTGGGGTGCTGAGCGGTTGGTCTGTCTCAGCCACTCATTTGATCATTTGATGAGCAGTTTGTACCCACGTGCACATACCGTGTGTGGTCATTTCTGCAGGAGGAGGAAGAGTTACTTTGGGAAGAGTCCAGGTCGGTTTTTGGAAGGAGGTGGCGTTTTAGTGATCCTTGAAGAATGGGCATCAGTTGAAGGCTGGAGGACATTCAGAATTTCTGGAGAAGGGAGTAGCAAGATGATGTATATGGTAGGAGGAAGAGAAAGAAAGGGAGTTTAGGGAAATGTCAGATAGTCCAGTGTTACCAGAAAAGAAGACGCAGGAGAGAAGATAGTGGGAGATAAGAATAGAGACACAGCTTGAAACCAAATTACAGAGGGCCTGAGTGCCAAGATAAGGCCTTCAGGCTGTGTTCTGTAGGCAGTAGGATGGCATGCCCAGAGCTTTGTGTGTGCACGTGCGTGCATGTTTAATCACTATTGCACCTCAGCTTAGGCTGGTTTAGAAAGAGAAGGCACTACCTAAACGAAAACCAAACCGGAATTCATATATGGTGGGTGTCCATGAAGTTTCCTTATTTCCCTTTCTACATGGAAGACTTGCTGAAGGCAGGGATTGTATCTTCCTGACCTTTGTATCTCCCATGATGTATGTCACACAGAAATGAGGAAGGCTTCAAGGGAAAGGAACCAGTTTGACTGCAGCTACAACCCAAGAAGAGATGGAAAGACTGTAATCAGCCGAGTAGCTACACTGGGAAGGTGATTAAAGAGCTTTCATTTTAAAAGGCTCGAGGTCCAGAGGGTTTCATGGGTGTCCTCTGTCTGACCTTTAATGAACAGGTGGCTCCAGTGTATTTAAACTATTCCGGACCATAAAGAAGACGGAAATTTCTATAACTCATATCATGAATCCAACACAAGCTTAATAGCAAAAGATGACATAAAGAAATTATTGACGATTCTCCTGAATGAACATAGACACAAATACTAGCAAACTGCATGTAGCAGTGTGTGAATAAAACAATTAAGACTTATTCTAGGACTATAAGGGTAGATGTGTATTATAAAAATATGTCTACATAATTCATTCCATTGACAGAATAAAAGAGGAGAAATACATTATAGCAATAGATTGCAGAAACATCATTTAGTATAATTCAGCAGCTATTCTGTGTTTACATAGACTATGTAAACATATTCTCCTCTGATGGGAAACATTTCTTCCGACAGGAAAGGAAAGATACAACTTAAATATCATATGGACTAAGACTCAAAACTTTACCAAAACTTAATAGCAATATCATGCTATTGCTAAATGGCAAAATAATAAAGTCCTTTCAATTAAATGAGAAACCAGGCAGAGATGCCCACTATTTCTGTTACCTTCCAACATTTCTTTGGAGGTACTAGCTAATACAAACACAAACTATAAAATTATCAGTTTAAAAATAATAGGCCCAAGAAATAAGGGGGAAAAAAGAAAAAAATAATAATAGGCCAGGCACAGTGGCTCACACCTGTAATCTCAGCACTTTGGGAGGCCGAGGTGGGCAGATCACTTGAGGTCAGGAGTTTGAGACCAGCCTGGCCAACATGGTGAAATCCCATCTCTACTAAAAATACAAAAAAATTAGCCAGGCGTGGTGGCACATGCCTGTAATCCCAGCTACTTGGGAGGCTGAGGCAGGAGAATCGCTTGAACCCGGGAGGCAGAGGTTGCAGTGAGCTGAGATCGCACCACTGCACTCCAGCCTGCATGACAGAGCGAGACTCCATCTCAATAATAATAATGATTTACTGAATGCTTCCCACATGCCAGCTACTTTACACCAACTCTTAAGTGGTAGTGCTGGTTTTCCCGTCTGTGTTACAGGTCAGGAGACGCAGGCACAGACAGGTATACTGACTTGTTCAGGGTCGTGCAACTGGAAGCCAGCAGAGCTGGGATTCAAAGCTACACCGTCTGCCTCCAGATTTCACACTGTTAACCACCGAGCTACACCACACAATCATTGGAAAAGAAGAGAACATTGCCCTTCTTTACTGGTGCCATGGTGTTGGATGTTTAGAAAAACCAAGAAACTGTGCTTTTAAAAAATTAGAATTCATAAAAGAATTTGTTGTGGCTTTTTATAAGACAGTATACATAAGTCAGTAGTTTTTCTCTGTACAGGTGTAATTATGTACCCAGTAGTGAAGGTGGATAAAAACCATTTTATTCTGAATAATGCCAAAATTATAAATTATCTGGGTATATATTATGTGAGAAAGACACAGGACTGTATGAAGAAAACTATGAAATCTTATTGAAGAATGTAAAATAACATGTGGACACATGGAAAGATGCACCATGATTTATGGTGGGGAGGCCACACAAAAATGCCAGTTCACTCAAAGAATTCCCATTCGAATCTGAACAGGGTTTTTATTTATTTTTTATTTTTTTGAGACAGGGTCTCGCTCTGTCACCCAGGCTTGAGTGAGTGCAGTGGCACGATCATGGCTCACTTGCTTGGCCTTGACTTCCCAGGCTCAAGCAATCCTCTTGTCTCAGCCTCGCAGGTAGCTGGGACTATACATATGCACCATCAGTGGTGGACCCTATTCCAGCCAGAGGCGTTTTCCCTAGGGTGTAATAAGAATTTCACACCCTGTGGAAGAACTCTGTGTACCCAAATCCTAGCAGGTGCCTGAGATACACACAGCAGGCACTCAGTAAATGTACCATTGCCCAGCTAGCAAAGACTGACCTAATAAGCAGGGCAAACACTGTCAAAACTCTAGTATAAAGTTGCCTCTGTGTGCTTTATCGGAATCCTCTTGTTTTAATCCTCTCCTGGTACGTCTCCATCCCATCTTAGAGTGTTAAGTGCAGAGTCCCTTCGGAAGCTTAAGTCTTTGTGGCTGCCAGAGTCAGAATGACGTGACGAGCAGAGGGAGGCTTTGGAATTGAAGTTTTCATTCACCTCTCATCAGCTTTACCAGTATAAGCCTGGTTATTTCATCCTTCGGAGCTCTATCTCTTCTATAAAATGGGGATCGTCTTTAAAGCCCTGGAGTGCTGTTGTCAAGATGGAGATAAAGTATGCCAAGCTGCTAGAAGAATATTCAGTAACTTTCCGGTATTTTGCTTCCTGTCTGTGAACTCTTCTTATCAGGAATCCAGATTACTCGGGAAAGCATAAGTAGTTCACATAATAGAGGTGTGGATTATTTTGAAAATGCCTCCTGCGTGTTGAGTTTGCATTGGAGAACCCCGAAGACGCGCAAACTAGTCCTAGCGTGAGTGAGCAGCAAGCAGTGGTACTTCCTTGTGAATCGGGGTGGGAACCCTTCAGAACCGCGAGCTCCCACTTTCTGTCGATCGCTCTGCTCATGCGGCCCTGAGTCTCATGGTTACTGTGGTCTCAGTCACAGCAAGTGCTGCCAAGCTCAGGCGACGCTGCCAGAGCCTTCTGAGAGCCGGGCGGGGCTGGTGCCACTGGTAGCCTCATCCCTGGACCTGTTTTTCAACTTGAAGGGAGAGCAGACTGGCTGTGTGTTTGCATTTCCTGACAAAAGCAGCCATTGACGTCAAGAGTTCCCTCTGTTGTTAAGAAGTGACACCTGTGTGTTTTTCTTTAGCTTTGCACGTTATTGGGCTTCAGATAATATTTATTTTTACCAACTTTGGCCCAAATTGTATCATTACTTTGAATCTGTACAGCACTTTTATGTTTTCAAAACATTTCATGTATTTTTCAGTGTTACCCTTGCAACAGCCTTGTGAGTTAACCATTTCAAGTGCAACCTGTTGTTTCGTGAGGAAACTGAGGCTCCTCTGCTATGCATGTGACCAGCCCAGCATCACATGGTCTTGCAGCAGTGGAACTGAGATGAGCTCCTGGCCTCCTGACTGCCCAGGGCTCCCTCCCACTGCATTGTGGAGCCTGGGCACTTGGGGAGGAGTGGGGCAGGACCCAGTCCTGCCACTGTTTGCTTCCTCACCACCTCTGGGTTTCAGGTCATGAGAAGCATTGCCTTTTCCCCTGGGAACACCAGTTGCTTGCTTTCGAGTTTTATAATGAGAGCCAAGGACCTTCTGCAGGCGTAATTGTTCATCTTTTACCAAGCCTTTGCATTTCAAGTATCCAAAGACCTACGTGGAATGTTAGTATGGAGAGAGAAGAGGAGGGAGGGACTGGGACAGTCATCCTGCCATCCAGGAAATGCCTGAGCTCGACATCGCCCAAGCTAGCCTCAGGCTGCTGCCCCTGGCCTAGCAGGATGCGTGCTTGCCCTTGTTGGGATGCTGGCATCCAGCTCCTTGTTCTGGTCTCAGGAGGGAGATGTCGGGAAGGTTCACAGGGTCTGTTTATAGACCCTAGAGGTGGTCGTTGGTGGTGCCCAGTGACGGAGCCTCTGTTGGCAAAACCTGTATCTCTGCAGTCGCAGCTGTTGGCCCAGTGGATAGAGCAGCCTTACTTAAAGCATTTTCACTTTTCTGTCCTCATATGGCATGTTCCTCCTCCCTCTCTCCCTCCTTCCCTCTCTCCCTCCCTCCCTTTCTCCCTCCCTCCCTTTCTCCCTCCCTCCCTCTCTCCCTTGCTTAATTCCAAGAAATGGGGACCAACATTCTTCTTACAATTAGAAGATTCTTTGTTGTTCATAACAGTGGAGTCACAGGTGTCCCAAGGTTTTTCCCAGGCAGTTCAGCAGGCCTGAAGGCTTCTGGATGGAGTGCAGAAAATCACTTGTAAGCACAAAGAGTGTGGCAAGTGATGTGAGGTAGCTAACTGGAATCCACATTGAGGACCAGCTGCGTGCTTGGAACAGCAGCTCCAAGTGTCACTGCATCATCGTTGAGAGTTATTGACGGTGAAAACACAAACATATTACCGAACACTACCTTGCTAGCTTTGTGGCCCTAGCGAAGTCACTTCAATTCTCTGCCTCAGTGTCCATATTTGTTAATGAGGAAAATAATAGTACCCACCTCACAGGTTTGTGGTGAAGATTAAACACTTAGAGAAAACATAAAATGCCTCTTGTGAAGTAAGTATTTTTTGAATATTAGCCATGATTATGTTATTGAATCAATGTTATGTATCAAGCTGTTACCGAATTATATCGGTGTTAGCCGTTGCTGTCATCATCTCCATTATCCTTGTATTTCAGACATGTGAGCTTTGGAAATTAAAATCTTTGAAAATATGAATGTGATAGTTTAAGTTTTTGGTCTTTTGCCTTTCTGTAAAGACATACATTTTGCACTATGGAAATTCAGCTTTGATATCTTCAGTTTACAACTTAAAACTATAAATTAGGCCTCCTTTTCTATTTTAATTTAATGGCTTTTTTATTCGTATACCAGTTGGTGATTATAAAGACTCTAAGGGTTAAAGCCAAAAGCCAAAAAACTTAATCTGTTGTCTGTGTGGAAAGTTCCTTTAGAAAAAGTAGTTTTTACTTGTCAAATTGTGTGTTTTTGAAAATTAACTGTTTCTTAAAATAAATTCTATAATTGTTCTGTGTCTTGAAATATGCTCTTTACCTCCCTTGTGGAGAAGTAGAGAGTTTGGAAGTCATGAAAGTAATTTGGAAAGGGCCTGACTACAACGCTTGCATATCTTTGAGAAAGGGGAAAAATAAACATTTTTAATAATGTGGATTATTTTTGGGTGCTTGAAGTTATAAATTATATTAATATTTACTTATAACAGACTATTACTAGACTATTACTCAAGTAATACAAGCTGTAAAAAAAATTCACCAATTTTGCTAATAGCATTTTAGAGTTCCTTCTTAGTCACTCTGAAAATACAAGGAAACACTCTTTCAGGTCGGGCCGGGCCCAGCTGGTTCCGGTTCCGTGAGCGCCCGGCAGACTGAGGGAGAGAGAGAGAGAAAGAGGAGGGGAGGAGGAGGAGGATTCAGGGAATAGGAGCTGGGGAGCCCTTCTGCGGAGCCCTTCTGCGCCACAGTGATATCAGTATCAAGATAAAAGTGTGGAATGGGAGAAAAATTCTCAAAGCCTGAAAGAAAATCTGGAGATGCTGTTTTTCCAGCAGCTCAGTTGAGGGAGAACTTAGCTTGTGTTTCTTGATTCCTCTTCAACTTCTGTTTGCAAACCAAGACTTGTGTTTGGAGAACTCTATTGTACTGAGCCTAAGTCATTTATGATCTATAACAAGAACATGCATTTTCACATGTCAACTAGATTTGTGGACCGGTAAAGTTCTCCCCAAAGAGATGGGCTCTCACCCTGCCATCCAGGCTGGAATAGTGGTGCAATCATAGCCCATTGTAGCCTCCATCTCAAGGACTCAAGGGATCCTCCCTCCTAGGCCTCCCAGGTAGCTGGGATTACAGATATAGAAAAGCATATCCTAAAATTCATATGGATTCTGAAGGGACCTCAAATACTCAATACAATACAGTCTTGAAACAGAAGAACAAAGCTAGAAGACTCACCTTTTCTGATTTTAAAACTTACTACAAAGCTACAGTAATCAAAACAGTGTTGTACTAGCATAAGGAAGACATATAGACCAATGAAATAGAAGAGAGAGCCCAGAAATAAAACTTCATATATATGGTCAAATGATTTTTTTCTTTTTTCTTTTTTCTTGAGATGGAGCCTCGCTCTGTTGCCAGGCTGGAGTGCAGTGGCACGATCTCAGCTCACTGCAACCTCCGCCTCCTGGGTTCAAGCGATTCTCCTGCCTCAGCCTCCCCAGTAGCTGGAATTACAGGCACCCACCATCATGCCCGGCTAATTTTTGTATTTTTAGTAGAGATTGGGTTTCACCATGTTGGCCAGGAAGGTCTCCATCTCTTGACCTTGTGATCTGCCTGCCTTGGCCTCCCAAAGTGCTGGGATTACAGTTGTGAGCCACTGCACCCAGCCGGTCAAATGATTTTTAACAAGAGTACCAGGACTATTCAATGGAGAAAGGATAGTGTTTTCAACAAATGCTGCTGGGAAAATGGGATATCCACATGCAAAAAATGAAGTTGAACCCTTAACTAACACCATATACAAAAATTAACTCAAAATGGATCAAAGACCTAAATGTAAGATGCAAAACTATAAAAGTCTTAGAAGAAAATAAGGAAAAAACTTTATGACAGTGATTTATTCAGCAGTTATTTATTGGGTATGACATCAAAGGCACAAGCAACAACAACATAGAAGACTACATGAAAATGTTTAAACTTTGTTAATCAAAAGACACTATCAATAGGGTGAAAAGATAACCACCAAATGGAGAAAGTATTTGCAAATTATATATCTGAAAAGGGTTATATAAAGCATATATGGAGAATTCGTGCAACTCAACAACAAAACAAACAGCTTGATTAGAAAATGAAGGAAAGTGTGTATTTCCTTCTCCAAAGGAAATATACAAATGGCAATAGGTACACCAAAAGATGCCCAGCATCAGTGATCATTAGGAAAATCCAAGTCAATTTCCCATAATGAAATACCACCTTACACCCATTAGGATGGCTACTATCAACATCAAACAATAATATGTTTTGGTGAGGACGTGGAAAAATTGGAACCCTTGTGCTCTGTTGGTGGGAAGGTAAAATGGTATAGTCACAGTGGGAAGCAGTATGGTGGCTCCTCATAAATATTGAAAATAGAATTTCCATGTGATGCAGTGATGCCACTTATGGGCATATCCCCAAAATGGTTGAAAACAGGGTCTTAAAGAGATAATTTGTACACCCATGTTCATACCAGCATCATTCACAATAGCTGAAATATGGAAGAAATGTAAACTAAAAATAAAACTTTAAGCTTTCCAATTGTCTGAATGAACTCATCCTCTCAGCCAAGGACATCTCACAGTTCAGGACATGATGGGGAGGGGGCGATCAGATTCCCCATTATACTCTCCCTTTGGAATTCAGGCACAACTGACCAGCATTAACATTAAAACAGAGATCTTACGACTTTTTGTAGCAATAAGACACCATATTCCAGCCTGACTAAAGTAAAGCATCACATGACAGATAGCAGGCCCTGTAAGAAATTGAAGTATTTTGCCCCCAAATATATTCCTTTGACATATTTAAAAATGGCCCTGCAAAACTGTCTCTTAGAGGCAAAATCTTACATTCTGTAGAGAATGCCTTTCCCTTTCTAGGTCTTTTCTCTGATCCTGGAGAGAATTATTTGAGTCTTTCATCATTTTAAGTCTCATAAGAAACATTTACAATCTATTCTTTCTGAAGCCTGCTACCTGGAGTCTTCATCTGCATAATAAGAACCATGGTCTCTACAACCCCTTATCTTAACCCAGACACTCCCTTATATGGAATTTCAGGTGTGTATTTTTTATTTATTTTTATTTTTTATTTTTTGAGTACCCAGGCTGGATTGCAGTAGTGCGATCTCGGCTTATTGCAGCCTCCGCCTCTGGGGGTCACATGATTCTCGTGCCTCAGTCTCCTGAGTGGCTGGGATTACAGGCATGCACCACCATGCCTGGTTAATTTTTTTGTATTTTTAATAGAGATGGGATTTCACCATGTTGGCCAGGCTGGTCTTGAACTTATGACCTCATGTGTTCCACCTGCCTCAGCCTCCCAGAGTACTGGGATTACAAGTGTGATCCACCATGATCTGGCCTCACTCCAGCTTTTTTGTATTTTCAGTAGAAACAGGATTTTGCCGTGTTGGCCAGGCTGGTCTTGAACTCCTAGCCTCGAGTGATCCGCCTGCCTTAGCCTCCCAAGATGCTGGGATTACAGGTGTGAGCCACCATGCCCAAGTGGGTTTCTGGTCTTTAGGTAAACTAGTTTGACAGGTTGCTAATCGGAAAATCTTTGAATCCACCTGTTAGCAGTGGTGAATCTATCTGGGTCTGCAACAACTTGATTCTTGCCTCCTTGGAGGAAAGAATTTTGCTGAGAGGCAGTAGTTGGTTTCAGGCAGAGGGAGAGACTGAGGCAAGTTTTAAGAACAGGAGTGAGAATTTGTTTGAAAGTTTTAGAGCAGGAGTGAAAGGAAGCAGTACACTTAGAAGGGCCAAGCGGGTGACTTGCAAGATCCAAGTGCCCTGTTCAACCCTTGACTTGGGGTTTTGTACATTGTTATGGTTCTGGGGTTTGCTGAAGTTGTGCACGTGTTCACTTGAGGAGTTTTTTCCTTAACCTGTCGAGCGTTCCCAGTGGGAGGTCGTATAAGAGGCCATTTTGCCTCTTAGTGTGCCTGTTTGAGGTCTTTGAGAAGAGGATAACACCAGTTCCGAGTGTTTTCTGTCTGTTAGGAGACTGTCTTTTCCTGGTGCTGGCTGTGACCACTTATCATTTTAGAGAGACAGTTTAACAACCACCTGACCATCACTTTATTGTCGCCTGACAGTCCTGGGGGCAACGGGTTGGGGGTATGTGTGTGGGGGTGCTCTCCTGCCCTGTCCATATCTGCCTAACTACCTACTCTAACATACCTATGAGCTGAAAGCCTCCACTTAGAGTGTTTGAGTTGTTCTGCCTTTTTTGACTGAGCCATTGTACATCTTACATGTGTTGATTGATGTCTTATGTCTTCCTAAAATGTATAAAATTGAACTGTAGCCTGACCACCTTGGACACATGTCGTCAGGACCTCCTGAGGCTGTGTCACAGGCACGTCCTTAACCTTGGCAAAATAAACTTCTAAATTGAATGAGAAAAAAAAAGAAAAGAAAAGAAAATACAAGGAAACAAGCCATACATCCGGTTTTAATGTAGAACGTGGTACAGATATGGTCAGTATTTAACCTGAGCTAGTTACTTGCCTAAAAGTGTGATCATCTTTATTATTTAAGTGATTGATGACATATGTAATACTTCTACTATGAAAAAGAATTTTGAGAGGTTAATTCTTAAGCAGAGAGCTCAATATACTTACTCGGATCCCGAGAGAAAGCCCATTTCTGTGGCATTTCCATACAGCATGATCCTGGTTGTTGATTCTTCTTGCCATGTTCACTTCCCTCTGTTTTCAGTGATTTAGCCCTGCGGAATTGTTTTCTCACCTCCGACTTAAATGTGAAAGTGGGAGATTACGGAATAGGATTCAGCAGGTACAAGGTAAGCCAGAGGTTTAAATGTTTTCAGTCTGATTTAATTTGAATTGTGAAGTTGTAATGTCACCAAATGCCCCACTGTTTGTATAAGAATCTTAGTCGCTAGGCTTTCTGGAGAGGGATTTGCAGCAGTCATTTTAATGTGGTCTAGGCTTCTGGCGTGTGGCTTGTGTAAGTCTGCGGCTTTGCATCCGAGGTTTTGCAACAGCTTTCCAAAAGTTTCGTTTAAAAATATTTATAAACACTGTAAATGATGTAGTCTGATGGTGCATAATAAATTTTAGAGTGAACACATGAGCAACAGTAGTTATTATTACCTGTTATGATAAAATATACATATCATATAAATGTTTCTCCATTACGTGGTCAGTAAAATTTCAGCTCATGTTCAGTAACCTGGGGATCTAGGTTTTTTTAACTCTGTCATGAATATATTCTAAAGGAAATAAGTGAAGAAGTCAATGAAGTTTCCATTTGTGTGTGTCTGTGTAGCCCCAGTGAATGAGGTAGAGCGTTCTGGGGCAGAGAATGGGACTGTCCCAGCTCCGGGCTGTCAGGAGACCTCGGATAAGCCACTTGACCTCCATTTTCTTTTCCTTTCTTTTTTTTTTTTTTAAACGGAGTCTTGCTATATTGCCCAGGCTGTTCTTAAACTCCTGGGTTCAAGCAACTTGCCTGCCTTGGCCTCCCAGAGTACTAGGATTACAGGTGTGAGTCACCCCACCCAGCCTTGACCTCCGCTTTCTGAGCAGCAACATACGGATAAGATCTGTTCTGTTTTTCGGAGTTCTTGTGAGGACCAAACGGGTAATATTTTCAAAAAATATTATGCAAATAGAAATTGGTTATTTGTCTACATAGTAGCTCTAGTGTCTCGAGCACTTGCTAGATGTCAGGCACTTAGCACCTGCCTGTATCCTGCATCATCTCTTTTTTTTTTTTTTCTTTTTTTGAGATGGGGTCTCGCTGTCACCCTGGCTGGAGTGCAGTGGCGCGATCTCGGCTCACTGCAACCTCCGCCTCCCGGGTTCAAGCGATTCTCCTGCCTTAGCCTTCCGAGTAACTGGGACTACAGGGTCCCTCCACCACGCCCAGCTAATTTTTGTATTTTTAGTGGAGACGGGTTTCACCCTGTTGGCCAGGCTGGTCTCGAACTCCTGACTTTGTGATCCGCCCACCTCAGCCTTCCAAAGTGCTGGGATTGCAGGCGTGAGCCACCGAGCCCGGCCTGCATCATCTCATTTAATCCTCACCGCAGAGGGGAGGTTTGTGTTCTCCTCACTTCACAGATCAGGAAAAAACTTCACAAAGTTGTTGCTTGCGTAGAATCACATAGCTGGTAAATGGTAGAATGAGGACTTCAAACCCCGGTCTGTCAGAGTCTAAAGCCTACAGTCTTGCTCCCTAACTGGCTTCACTGTTCAGCGCATAAGTCCCAGTATATATTGTTTTAGTGTTTTGCTCAGAGTCTATGTTATATGCATCAGACACAGCGTACTTTCTTATCCAAGAAGGATGACTTAGCAAGCGTTCATGGCTCGCAGATGAGGTCATGAAGCCCAGGAGGCTTCAGCAAAACTCCTTACCCACTTTCTGCCCAGAAAGTCACTCTTCATGCCTGCTTTTTTTTCTGACCTGGTTTTTGGATTGGGTATATGTTTTCTGAGAATACCATGGATTTAAATTCTTGAACTCACCAAAAGTATAATTCTATTCAAAATTCTGTGTGCTTTCTAACAAAACAGGAGGATTATATTGAAACAGATGATAAAAAAGTTTTCCCTCTGCGATGGACTGCTCCAGAATTAGTAACCAGCTTTCAAGACAGACTGCTAACTGCAGATCAGACTAAGTATAGTAATATCTGGTACGTATTGGCTTACCGTTTTATTAGTCATTTCTTTGGCAAAGTCCTAACTTCTTCCTCTTTGAGTACTTCCTTAAAGGAAAGTAGTTGTATAAGATGTAGGAACAAAAGAGTATCTGATGGTGTGAAAAAGACAGTTTAAAAGACACAAATAGTAATTATCACAATTGTGGTGATGGAGTTAACGTTTTGAATACTGCCCCTGCTACCCATTTTCCTTTAGAAAAGCAGGAACCAAGTCTGTTTCATATTCTGTGCCTCCCACAGGGCCTGACATGTAATAGATATTTAATATGTATTTATTGAAGTGAAAGAAGAAACTGAAAGGGGTGTGGACTATCATGTTTATACTATGATTTATAGGAGTCAGTTTAATGGGAGCTAAAAAGATGCACCTAAAACTTTGACTAACAATTTCTGTCACAGCCTTCTTAATTTATAGCTATGTTTTATGTGCTGTTGTCCTGCTTTTTTTTTTCTCTCCTTGCTTTCTTTTGGATTGATTTCTTTAAAACAATTTTTTTGCTTTTATTATTTTTTTCATTGATGCATATAATTGGACATATTTATGGGGTACAGTGATATATATATATGTTTTTGTTGTTGTTGTTGTTGTTGTTGTTTTGAGATAGAGTCTCACTGTCGCCCAGGCTGGAGTACAGTGGTGTAGTCTCGGCTCACGGCTCACTGCAGTGTCCACCTCCCTGGTTCAAGTAATTCTTGTGCCTCAGCCTCCCGAGTAATTGGGATTACCAATATGTACTACCACACCATTTTTGTACTTTTAGTAGAGATGGAGTTTTGCCATGGCTGGTCTCGAACTCCTGAACTCAAGTGATCCGCCTGCCTCGTCCTCCCAAAGTACTGGGATTACAGGCGTGAGCCACCGCACCTGGCCCAGTGTAATATTTTGATACCTATATACAGTGTGTGATGATCAAATCAGGGTAACTAGTATCCCCTTCACTCCAGACATGTATCATTTTTTCTTTTTGTTTTTGGGAACATTCAAAAGCCGCTCTTAGAGCTGTTTGAAAATATACAAAAATTTGTTGTTAATTATAGTCACCCTTCAGTGCTTTAGAACACTAGATCTTATTCCTCCTTCCCAGCCGAAATTTTGTATTCGTTAGTCAGCTTCTCACTATTCCTCCTCTCCCTCCCCTTCCCTGCCTCAAGTAATCACTCTTCTACTCTCTACTTCTATGAGATCAACCTTTTTATCTTCCACGAGTGATGAGGTTTTCTTCCTTTTTCTTTCCCCCTTGTGTATCTGCTCTACCTAGTGTATCGTGAGTCTGATACTTCTGTGTTTTTTCATGTTGATGGTTATCCTCCTTTAGCTTCCAGATACAGGACTCCTGGACCATTTCTCTTAAGGCATGTCTCATAATGATGAATTCCTTCAGTTTTTGCTTATCTGGGAAAGACTTTATTTCTCCATTTTTTAAAAAAAGTTATTATTATATATATTTTTTTAGTAGAGACGAGGTCATGCTGTGTTGCCCAGGCTGGTCTTGAACTCCTGGCCCCAAGCAATCCTCATGCCTTAGTCTCCTAGAGTGCTGGGATTATAGTCATGAGCCATCGCGCCCAACCCTCCTTCATTTCCGAAGGATATCTTTGCAGGGCATAGTGTTCTTGGCTGCCAATTTCAGTACTTTGAGTATACCATCCTATTCTCTGCTTCCCTCCTATGTGACTTAATGCTTTTCTCTGGCTGTTTTTAGAATTTTTATCTTTGTCTTTGGCTTTTGACAATTTGACTATAATGTGCCTCTGAAATGACCTTTTGGGGTTGATTGTATTTTAAGGACCTTTGAGCTTCCTGGATCTGGATGTCTGTATCTCTCCCAAGACTTGGGAAGTTTTTAAGCTGTTCTTTCCTTAAATAGCCTTTCTCTGCCTTCTCCTAGCTCTTTTATTTCTGTAACTCCCATAATGTGTGTATTTGTTTGCACTGTAGTCTCCCATAAGCCCTGAAGCCTCCCTTCACTCCTTTTCATTCTTCTGTCTTTTTCCCTCTGACTGGGTGATTTCAAACAACCTTTCTTCAAGTTGAGAGGTTCTTCTGCTTGAGTCTGTTGTTGAAGTTCTGTATTTCTTTTTATTTCATTTATTGAATTCTTCAGCTGGGCTTACTGCCTGTGAGGACCCCAGGCGACCCCAGTGTGAGGACTGTAGTGTCCACGGTGAGCAGTGTGAGGATGTAGGGGTCCACAGTGAGATCCTCTTACTTGCCCTTACCTGGAAGAGAAAGTTGCTCCTGGTTCCTGGCTGCGCCTGCCAGGGATGGGGTGGTGGAGGCCAGGCGTTTCCTTCCGCTCTCGCTGTGGCTGTCCTGAATCTCCTGAGTACCTGTTACTCCTTTGATGGGCTCTGGTGCTCTCCTTTAGTGATTTTTGTCAAAATGTAGTTGCTTCTTTGTTGTTTGGGGCGTGTCGTGGAGGGTTAGCTGGACATCAGAATCACTGGGGAACTTTTTAAAACGTGAGTTTTCTAGGCCACACCTGGATCTACCAACTA
The DNA here is from genome assembly GCF_000001405.40 of Homo sapiens. Taxonomy (NCBI): domain Eukaryota; kingdom Metazoa; phylum Chordata; class Mammalia; order Primates; family Hominidae; genus Homo; species Homo sapiens. The sequence continues at coordinate 98,189,525 of NC_000007.14, forward strand.
AGCATCCTTTAGGGGTGGATCTGACCTAGCAGTGTGTGTGTTCACGGCTTCCCAGAGGACACAGATGAGAGTCACGTTCGGGAACATTGCAGTAAATAGACACAAATGCGGGATGGAGGCAGTGCGTGGTGGGGAGGAAATGCAGAGACCTCGTGGAGGAAATGAGAGGCAGCTCCTCTGACCCAGGAAGCCAGCAGAGGCTGTTTCCATGGGGACAGAGCACCGCAGTGTGAGAGAGGATTGGGCTGGGACTGAGAAGGGCGTTCCTGCTGTGGTGAGGCAGCCCTCAGGGTCTCTCCTGGCACACAGCTGCCAGCGTGATGGGGGATCCCTTCAGAATAGCAGCAAAACCCACGATACTGAGGAGTAACTCAAACCAAACTTGTGGGTCTCACAGAGAGGATATCGTCTTGCCCATGTAAAGATTCCTTTTAGATGGTTTCTGGTGTTTACTAATGTTGTTAATAGGTGTATTTTTCTACCAAAAAAAAAAAATCAGAATTCAGGGTATTTATCTTGTTTCCAGCAATTCTGCCAAATTTTTAGAACATTCTGATGGTCTTTCCAATAATTTATTGAGTACTTAAAAGTTGATAGTCATCTCATCCACATAATTACACCTATTATCTCTGTTTTGTACTTTTTTCATTGGCCAAAACTTCTAGGGTGGTATTCAGTAGCAAATAGGAGGCATGGTCTTCCTCATTTTAACAGAAATGCCTCTTTTTTTGCTATTGTGCTGTTGATTATTGGTTTCAGATTAAAGAACAATCTTGGCTGGTTGTGGTGGCTCACGCCTGTAATCTCAGCACTTTGGAAGGCCAAGGCAGGTGGATCACCTGAGGTCAGGACTTTGAGAGCAGCCTGGCCAACGTGGTGAAACCCTATCTCTACTAAAATTATAAAAATTGGCAGGGCATGATGGCTTGTGCCTGTAATCCCAGTTACTTGGGAGGCTGAGGCAGGAGAATCACTTGAACCCGGGAGGCAGAGGTTGCAGTGAGTGGAGATCACACCATTGCACTCCAGCCTGGGCGACAGTGAGACTCTGTCTTAAAACAACAACAACAACAACAAAGATCCTATTAATAATCTTTTCAATACACACCTTGTCCTTAAAATTACTGGCTATGTAACAAGTATGAGTGTTAAAAATTTGACATCTAAAGGGAGAGAGAAACAGCCATTTTCTTTTTCCAACAGGTCTCTGGGTGTGACACTTTGGGAGCTTTTTGACAATGCCGCACAGCCGTATTCAAACCTTTCCAACTTAGATGTCCTCAACCAAGTCATTAGAGAGAGAGACACAAAACTCCCGAAGCCCCAGCTGGAGCAGCCCTACTCTGATAGATGGTTGGTAGCCTCACATTCCGCCTGTTCTGTTTCGTCTTCACTGTGAGGTGTCCCCAAAACACAAAAAAATTCGTGGGCCAAATATTATGTTTCTTCATTTCCTCTTTCACCATGATGTCACCATGAGCTGAACTACTTAATGTGGTTGGCAGTGATGAAGGTGTAGAAATGTTTCGGGTGTTGAGTTGGCTTTAGGGTCCTTGTAAATTCTTTTCATATTGTTTATTTATTTATTTTTATTTAAAAAAAAATGTAGAGACAGGGTCTCAGTATGTTGCCCAGGCTGTTCTTGAACTCCTGGCTCAAGTGATCCTCCCACTTCAGCCTCCCATTGCCCCAGGATTACAAGTGTGAGCCAGGGTGCCTGGCCTCTTTTGATATTTTTAACTGATTCGGCCAGGCACAATGGCTCATCCCTGTAATCCCAGCACTTTGGGAGGCTGAGGTGGGCAGATCACGAGGTGAGGAGTTCAAGACCAGCCTGGCCAACATGGTGAAACCCCGTCTGTACTAAAAATACAAAAATTAGCTGGGCGCGGCAGCGGGCGCCTGTAATCCCAGCTGCTCGGGAGGCTGAGGCAAGAGAATTGCTTGAACCCAGGAGGCAGAGGTTGCAGTGAGCCGGGATCATGCCACTGCACTCCAGACTGGGTGACAGAGCAAGACTCCGTCTCGAACCAAAAAAAAAAAAAAAATTCGTGATGGTTCCACTGATTGCTTGTCGTGTGCTGCTCAGGTATGAAGTCTTACAGTTCTGTTGGCTGTCACCAGAAAAGAGACCCGCGGCTGAAGATGTGCACAGGCTGCTGACTTACCTGCGGCTGCAGAGCCAGCGGGACTCAGAGGTCGACTTTGAACAGCAGTGGAACGCTCTGAAGCCGAACACAAACAGCAGAGACTCCTCCAACAATGCTGCATTCCCAATTCTCGACCACTTTGCCAGGGACCGGCTGGGTCGTGAAATGGAGGAAGTCCTCACCGTGACCGAAACCAGCCAGGGCCTGAGCTTCGAGTATGTCTGGGAGGCCGCTAAGCACGACCACTTTGACGAGCGCAGCCGGGGCCACCTGGACGAAGGCTTGTCCTACACGAGCATCTTCTATCCGGTTGAAGTTTTTGAGAGTTCGCTTTCAGATCCTGGGCCCGGAAAGCAAGATGACAGCGGCCAGGATGTCCCCCTGAGGGTCCCTGGAGTGGTTCCTGTTTTTGATGCCCACAACCTTTCTGTTGGAAGCGACTATTATATCCAGTTAGAAGAAAAAAGTGGTAGTAACTTGGAGCTTGATTACCCACCAGCGCTGCTCACAACCGACATGGATAATCCAGAAAGGACTGGCCCTGAACTGTCCCAGCTCACGGCGCTCAGGAGCGTTGAACTTGAGGAGTCCAGTACAGATGAGGACTTCTTCCAAAGCAGTACAGACCCCAAAGACTCTAGCTTACCAGGGGACTTACACGTGACCAGTGGCCCCGAGAGCCCTTTCAACAATATATTTAATGATGTGGACAAATCGGAAGATTTGCCCAGTCACCAAAAAATATTCGACTTAATGGAATTAAACGGAGTTCAAGCCGACTTTAAACCTGCCACTTTAAGTTCCAGTTTGGATAACCCCAAAGAGTCAGTCATAACAGGCCACTTTGAGAAAGAAAAGCCCCGTAAGATTTTTGACAGTGAGCCTCTCTGCCTATCAGATAATCTTATGCACCAAGATAATTTTGATCCATTGAATGTTCAAGAATTGTCAGAAAACTTTTTATTTCTTCAAGAGAAAAACTTACTAAAAGGCTCATTGTCCAGCAAAGAACACATAAATGATCTTCAGACAGAACTTAAGAATGCTGGTTTTACTGAAGCTATGTTAGAAACGTCATGTAGAAACTCTTTAGATACTGAGCTTCAGTTTGCTGAAAATAAGCCAGGCTTGTCTTTGTTGCAGGAAAACGTAAGCACAAAGGGTGACGATACAGATGTCATGCTCACAGGTGACACTTTGAGCACCTCATTGCAGTCTTCCCCGGAAGTGCAGGTACCTCCTACCTCCTTCGAAACAGAAGAAACGCCCCGTCGGGTACCCCCAGACTCACTCCCAACACAGGGAGAAACCCAGCCCACGTGTTTAGATGTTATTGTCCCGGAGGACTGTCTCCACCAGGACATCAGTCCAGACGCTGTGACTGTCCCGGTTGAAATTCTCTCAACTGATGCCAGAACCCACAGCCTGGATAACAGGTCCCAGGACTCTCCTGGCGAGAGTGAGGAGACCCTGCGACTCACCGAAAGTGACTCTGTTCTTGCTGATGACATCCTTGCCAGCAGGGTGAGTGTAGGGAGTAGTCTCCCGGAACTGGGACAGGAATTGCACAATAAACCATTTTCGGAAGACCATCACAGTCATCGCCGGCTAGAGAAAAACTTAGAGGCTGTGGAGACTTTAAATCAGCTCAATTCTAAAGACGCAGCAAAAGAAGCAGGCTTGGTGTCTGCCCTCTCCTCGGACTCAACCAGTCAGGACAGCCTCCTGGAGGACAGCTTGTCAGCACCCTTCCCAGCCTCTGAGCCGTCCCTGGAAACCCCGGACTCTCTGGAGTCAGTGGATGTCCACGAAGCGCTACTGGACTCTTTAGGATCTCACACTCCCCAGAAACTAGTGCCCCCCGATAAGCCGGCAGACAGTGGCTACGAAACAGAGAACTTGGAGTCTCCCGAGTGGACCTTGCATCCCGCTCCCGAGGGCACCGCAGACTCAGAACCAGCCACCACGGGCGATGGCGGCCACAGCGGTCTGCCTCCCAACCCGGTCATTGTCATCTCAGATGCCGGCGATGGTCACAGAGGCACAGAAGTGACCCCTGAGACGTTCACAGCTGGCTCCCAGGGTTCATACCGAGACTCTGCGTACTTCTCAGACAATGACTCTGAGCCCGAGAAAAGGTCTGAGGAGGTCCCGGGAACCTCCCCATCCGCCTTGGTGTTGGTACAGGAGCAGCCCCTACCCGAGCCAGTCCTCCCCGAGCAAAGTCCTGCTGCCCAGGATAGCTGCCTGGAAGCCAGAAAGAGCCAGCCAGATGAAAGTTGTCTGTCTGCTTTGCACAACTCCAGTGACCTGGAATTAAGAGCCACGCCGGAGCCAGCACAGACTGGTGTTCCCCAGCAGGTGCATCCCACGGAAGACGAGGCCAGCAGTCCCTGGAGTGTGCTGAATGCAGAACTTAGCAGCGGCGATGACTTCGAGACACAGGACGATCGCCCCTGCACCCTCGCTTCCACGGGGACCAACACGAACGAACTCCTTGCCTACACCAATTCTGCGCTGGACAAGTCCCTGTCCAGCCACTCCGAGGGCCCGAAGTTGAAGGAGCCGGACATCGAAGGGAAGTACCTGGGGAAACTCGGGGTGTCAGGGATGCTCGACCTCTCAGAGGACGGGATGGATGCAGACGAGGAGGACGAAAACAGCGACGACTCGGACGAGGACCTGCGGGCCTTCAACCTGCATAGCCTCAGCTCCGAGTCGGAGGACGAGACCGAGCACCCCGTGCCCATCATCCTCAGCAACGAGGACGGAAGGCACCTGCGGAGTCTGTTGAAGCCCACAGCGGCCAATGCCCCCGACCCACTGCCCGAGGACTGGAAGAAGGAAAAGAAGGCAGTCACGTTTTTCGATGATGTCACAGTCTACCTGTTTGACCAGGTATCTGTTCCCTCTAAATCATTTTCTATACACATCCATATAAGGATTCCAAAATGTGCTAGGAAATTGAGTGTGGTCTGTTTTCTAGTTGCCATTTTGAGGCAGCAGATTGTGATTACTCACAAAAAGTAATTTGGGGTTGGTTAGAGTTCTAAGAATATGCAGAAATGTCATTTGCTCAGGGAGTTCGTATTAAATTAAGAGAAAGAGACCCGAATGCTCTTCCTGGGTCTTCTAATGGAGTCTTCCTGAATTAGTCACCCTTTACACACCAAATTTTTACTGTTTTACTTTTTTATTTTTCTTTTGAGACAGCCTTGCTCTGTGGCCCAGGCTGGAATGCAGTGGTACAGTTGCAGCTCACTGCAGCCTTGAACTCCTGGGCTCAAGTGATCCTCCCACCTTCCATAATAGCTGGGCCCACAGGTTCATGCCACCATGGCTGGCTAAGGTTTTGGTGTTTTTTTTGTTTTGTTTTGTTTTTAATTTTTGTAGACACACGGTCTTGCTATGTTGCCTAGGCTGCTCTCAAACTCCTGGGCTCAAGCCATCCTCCCACCTCAGCCTCTCAAAGTTTTGGGATTACAGGCATGAGCCACTGCGCTTGGCCTCCAATTTTTAGAGCCTGACAATTGGCAGTAGGACCCACCACTTGGGTACAAGCCTGGAACCATGGCTGGCGTGCAGCCCTGGAGACAGCTCAGGAGAGGGGCCAACCAGAAGCCCTGCGGTGGGTGTCTGGAGGGTGTGACACACAGCAGGAGCGTCTGTGGTCCTTCTGCTCTGTCCCCTGACCTGTCCTCTTTCCCTGCTTTGGAGCAGGCAGCTTAGTGTGCACTGCTGAGTGGGCATGGATTTAGGCTCCTTTAAAAATGTAACAGCGGATAATTCAAGCATGCTTTAAAAAAAAAAAAAAAGTTCTTTTCATACTAGTCTTTGTAGCCCTTGAATTTGCTGCTTGCATCAGCTGGATTGTTGGGAGAGCTCAGTGGTGGGACATGAAAATGGGGTCCCCTCACCTTCTAGAAGGCGCAGGAGTCCTCGCCGTCTCCTTCACATTGCTTGCCCTCCCTTTTGCTCCATTCTGGGAACCCAGACCTTGGTCTCAGCCCCTGCGTGGCACCATCCCTCATGGGTCCGTGGCTATGGCGGGTCCAAGCACTGTTCCACCTCCTCCCCCAGGAGCTGCGTCTGTTGAACGTCACTTTATGCCTTGTTCCTCTGTGTTCTGTTCACTTTGGTTTTTATGATGTTTCTTTAAAAATCGTTAAATCACCCGCATTTGAGCTATAGCATATATGGCGGGGAAGTGGATGTTTAAAAAATGAAAAGTAAGGCCAGGCGCGGTGGCTTATGCCTGTAATCCCAGCACTTTGGGAGGCCAAGGTGGGCGGATCACCTGACGTCGGGAATTCAAGACCAGCCTGGGCAACATGGCGAAACCCCATCTCTACTAAAAATATAAAAATTAGCCAGTCACGGTAGGCAAGACTGCAGGCCCAGCTACTTGGGAGGCTGAGGCATGAGAATTGCTTGAACCTGGGAGGCAGAGGTTGCAGTGAGCCAAGATTGCACCACTGCACTCCAGCCTGGGTGACAGAGTGAGACCTGTCTCAGAAAAAAAAAAAAAAAAGCAGCCTCCTGAGCTCAGCCTGACCTCTTGAACCTGATTCTGCGAGGGGCCAGGAGGCCGTCTTTCTCTTTTCATTCCCCAGGTGGTTCCTAGGCAGATCTCGAACTCAGGAGCCTCTGAGCTCAGGGAGCCTGAGAAAACACGCTGCCGTTTTCTAGTAAGAGTGGAAGGGAGAAGGGATCACCTGGCCCCTCGGGTTTGTGTTTTGTTTTCAATGCATCCACATAGCCCTTTCTCCACCGTCTCTGTGAACTTGGATTATCGCTGCATTTCTCCATGGATGGGGTAATGTATAGGTGGGACGGAACTGTCAACTGTGCTCGGTGAGCAGTGCGGTTAGGAGCTAGGGAGCACGCTGTCCCCACTTCCTGAAAGCCTGGGGGTAGCTGGAGTAGTGAGAGGGACGCAGTCCCAGTGGAAGCAGCCTGTGGAGAAAACTCCCTGGGGCCGCAGAGTATGGGCCCCTTGCACAAGTCTTTGTGGAGGATGTTATGTTTTTCTGACTTTAGAAGACAGAATTGCAAAAGATGAAGATCTGTGACAAGGGCACTCTAGTTATGGGATGGAAGGTACAGAGATCAAATACCAGACATGCTTAATGGACGCGAGGCTTTGACAAGGAAGTTAGTGTCAAGGAGAAAGTCGGAAGGTGGGTCAGGGCCAGAAGAAAATGAGGAAGATCTTTCTGATGATCTGAAATTCGTTTGCTTATGCGTCTCATGCAGCATGCCTTGAAGCGACAGCCACCAAGCGTTCAGGCCGAGGACTGAGGGTTTCCTCCCACTCCTGCTTTCTTTTTTAATGAGCTGGTTTTGAAGTTGTGTAGTTTTTAAGCAGTTGAAGTATCTTGGCTCCAAACTTTTAACTGAGTGTTCATGGGATTGGGCAGCAATTGTTTCTTGGTTATATTACTATTTGTCAGTTCAGCAAATACTTAACCAGCACTTACCGTGTAAAGTAGTAAAGGCTGGTGAACAGTCTGTGGGTGCCAGCACCTTTATTATACATTGAGTCTTGTTTTGCTTCCCCATGTGGGGGTGGTTGTCACCATCTTCATGGAGAGGACCCTGAGGCTCAGAGTAGGTAAACTTTGCACAGGGTCTGGCCCCAGTGAGTAGCAGTGCTAGGGCTTGACCCAAGTCTCCTGGACCGAGCACAGAACTTTTCACCACTGAGCCCTGCCACCTCTTGCATGCACCTTTACAATCTGCAGCCTGGCATCGCATTCGACTTTTAGCACTTGCGATGTCCTTCCTCAGTGCACAGTGTTCTTGAGACAAAAGTAGCGGGTAATGATGCTTACTTGCAATTAGTGCGACAGGGTTCCCTCCAGCCTGATCCGTCATACTGTAAACAAGCACTGAAGGCTGGGCACAGTAGCTCATTCCCATAATCCTAACATTTTGGAAAGCTGAGGCAGGAGGATCGCTTAAGGCCAGGAGGTGAGACTGGTCTAGGCAGCATAATAAGAACCGATTTTTAAAAAATTGGCCAGTTGTGGTGGCCCGCACCTATAGTCTCACCTGCTCAGGAGGCTGAGGCAGGAGGATCGCTTAAACCCAGGAGTTTGAGAGTGCAGTGAGCTATGATTGTGTCACTGCACTGCAGCCGGGATGGCAGAGTGAGACCCTGTCTGAGAGGCTCCTGCTCTCCAGCTTTGAGGAATAAACATTCAGGGCTCCACCTAGGTTTTTTTGGTTGGTTTGGGTTTTGTTTGTTTGCTGGCACTGTCTTTGGTTTTGTTATCAGAGTAATTAATGCTGGTCTCATAAAATGAGTTGGGAAGTATTTCCTTCTCTGATAGTGTTTGGAAGAGATTATGTAGATTTGTTGATCTTTCCAAAAAATTGCTTTTGTTTTCATGGATTTTTTTTTCTTTTCTCTTTCGTTGATTTCTGCTTTGTCTTTATTATTTCCTTCCTTCTCCTTGCTTTGAATTTATTTTGCTTTTTCTAGAAAAGCTTAGAATTCGAGACCTTACTTCTTTTCTCCTTTTTTTTTTTTTTTGAGACGTCTCACTCTGTCGCCAGGTTGGAGGGCAGTGGCGTGATATCGGCTCACTGCAACCTCCGCCTCCCGCGTTCAAGCAATTCTCCTGCCTCCACCTCCTCAATAGCTGGGATTACAGGCGTGTGCCACCGCGCTTGGCTAATTTTTGTATTTTTAGTAGAGACGAGGTTTCACCATGTTGGCCAGGATGGTCTCAATCTCTTGACCTCATGATCTGCCCACCTCGGCCTCCCAGAGTGCTGGGATTACAGGCCTGAGCTACCGCGCCTGGCCTCTTTTCTCTTTTTTTGAGACTGGGTCTCGCTCTGTCGCCCAGGCTGTAGTAGTGCAGTAGTGCGATCTCTGCTCACTGCAGCCTCCACCTCCCAGGCTCAAGGGATTCTCCTGCCTCAGCCTCCTGAAGTAGCTGGGACCACAGGCGCCCACCACCGTGCCTGGCTAATTTTTGTATTTTTTGTTTCGTCATGTTGCCCAGGCTGGTCTCGAATTCCTGAGCTCAGGTGAATCTGCCTGCCTTGGCTTCCCGAAGTGCTGGGATTATAGACGTGAGCCACTGCACCTGGCCTCTTCTTTTCTAATAATTTAATGCTATAAATTTCCCTTTATGTACTACTTTAGCTGCACCCAGCAAATTTTAATGTGTGAGTTTTCGTTTTCATTCAGATCAAAAAGTTTTTTGTAAGACTTCCTCTTGGGAGCATAGATTAACAAGTATAGTTTAATATATTAGTTATAATTAATAATTACTAATAATTGGTTAATATAGTTTAATAAGTATATTGTTTAATTTCCAAGAGTTGGAGATTTTATTGTATCTTTTTGTTATTAAATTTTAGTCTAATTCCATTATGGGCAGAGAACATATTTAATATGGTTTCAATGCTTTTAAATTTGTTAAGGTTTATCTTAGAGCCAGGATATGGTCTTTCTTGGTGAATTATTCCATGTATACCTGAAAGAGTGTGTATTTTGGTTTTGGTGGGTGGATCGTTCTATAAATGTCAGATTTAATTTGTTGATGGTATTAGTTCTTCTCTGTCATTGCCGATTTTTCTGCATACTTGTTCTATTACTCAGAGAGAGGTTGTTGAAGTCTCCAGCTGTGATTTTTAGATTTGTCTATTTCTCTTTTCATTTCTGTTTATTTTCGCTTCCTGTATTTTGCAGCTCTGTTGATGCATATACATTGAGGATGATGATGTCTTCTTGCTGAATTGACCTTTTTATCCTTTCGTAATGTCCTTCTGTATTCCTTTGCCTTATATTCATAGAGCTGCTCCAGCTTTCTTTCTTTTTTCGGAGACAGTCTCACTTTGTCACCCAGGCTGGAGTGCAGTGGTATGATTTTGGCTCACTGCAGCCTTGAGCTCCTGGGCTCAAGCAGTCCTCCTGCCTCAGCCCCACAAGTAACTGGGACTACGGGTGCACACCACCACACACAGCTAATTTTTGTATTTTTTGTAGAGATGGGGTTTCACCATGTTGGCCAGGCTGGTCTCGAACTCCTGAGCTCAAGCAATCCGCCCGCCTCGGTCTTCGAAAGTGTTGGGATTACAGGCGTGAGCCACCGCTCCTGGCCACGTTGTTTTGGTTAATGTTTGCGTGGTGTATCTTTTGCATCCTTTTACTTTTAATCTACCTGTATCATTATATTTGACATGAGTTTCTTGCAGATCTTATAGTTAGATGGGGTTTTTAAAACTCTGTTCTGAAAAATCTGCCTTTTAATGGTATGTTTAGATCATTTACCTTTAATAAAATTATTGATATTTTGGATTTACGTATACCATTTTATTTGTTCTATTTTTATTTCTATTCTTCCTCTTTTTAATAAATTGAACATTTTTAGTATTACATTTTTCTTTTTCTTTTTTTTTACACTGTTCTCTTTGCGTAGTTTTTGTAGTGGTTGTTCTGGGGGTTACAATGTATGTATTAAACTTCTCACAATCTACTTAGAATCTGTATTTGCATATTTCAGATGGAATGTGGAAACCCTACTGTCACTTAGGCCTTTTGCCCTCCGTCCCCTTCTTGACATGCTCTTCTATGTTGCATACATGTACACTGATAACTCCTCAGACAGTGCAACACATTTGACTTTCTGTCATCAAACACATTCTAAGAAACTCAAGAGGAAATGAATAGTATTATACAGTTGGCCCTGGAGCAACATGGGTTTGAACTGTGTGAGTGTACTTATAACATGGCTTCTTTTCAACCCAAAACAGATCGAAAGCACAGTATTCTCGGGATGTAGAACCTGTGTATAGATACGGAGGGCTGACTTTTTGTATATGTGGGTTCCGCAAGGCTAACCACAGGACTTAGTATGCACAGGTGTGGTTATGCACGGGTGGTCTTGTCACTGATCTCTGTTCAGATCGTTTCTGGAGTTGTCCCTTGGTTTCCAAGAAGTGGTGGTTCCATAATTTGGATACCATAATTAGAGGCTGCCCAAGTGCTTTATATGAAATGGCATCATATTTGCATATAACCTACACACATCCTCCTGCAGACTTTCAGTCATCTCTAGATTACTTATAATGCCTCATACACTGTAAATGCTATGAAAATAGTTGTTATACTGTATTATTTATTTTGTTGTTGTTGTTGTTGTTGTTATACTGTTATTTCTTATTTGTGGTTGTTTCTGAATGTTTTCTGTCCTGGTTGGTTGACTCTGAGGATGTGGAACTCTCTGATCTGGAGGGCCTCCTGTCCTTCTGTTCTTTTTCATTATTGATGTTCTAGGTTTCCTTCTGGAACCCTTTCCCTTCTAATTAAAGAAATTTAACTAGCTTTTCTTTTCTCTCTTTTTTTTAAAAACCCATTTTTTTGCAGGATTCCTTTTATTTTTAAATAAATTCTCTTAGTTTTTTTTTCCATCTAAGACTATTTCACACTCATTCCTGAAGCCTGTTTTCTCTGAGTGTAGAATTCTGTGTTGATAATTGTTTTCTTTCAGCATTTTAAAAATGTATCCCTTCCTTCCACCCTCCACGGTCTCTCATGAGAAATTTGCAGTCACTCAGATCATTCTTCTCCTAGAAGTACAAGTGGAGCGTCCCTTATCTGAAATGCTTAGGACCAGAAGCATTTTAAATTTCTGATTTTTTCAGATTTTGGAATATTTGCATTATACTCACCAGTTCAGCATCCCAAATCTGAAAATTTGAAATCCCAAGTGCTCCAGTGAACACTTTGGGCGTCATGTCAGCGCTCAAAAGGTTTTGGATTTTGGAGCATTTTGGATTTTTGGTTTTCCGATTTGGGATGCTCAAGCTGTAATACATGTTTTATCCCTGGCTGCTTTCAAATCTTTGTCTTTAGCTTTCAGCAGTTTGATTATGGTGCATCTGAGGGTGGATTTCTTCGTGTGTGTGTTTTGTTTTGTTTTGTTTTGTTTTGTTTGAGACAGAGTCTTGCTCTGTCACTAGCTGGAGTACAGTGGCACGATCATAGGTCACTGCACCCTTGAACTCCTGGGCTCCAGTGATCCTCCCTCCTCAGCCTCCTGAGTAGCTGGGGCTACAGGCGTGCACCACCACGCCTAGCTAATTTTTAAATTGTTTGTAGAGACAGCATCTCACTGTGTTGCCCAGGCTGGTTTTGAACTCCTGGCCTCAAGGGATCCTCCTGCTTCAGCCACCCAAAGTGCTGGGATCACAGTTGTGAGCCACCCCACCTGGCCCAATTTCTTTGTATTTATCCCGTTTTTGTTTTGCTAAACTTAAATCTGTAGTTTTGTATCTTTCACCAAATTTAAGAAGTTTTCAGGCATTCTTTTCTTCTAGTACTTTTTCTGCCCCACGCCCTGTCTCCTCTCTTCCTGGGACTCCAGGGTTAGACCCTGTGTATTCTCTCATAGGTTCTGAGGCTCTGGTCCTTTCTTCCTCCAGGTTTTTTTTTTCTTGCTCTTGTTTGGATTGGGTGATTTCTGTTGCTCTGTCTTCAAGGTCCCTGATGATTTCCTTCGTCATCTCCATTATGCTGTTGAGCCCATCCATTGAATTGCTAGATTTTGGTTATTATACTTTTCTTTTCTGAGTTTTGCTTTTTGTCATTCTTCTTATCATCTGTTCCTTTGCTAAGATTTTCCCTATTTCTGTTCATGGTAAGAGTGTTTCCCCTTAGTTGTAGGAGCATTTTTATAATAGTCCTTTTTCAGATAATTCCAACATCTGTGGTACGGTGACACTGGCACCTGTTGATTGTCTTTTCCCAGGTAAATTGAGGTGTTCCTGGTTTTTGTATGTGAAGTAATTTTAGCTTTTGGATCCTCCTATCATGTTAGGCAGTCTGTGCCATGTGTAAATGCTGTGAATCATGTTGATACTTTTACCTTAGCAGGCCTTGACCCGGTGGGTGCAGGCCACAAGCTCCAAGCAGCCTTCTGTGGGTTGTGGTTTCAGTGTCAGCTCCCAGTTCCCCTTTCAAAGCCTTCGCTGTGCTGTTTGAACCTGCCCCACGTGTGTGCCCCGCACCCCACCCCGGTCTCCCCTGAGGTTCATTTTCAAAGCTTGGGTGTGTTCAGAGTCAGATCTACCACACACAGCCCAGGAGCCCCCCAGCAACTTCATCGGGTCACCTTTTTGAGCTCCTCCCTCTTCTGTGATGTCCCTGATACTTGCAGTTCTTTGGGCCTCTGCTTTCTGGTCCCCTAGCTAGAAAGTTGAGGCTTTAGTTACACGATGTGCCATACTTCCTGCAATCGCACGCGCATCTGGAGCCAAGCAGTGGGAGGACAGAAGGGAAAAAAACTCAGCGAGGGTCCCCTCCCGCTCGTGATCACAGTCCTCCAGTGGAGAGGAGGCTTCATGGCCCTCAGGATTATAGGCAGCTGTTGCCCCAGGATTGCTTGAGACTGGAGAGCAAGAGAACAGAGAAAAGAAGAAAGCTGGAATTCCCCCTTCTCTTTCTGAGCATCAGAAGACCCCCTTCCTGCTCCGAAGCCAGAACCAAGGGCTTCTCCTGGAGCACTGTGTCCAGGGCAGTGCCCACTTTGGATTCCGGGCTGACCTGAGTCCAGGCGGGGGATTGTGGAGGAGAAGCCGACACACTTGTTGCTGGTGGGTGGCACCTTGAGCACTGCCGCTCGTGCCCGCCTGCCTGCTGCTCTGCGCTTCTCTGCAGCCTCAGAGGGCTGCTTCATGCCTCTGCCGAGGTCAGAGCTGCAGGCAGAGGGAGAGACAGGGCCTAGTGTCTGTCCGTCCTCCCAGGCCTGGAGCCGCCCTTGTCTTGAGACGCTTACTTCTCAGTCGATGAGTCTGATGCGCCTGCCAGTGGGGAAGCGGTCACACGGGGGGTTCCCGTGAGCAGGCCTTTGCTGACAGGAGTTTCTGTTTGACTTTTCAGGAGACCCCAACCAAAGAGCTGGGGCCCTGTGGAGGAGAGGCGTGCGGCCCGGACCTGAGCGGCCCAGCCCCAGCCTCAGGCTCTCCCTACCTGAGCAGGTGCATCAACTCCGAAAGCTCCACCGACGAAGAAGGTATTTCACGTCATTGTCTAGTTTTAAAGGAAACTGAAAAATTGAGTAATGTAAAGGTTTTTTGAGGGTAACTTCCCATGTTGCTTTAATGACGCCCCCTGACATGGGCACAGAACTGCCATCTGCCAGCCGGGCCGGGCTGTGTCTTCCGACCTGCAGGGCGCACCTGCCCAGAGGCTCCCCCTCTCCCTCATCACGCAGTGATAAAAAGGGTGGGGTTTTATTTTTTATTTCTAGGTGGTGGCTTTGAGTGGGATGATGACTTCTCCCCAGATCCTTTTATGTCAAAGACAACAAGTAACCTGCTCAGCTCCAAGCCTTCTCTCCAAACATCCAAGTACTTTTCTCCGCCGCCACCGGCCCGGAGCACGGAGCAGAGCTGGCCGCACTCGGCGCCTTACTCCCGGTTCTCCATCTCTCCCGCCAACATTGCCAGCTTTTCCCTCACACACCTGACCGACTCGGACATCGAGCAGGGCGGTGAGAGGCGCTGCGTGCTGGGGATTGGGAGTGCAGGGTCGGGGGTGGGGCGCTGCAGCTGGGAGATGGTGGTTTTGCAGGCCTGATAATCTCATGTCTTCTTCACATTTGCTGAGTAGATTACAAACTTGTTTTTATAAAACTCCCATCATCAGCTGGGTGCAGTGACTCCTGCCTGTAATCCCAGCTACTCAGGAGGCTGAGGTGGGAGGATCAGTTGAGCCTGGGAGTGTGAGACCAGCCTGGGCAACATAGTGAGACCCCATCTCTAAAAAAAATAAAAACTAAAAAATTAGCTGGATGTGGTGGTGTGCACCTGCACTTCAGCTACTCAGGAGGCTGAGGTGGGAGGAATGCTTGAGCCCAGGAGTTCAAGGCTACAGTGACCTATGATTGTGCCACTGCCCTCCAGCATGGGTGACAGAGCAAGACCCTGCCTCTAAAATAAATAAATAAAACTGCCAGCATCCTGAGTGTGCTCTCGGGGCCATGCCCCCTGCCTGTTGTGGTCACTCTCAGGCTCGTTACCGGCCACCCTGTGGGGCCAGGCTGAGGCAGAGGGGCTCTGGGTCCCAGGAACGCCCAGGCTGCGCGCCATCTCCTCTTTTTCTCCTGTGGCTGCATAGTCCCTCCTCCGCACTCTGTCTCCTCCTTTCCCAGAGAGAACCTGCTCTTCAGCAGGCTCGTAAGAGCACTTGACCCCTGGACTTGGGACCAGCCCACATGCCCTCTGGTGCTGCCCCTGGAATGTTGGTTTTGCTGCTGAGTCTTGGTCCTGGTGTGGCTCCCGAGGGCGGGGTGGGGTGAATGGGCAGGGGCCATTTGAAGTCGAGGTATCTGAACATAGGGAGCCTTCTTTCCCCGTCACTAGATTGAAAGATAAAGGTTAATAGGCTCATTTTTTGATTGGAAGTTTACAGATCAAATAATAAATATGGAATACAAAGAGGCTTTATTTCCCTCGGCGCTAGGCTTCATTTGTGCCGATTAGATAACACCTGCTATCTGCCAGTCTGTCGGGGCAGATGTGTGGATCCCAGCTGACTTCTTCTGCACCCTGACCCTTAGCGCCCAGCGGGCATTTGAGCCTAGCAGATGTGGGAGAGTCAGGCAGGGGCTGCTTCCGAAGGAAAGGACAGGAAGGGCGGCTCAGGCGGTGCTGGGCTCAAAACACCCGCTTCCGTTCCTGTGGTGCAGCGCACATGCCATCCACGCCATGCCTGTCTGATCATTTTAAAAACCCAGCTTTGTCGTCTCGCTTCCTCTCTCCTCAACAGGAAGCAGCGAAGACGGAGAAAAGGACTAGGTGGCTGCCAACGCGCACGCTCGGGTCCGAGGCTGCTCCCCTGGAGCGGCGCCCCTGCGCCCTCAGCCCGAGCAGCGACATCCACTCGCCATTTGCTGACATGAGATTGGGAGGAAGAATCCAGAGGTGAAGAGGGAGACGGCTCTTAGCTGCGTTCAAGGCGGGGCCCTCGGGAGCCCAGGTGCAGAGCGAGGCCGTGTCCAGGAGCCGGCGTCCCTCAGTGCCCCGTGCACCCGCGGCCGCGGCCTCCCAGGCAGTGCTCATGCGCTGGCCGTCGGGGGAGGCAGGGGCACAGCCTCCATGTGCGCGCGCGTGTGGAGCTGTGTGCACCGCATGTGTGCTTTCCACAGGGGCGTCTCTGCGTCCACGCCTGCACATCCCGGCGCACGTGTGGGCACCACAGAGGACACGTGAGGGGAATGGTCACCAGTGAGCCATATTTATTATTTCTAGAGAAATCACGAACTGCTTTCTGTAATTGCACTGTGGATAAATGTTCCGAGAGTCTCCATTGTTGTACAGGATCTTCAGTTATTCGAGGGGAATGAGGCAGGTCAAGCCGATGCTAGCCACTAGTTTGATTTTTTTTCTGTTTTATAGTTTGCGCTGCATGGTACTTGTGAAGCTTAAATATTTTGAGTGTTCTACTGTGTCTAGGATTGTTGGGATTGTACATATGGTACTCTTTCATAAATGATAAATGATTCTGAATGTTAGTGTTTTATGTTCATATAGGAAATATTTTCATTGAGTCCAAAATACCACTGTTTTGTTGATGGACTTGAATGCATTTTTGTCTCTTCTTGATGAAGCGGCTTTGCCGCAGCAAATGAGGCTTCTCTCTGAGGAGCTGAGAGGTCTTGCAGCCTCTCCTTGTCATTCTCCCACCCCACATCCCATTTTTTAAAGCCCTTTTGGTAAAAACCAACAGGTTGTGGCCGCAGACCTCAGATGGACCCGGCCCATCCCTGGGGACGTGCTGGCGTGGCAGGTCCAGAGAGCTGCACCCTGCACGGGGCACCGCACCGCTTCCCTCCGCGCAGCTCTTCTGCCTGGTTTTCGGAGGCCAGGCTGCTGGGAAGCTTCCGTGTTCCTGTCAGTCCTTCCTTCAAGAAGCCGGGGAACTCAGGCAGACTCATCTCCGCAGAGCATACCAGCCGTGGGGGACCGTTCGACTTGATGATGTGTGCACACTTCAGGTGGTGGGGACTTGAGCTTTAAAAAAACCTCCACAGCCGAATCTTCTCCTCCGAGCCACTCCACGTCACGTCCAGCTGGGCCTGGCCAGTCTGTGGTTATCCATGTGGGATGAGATAACACCACATCCTGCAGCTGTGAAGGGGGATGGACAAGGGACGACGGCCGACGGCAGAGCATCAGCAGCCGACACATAGTTCGGGTCGGGGCCTTGGGTGGTCCTGCATGGCCCGGGACTCATCTCACGGACCCTCCGTTCTGCATTAAGCCCCAGGTTCTCTTCTGGCTTTGAAAGGGCCCGAGTGCTCCCAGTGTAGCTTCGTCACATCGTCACGAGCCCCTGTGGTCATGGGCGACCTCACACCTCCCTCCCTGAGTTCTGCTCTGACATAAGGAAGTCCTCGGTGGCTGGTGCAGCGCGGCTGTGCTGTGCTGGGGAGGCAGCCGTTCCTTCGGGGGTCCTTGGGCCTGCAGTCCCCTCATACTCACCCTTCACCCAACATATTTTCCGGTGCTGATATGTTTCCAGACTCCAGCGCAACCTGGGGTGCTCTCCAGACCCGTGCAGGGGCCGCCTGGGGTACACGGAAGGAAGTTGAGTCCTAGTGCAAAATGCAGGCGGACGTTGCCAGAGAGTGCGCAGCAAATGACCTTCATTGCCAGTTCCACCCTACTCCTCTCATTTTTTATACTAAGCAATAACTTTCCAAAGCAAGAAGTTCAGGATGGAGAGAGTCCCCTCCTGTGTAGGCATGGGGTGGATGCGGTGCCCACCTGGGCTATGTGGGGAGCACCACTGTCTCGGGATGCGCGAATTTTTTTTTTTTTTTTAATTAACAGGGCATTAGAAGATGATTTTGCCAAAATTGTCATGACTCTGAATTCTTGCTGTGGGGACTTCCTGAGTTTTCTCAGTTTTTACATCTAAGATTAGTCTTGGCTGAAGAGAAATGAGACGTGATTATACTACTTTTTCAATTGCAGGTTTAAGGAGTTCAGATTTAATGACCAAAGTCATACAGATCATGGAATCTGTCGTCGTCTTATACAGTGTCAGCCTCGAGTACATTTATTAACCTTTTGGGGCTGTCAGTTTTCCACTAGGATTAAGATTTTGGCCGGGCGCGGTGGCTCACGCCTGCAATCCCAACACATTGGGGGGTCGAGGCGGACGGATCACTTTGAGCCCAGGAGTTCAAGACCAGCCTGGGCAACATGGCGAAACCTCGTCTCTACTAAAAATACAAAATATATATATATATATATATACTAGCTGGGGCACATAGTGGTGTGCACCTGTAGTCCCAGCTGCTTGGGAGGCTGAGGTGGGAGGATGGCTAGAGCCCAGGAGATGGGTGTTGCAGTGAGCTGAGACCATGCCACTGTACTCTAGCCTGGGTAACAGCCAGACCCTGTCTCAAAAAAAAAAACAATTTTTTTCATAACATAATTCCCATTTTTATTTATTTTGAGTCACTCATAATTAATTGCCAAAAAAGCATTTTATACATTGAGTTGGGGGGTAGTGGATCTTAGTGTGGTGTTGCATGGAGGGGCGAGATTTTATATTTATAATCAACACGTGGGTTAACATGTTTTTTTGAAATCCAAGCAATACACAGGAAATTTAAGTAGAATAAAAATTGCAGCCCATTTTTGAAATGTCAGCATGTGCTGTGTTCAGTTCAGGTTTTTGTTGTTTGTTTTGTTATTTTTTAACTAATAAGTTGGTTATCAGTGGTGGGTTTTCAAAATGTACTTGTTCTAATAAGTTGTACAATGAACTAAATCAGTGGCATTCTCTAGATAATGTGGGGGAAGGTTAGAATATTTTCTGGCCTTCTATGGGGTAGCAACCCAGAATCAATCTGAATTAGTCCTGTTTTGGTGGAGTTTGTACATTTTAAATCCTATAACAAAAATAATCTAGTTTTCATTTCCTTACTAGCTAGATGCGAATTTGTCTTTTTGAATGACCCTGTCAATAAGCCAGAAAGGGCAACCCAGAAAAAGTGCTCCCCACATCCTTCTGAGACTTGGCCTGTGTGTGTGGACGAGAAGCCATTCACCGTAAGGGTGCAGAAAGCTCGACCAAGCCGAATTGCAAACAACGTTCGTTCTATTTTTAAATGTACAGGTTCGATCGTTTCTATAGAAATGGGTTTATCTAAGAAAAGTCTTGGTTTGTCTTGCTGCTGTAAAAGGCCTTTCCAAACCCCTCCTTTTATTCCTGTTTCCCGAAATAAGGTATTTGTAGAGTTAAGGACCTACTGCATGCCTGTCCCCAGGGCCCCGGTGGAAGGAAGGCAGCGCCTGCTCTTCCTTAACTCAGCCCATCATCTGAAAATTCAGAAGTGAACCAAGGGTTAGACGCCAGAGGTTGGGCTTCTGTTAGAGTGGCTTCAAAACATGAGCCTTATGGGAAGTAGCCTTAAAAAAAGAATGGGTATACGCAGTGACTTCCGATGGAAATCTCCAAAACAATATTCCTAAGTAGCAATGGGGTTGGCTCAAGTCTTTATTAACAAAGAACATTCTCTTTCATCTATAAAGAAATTCTTAAAGATGCATTGACAGTGTTGAATTACCAACAGCCTGTGAAGATCAGTTTGACCGGTGTGGACACGTGCTGGTTAAGCACTCAGGCCTACGTGGGCCGAGCGGGATCTTGATCATGGGGCTGGTGTATGGATCCACCGTCGGATTCCGTCTGCAGAGGAGGACGTAGGGGGCCGTCACACCCACCAGGCCTCCCTGCTGTGCTTTAACACAGGCAGAAGAGGTTCATGGCAATATAATAGTCAATGAACTTTCAGTTTAAATTGTGTACATTTTTAAATTGTAAGATTTTTACTGTATATTGATGCATAGTGTGATTCAATAAATTGCTTGTAATTTAAAAACTATTTAATATTCAAAATAAATATAGTTATATATTTATAAACTCTGTTGGCCGCGTTTCTTCTGTGTTTTGTCCACCGTGCAAGGGCCACCTGGGTGGGTGGCCTGGCCCTGCCCTGCTGTGAGCGCCCGCAGCCTGTGTTCCAGGCCCCTGCCCTGGTCCCTCTGGAGCTTGTGTGACAGACCTAAACTCCCCGCACTCCTGAGGACATAAAGCTTTGTATAACCACTGGAAAACCAAACCTGTTTAGTGTTCCTGCCACCTTGAAGCATGTCTATAAACCATGCCTTTGCACTCATGAATTTCGGAAGCATTTTCATTTCCAAGGACCTCATTTGGCCCAGCCTCAAATGAGCTTTAGGCCAAGAGAAGAACTAACTAACCTTGGCTCCAAGCTAGCCTTTCTGTGCCCGCCCCCCGCCCCACTATGGCCCCTCTGAGTTCCCACCCAGAGGTACTGAGACAGAGCGGCGAGACCCATGAGTGTGGAGCCCAGGCCTGCCAGCCAGCGTGACACTCACCGCACCCCCAGCAGCGTGCAGTCACCGCACCCCTAGCAGCCCCGAATAGTCCCTGAGCAAGATGCTGCTTTGGCTGGGCGTGGTGGCTCACGCATGTAATCCCAGCACTTTGGGATGCCGAGGCGGGTGGATCACTTGAGGTCAGGAGTTGAAGACCAGCCTGGCCAACGTGGAGAAACCCCGTCTCTACTAAAAATACAAAAATTAGCTGGGCGTGGTGGTGCATGCCTGTAATCCCAGCTACTCGGGAGGCTGAGGCAGGAGAATCGCTTGAACCCGGGAGGCGGAGGTTGCGGTGAGCCGAGATCATCTCGCTCCATTGCACGCCAGCCTGGGCAGCAAGAGCGAAACTCCGTCTCAAAAACAAACAAACAAACAAAACAGGCGTTCCCAAGGACTGCACACCTGCCCAAGGAGCCCCCCACCCCCACCCCAACTCGGGCTCCGCCCCCAGCCCGTAGGAGCCCCAGGTTCCCCTAAACATCCCGGGCGGCGGGGCGGGGGATCCCCTGGGAGATGCCCGCGTTTTCGCGGAGCGGCTCGTCCCGGAGTGCTCCTGGGACTTGGGATCTGTGTGCTGAGCCTGAATCGGGGCTGCCCCTCCTTCCGGCGGCTCCCAGAGACCTGTTTCCCATTGGCGGAATGGGCCCGGGCCCCGCCACGAGTGGAGAGGCCGGGCAAGGAGGATCGCGGGAGGCATGGATGCGGGGGTGCTGTGTCAGGGGGAGGGTCGGGGAAAGCGGGCGGGGGGAGGCTGTCTCGGGCACGGATATGGGGTAGGCGGGTGGGAAAGGCGCGAGTGGAAATTGAGGGGGAGGATGGGGAAAAGCAGGTTGTGGGGAGGCTGTCGGGGGACGGGAGTAGGGGAGGTGGGGACGCAGGCTGTCTTGGGGGGGCTGTAGCGGGAGAATGGGGAGAGACGAATGGGGGGAAGCTATCTCGGGGCGGTTGGGGGGCTGTCGGGGGAGGATGGGGAGAAGCGTGTGGGGGAGGCTGTCTGGGGGAACGAGGGTCGGGGGCTGTCGGGGGATGGTGGGGAGAGGCGGGCGGGGGTGGCTGTCTTGGGGGACGAGGGTGGGGGGCAGTAGGGGGAGGATGGGGAGAGGCGGGCGGGGGAGGTTTTCTATCTTGGGGGCGGGGCGGAAGCTGGGGGCGGGGCTGCGCGGCCACCTGGTCCGGGAGCCCCAGGCGCCGGCCTCCCGCCCGCCCGCCCGCAGGTGCCGCCACTGCTGCCCAGCGCCCGCCGGGACACCCGGACCCCGGCCCCGCCCCGGCCCCGCCCCGAGGGCTCATTTGCATGCGTCCGCGGCCCCTCCCGGGGCGGCTAAAGCGACGTGTCCTTGTCCCCCGTGGGCAGCCTCGGCGCGTGTGGCCGCGGATCCCCAGGTAACCCGGGAGCTGGGAACTCGGGTGGGGCCGCGGGGAGGGGACCCAGGGGCAGGACCTGGCGGTGGGGTTGTGGGGGTTGTGGGGGCTGTGGGGAAACCCGGGTGGGGGACTTCTGGTCTGTCTGGAGGCTCCACGGGGCCCATCCACGTGGTGGGATTGGGGGCTGCCGCCAGGCCCTGGCCATTGCCGACCTCTGACCTCCACGGCTGCCCCATGTCCGCAGCGGTTCTGGCCCCAGTGCTGTCCCATGTCCGCAGCGGTTCTGGCCCCAGTGCTGTCCCTGCACGTGTCACGTCCAGCGGGGCAGGACAGTGAGAGCCTGGTGGCTGGAGTCACTGCCCGCCCACGGGATGAAGTCAGTGCCGCCTCCGGCAGAGGCGCCCCCTAAGCTAGGGTGGGGGACGCATTCTAGGCAAAGTGTCAAAGGTCACCGAGCTCAGGAGGCACTCTGGGGGCAGTGAGGGGCATGAGCCAGAGGAAGATCTAGGGGTCAGGATGAGTCATCCTGGGGGAAGGGGGACGCAGGGACAGGGACAGATTCCAGAGGTCTGTTTGAGGTAAAGCAAGGGCGTGGGTGTGTGTGGGGTCAGCCCAGGGCTAAGCGTGTGAACAGAAGGACCTCCAGTCGCAGAGCGCCAACCCCTGCCCCTGGTACCATTGCTGTCAGCAAGGAGGAGGCTGCCAGGGACGGCACCCCAGCGGGTCCCCTGCCCATGTGGGGTGACCACAGAGTGTCCTGTGTTCTGGATTTCAGCTCCAAGGGCCTCACCTTCCTGCCGCCACCTCCTAGGACAGCCAGTCCAGGGCCATGAAGACCAAGAACCGGCCCCCACGGCGCCGGGCCCCGGTGCAGGACACAGAGGCCACCCCCGGGGAGGGGACGCCCGACGGGTCCCTGCCGAACCCGGGGCCAGAGCCGGCCAAGGGTCTGCGGAGCCGGCCGGCCCGGGCCGCAGCAAGGGCTCCGGGCGAGGGCAGGCGCAGGCGGCCAGGACCCTCCGGGCCCGGTGGCCGTCGTGACAGCAGCATCCAGCGGCGGCTGGAGAGCAACGAGAGGGAGCGGCAGCGGATGCACAAGCTAAATAACGCCTTCCAGGCCCTGCGTGAAGTCATCCCCCACGTGCGCGCGGACAAGAAGCTCTCCAAGATCGAGACGCTCACGCTGGCCAAGAACTACATCAAATCGCTGACGGCCACCATCCTGACCATGTCCAGCAGCCGCCTCCCAGGCCTGGAGGGGCCGGGCCCCAAGCTCTACCAGCACTACCAGCAGCAGCAGCAGGTGGCTGGGGGTGCGTTGGGGGCCACGGAGGCCCAGCCCCAGGGCCACCTGCAGAGGTACTCCACGCAGATCCACAGCTTCCGAGAGGGCACCTAGCGCCCAGTCCTGGGTGGGGGTGGCGGTGGCCGCAGCTGCCTGGCCTGCTCCTCCCAGCCCCAGTCCCTCCAAGCCACGAGCCCCAGATGGGCGGTGACACCCCACAAGGACACGGCCTCAGCGGTTCCATTTTCCCCCGAACATTCAGCCACTTCCCTGGAGCAATTTTTCCTGCCCCGCTGGGGACCAGCGAGTGGCCTAGTTGCGGCTGTGGCCCTGGACAGCGGCGTGAGGCCCAAACCTCTAGGTAGGGCCCAGTTGGATCCTGATTTTTCATTGAGCCAGGCAGTCTCAGCCCGAGTTGAAAGGCCTCCTTAGCCTTGGAACTAACGTCTCTTCACCCTGACTTCTGGGCAAGGGGAGATCCCAGGAAAAGGTTTACCTGCAGGTTTTCCAAGGCCAAAGCCCCAGCAAGGACCCCCTCTCCAACCTTTGTTATAGGGCTACATGGGGCCTGGGCTCAGCATCCTCATTTGGGGTAAACTGAGGCCCGGGACAAGCCCGGCAGAGCCTAAGGCTGCTCGGGGAGTGGGGCCAATCAGAGATGATTGGAGCTGCCAGAAACTCTAATCAGATGACCTCCAATTCATCCTTAAAAGTTGAATGGTGGGGAGGGGCTGGAGTCTCTTCCTCCCTCCTCCCAAGTTGGGGCTCCTGGATGTGTTGACTCCAGGCTGTGCCTGGTTGTGGAGGGTCTGGGGCAGGGTGTGAGGGGTGCTGTGGAACTGGAGCAGGAGACAGGGCTGGGTGTTCCTGGTGCAGCCCTTCTGGGCATGGGAGAGAAGCCCCAAGGCCCTGGGTTGCTCCCCAAGAGCAGCTCTGAGGCCTCCTGCTCAGCCCTGGCCTGTGTGGGGAGCGAGTGTGCCCCCCACCCAGCCCCTGCCACCGCCGTTACTTATTCTCACTGATGTGGGGTTATCATATAATTGGCACCATGCTGTCTGTAGGACATTATGACGTGCTTGGGTTCTGGTTTGAGTTGGCAGCCCGTTGGGTCTCTCTGCCTGGTGGAGCCTTGGGGTGGCAGGTACGTCCCTTCCCCCGCCCAGGTGCTTCATCCTCATGGCCAGGCCTGGTGGCTTGGCACGTCTCTGCTGCCCCAAGCCCAGCTTCCTTCTGCTGGGCGTTCCTGCCCCACTGGCTCTGCCGGACTTGGCTACTGGACTCTCCCCTCCCTCATGCCTCTGCCCAGAGATGTCCCAAAGGCCCTCAGGGCCAAGCCGGGCCAGGGATGTGGCTGCCACAGCTGAGACCAAGGGCTCTGGCTGGCCCGTCCCCACCAGGTGGCCCTGCCCTCCCCAAGTTGGGGGTTGTGGCACTTGGGGTCAGGCCTAGCCACGTAAGGACACAGGTAACACCCTGAGGATCTGGCATTGGCAGCTTCAGGCCTAACTTTCCTGGTCAGGGCCCCTTAAGGTGGCCCGGGCACATTGGTTTCATTTCGATGAGACTTTGTCAGAGGCCTGGTCTGGTCCTGGCCCTACCGCCCCAGCTGTCCTTCAGCACAGCTCGGGGTGGGGACTCCAGGATGCTGGGTCTGCCCCTTGGGAGGGGCACTCTGGAAGGTCAGGGTGATCCACAACTGTGAGCTGAGGTTGGATGCAGCTGGGAGCTTGGGACAGAGAGAGCCCAGGGCTCCCCTGCTGTGGGGCACCTGCCCAGCGGGGACATGAGATGACAGAGACCTCCCCGGCGGGGGTACTCAGGTGCTACGAACATGGCAGCTCTTGTTTCCGGCTGAGCCATGGCCAGAGCAGGGCTCAGTCTGCCCCTGAACTTGCTGAATGGACCGACGAGCTGAGCCTGAAAGCCCAGAAGAGCCTCGGTCCAGAAGACGGAGACTCGGCCCGGTGTCCAGCGCAGCCCAGGGCTTCCTGGGGGGCAGCAGGAGTGCCTGGGGGTCACCGCCTTCAGGACAATGGCCTCAGTGGCTCTTTCTTTCTGCCCTGAACTGGCACCTGCACCTCCTCTGCTTCCTAGAGGGTGACCTGGGCCGAGCCGCCCAGTCCTTCTTCCCCTGAGGCCAGAGGGGACGCCCCGCGGCCACATCACACAGGATCCTCAGCAGCCATAGTCTCGCTTCAGGGTGTCCAGTGTTTCGAGGAGGAGAGGGGACAGGGGCCAGGTCCACTCCCTTGGCCCTCCTCTTGGACCCCAAGGCCAGGCCGGATCCTTTTATCCCGTGGGGAGCCCCTGCCTCGGCCATCGGGATGAGGTCCCTCAAGTCCCTGCACAAGCAGGTCAGAGACCCACCCACATGCCGTTCCTGGGCTACGCCACGCGCCATCCCCCGGGGCTGTGGACGCACCCAGCCCCCGACAGACAGGCGCCCTGAGAGCTCCGAAGGCGCGATCCCCATCCCCACCAGTGGAGAAGCCAGAACCGCGATTGTTGCATCTGGGAAAACCCAGCTGGAGCCGAACGGCCCGTGCCCCCACTGTAATTGTGCTGAAAATGTTTCTCAAATGACCCAAATTGGCTCTTATTTTTTCTAATGGCCCTTTCAAAGTATTCATGAAATTGATGCTGTGTCATAAAACAAAAATAAAAGATTTCACAGCAATGTCTGCTTCAGGCACACGGGGAACCACGCGTTTTAATCAACGTATCGATAAAAAACACCAGGGCACGGACACTCCAGGGGAAATGCTTATTGAGTAAAGTATCCGAGGAAGTGATGCAGGGCAGGTAAACAGCTGGTGCTCAGCAGCGAGAGGACGCGTCACTCTGCCGTTCTGCAGGGTGACGCCCTCCCCGTACCTCGCTGAGAGCCACCTGCAGACACAGCAGGCCACAGCAGAATGCACAGGTCACTGTTGTAGGGGAACAAATCGTAATGCCCAGAGAAAACCTGATAGTGAAATGTAAACAGACAGGACAGGGTGGTTCCAGGTGGCCACCACCGCCAGGCCCTTCCCGTGATTGATCTGAGAGCTTCACAGCCGGCGGCACTGGGACCCATTTCCAGAAACACTGGAACACCAGGTCTCTCAGATGCCCGCGGGAGGGGCCCCAGGGAGGCCTTTCTCAGCATCAGCTTTTGGGTGACAAACCCCATACAGCAAAACTGTACAAATACACACAACGGACCCCCAGCTGACAGTGAGACCAGGACCCTAGGAAGGTCAGGTGGTGGTGAAGTCATCCCCTCTCCAACCGAGCAGAGCCTGGGGTTGGGCTCTGATGACCTCCCGGGCAAAGTGTCCAGGTGGAGGAAGCAAACTCCCAAATGGGGCACAGAGGTAATAAAAAGCAGCTGAGAGACTGCGGGATGGGGTCGGGGCCACTTGGCCGACACCTTCTGCCTCGCCTGGCCGGGCCGGGCCAGCCTCTCGCCACAGGATGGAGGGTGACTGTGCACCCTGCTCCATGTACAGGACGGGCTGAGGGTCCCATGGCCACTGCCGACAGACACAGTAGTACTGCTCCCCACAGAAGCCCGCAGTCTGCACCCTCCTACAACATGATTTGACATCCAAGAAGCCCCTGTCACCAGCGCATCTGGGGAAGGGGCCGAATGGGGGTTGATGATGGTGACTGCACACACGGACACTGCCTCCAGCCATGGGGCAGCCTCTCATCCTCTCCCAGCCTCCCGTCTGGTACCCCGGCCCCCTCAGGGAAGAGGACATCCCATCCACTCCAGTGTTATTTCCAATCTGCTGTCTCCTTCCTTCACTTTTTTTTTTTTTTTTTTTTGAGATGGAGTCTCTGTCGCCCAGGCTGGAGTGCAGTGGCATGATCTCGGCTCACTGCAGCCTCCGCCTCCCGGGTTCAAACGATTCTCCTGCCTCAGCCTCCCGAGTAGCTGGGATTACAGGCACCCACCACCATGCCCAGCTAATTTTTTTTTTTTTGTATTTTTAGCAGAGATGGGGTTTCACCATGTTGGCCCGTCTGGTTTGAAACTCTTGACCTAGGTGATCTGCCCACCTCAGCCTCCCAAAGTGCTGGGATTACAGGCGTGAGCCACGGCGCCTGGCCTCCTTCCTTCACTTTTGAAATTAAAGCCTCTTTGCAAGTCCTGCTCTGAGAAATGGTCACTGCACATGGTAAAGAGGCCCTGAGCCCCATGGCCATCTCTCTTGGTGAGGGGTGGCGGGCCCGGGTGCTGTCTGAGATGCCAGCTCAGGAGGGCTCCATCCTGGCTCTGCTGCCCCAGGGCCGGCGTTCCCGGAGGGCTCCAGGTTCCCGGTTCTAGTCCTGGAAAGGCAGAAGGGAGAGGGGAAGGGAAGGGTGGGAGGGGCCTCTGGGAGGTGCAGCCCCACCCCATGCCCCACACCCCGGGACTCCTCGCAGACGGGGACACGTGTGGGAGTGTCCGCGGAGCTTCACATTTCAGGGCCGTCTCAGCCAGTGCCTCTGAAGTGGCCGCAGCCTTGGGGCCAGGTTCCCTCCTGAGTCCACCTGGGCCACATTGCTCCCACGGTGCACACTCCAGCACAAGAATGGCTCAGCCTTGATCCCCCAAACTGGGCACCGTCCCTGCATGTAGGTGTGTGGGGGGGCCTCAGCAGCAGACGGGGCCATGGGCCTCTGGTGGGGCACTCGGCTCCTGCTCCTGGGACGAGCTCCGGGGGGCCCTGGTGGCATTGGCCCGGACAGAGATATGGTCCCAGCCTCCCTGGAAGGAGAGAGCTGTGTCACCAGGGGACTCGGGGACTCGAGGATCCTGGAGGGGATCTGCCTGGGGGCCTCCCTGCAACCCAGACACCGGGTCCCAGGGGACAGTCCCACAGTGGTCGTCCCGTCTTCAGCACCCAGTGCAGGCACAAGGTGATAACACAGCCCAAGGCCGCGGGCCCCGCTCACCCCGATGCCGTAGTCCCAGCCGTGGCCCTTGGGCTCGTGAGGCTGCACGCCGGTGCGATGACACACTGTCCCCCGGCTCAGGCTGTGGCTGCCCTGCACTTTGTTGGCGATCACCCAGACCTGGAGCACAGACCCCATGAAGCCCTCAGCCCTACCTGCAGTGGGACGGCTGGGCATGGGATGGGGGAGACCAGAGAGGGAACCAGAGCACCCCAAGTGCCCGATACCCCCTGAGCACCCCCACCTGGTCCAGGGGCCCCACGGACACTCGGCACACGTTGTTGGACACGTGCTCCCAGCTGGAGCCCTGCGGGTAGCTGGGCGTGATCCCTTGGCGATACCACAGGTTTCCTGGGGAGAAAAGCAGTGAGGGTCAAAGGGGAAGACCTTCCCGGCCCCTCCTGCCCGTGCGGCCCGGCAGCCGGTGGCCAGGCCCCGCTCTAACCACTTCGGGGTTTGGGAAGCTGCTGGGGAGGCAGGAGGGTCCTGGCCCCTGAGTCAGGGCCACAGCCTCCTCCGCTTCTCCACACTCAGGAGCCTGGGCTGCAGCCAGCTCCGCCTTCTGCACACTCGGGGCGTCCCCCGAGCCTCATAATCGCCCTATTGTGCTGGGCACGGCCGGCCTCCTGATCCTCTTTCTGCTGAGGCAGAAACTATGGACAAGGGAAGTCCTAGCCAGAGCAATCAGGCAAGAGAAAGAAAGAAAGGGCATCCAAATCGAAAAAGAGGAAGTCACGGTGTGTCTGTTTGCCCATGATAGGATCAAATACCTAGAAAACCCTAAAGACGCCTCCAAAAGACTCCTAGATTTGACATATGAGTTCAGGAAAGTCTCAGGTTACAAAATCAATGCACACAAATTAGTAGCACTGCTACATGCCAGCAGCAACCAGGCTGAGAATCAAATTAACCCCTTTTACAACAGCTGCAAAAAATAACATAAAATACCTGGGAATGTACTTAACCAAGGAGGTGAAAGATCTCTATAAGGAGAACTACAAAACACTGCTGAAAGAAATCATAGATGACAGAAACAAATGGAAATACATCCCATATTCATGGATTGATGAGTATGGGATGAATCAGTGGAAGAATCAATATCATGAAAATGATCATACTGCCCAAAGCAATCTACAGATTCAATGCAATTCCTATTAAAATACTGTCATCATTTTTTACAGAATTAGAAAAAAAAATCCTAAAATTAATATGGAACCCACAAAGAGCCTCAATGCCCAAAGCAATTCTAACCAAAAAGAACAAATCTGGAGGCATCACATTACTGGACTTCAAATTATACTACAAGCCTACAGTAACAAAAACAGCATGGTGCTGCTATAAAAATAGACACATAGACCAGTGGAACAGAAGAGAGAACCAAGAAATAAAGCCAGATACCCACAACCAATTGATCTTTGAGAAAGCATACAAAAGCATAAACTGGGGAAAGGACACTTTATACAATAAATGGTGCTGGGTAAACTGGATAGTCGCATGTAGAATAATGAAACTGGATCCGTATCTCTCACCATATTAAAAAAACAACTCAAGATGAATCAAACACTTACATCTAGACCTAAAACCATACAAATTCTATAAAAAAAACCTAGGAAAAACTATTCAAGGGCTTTGCCTGGGCAAAGGATTTCTGACTAAGATTCCAAAAGCAAATGCAACAAAAACAAAAATAAAGGAGCCCTAATTAAACTAAAAAGTTTCTGCAGAGCAAAAGAAATAATCATCAGAGTAAACAGAAAACCCACAGGATAGGAGGAAATATTTGCAAACTATGCAACTGACAAAGGACTCATAACCAGAATCTAGAAGGACTCAAACAAATCAGCACACACACAAAAAACAAAAAACCAATAATCCCATCCAAAAGTGGCCAAATGACATGAATAGACATTTCTCAAAAGAAGATATGCGGCTGGGCGCGGTGGCTCATGCCTTTAATCCCAGCACTTTGGGAGGCCAAGGCAGGCGGATCACCTGAGGTTGAGAGTTCGAGACCAGCCTGACCAACACAGAGAAACCCCATCTCTACTAAAAATACAAAATTAGCCGGGTGTGTTGGTGCATGGCTGTAATCCCAGCTACTCGGGAGGCTGAGGTAGGAGAATCGCTTGAACCTGGGAGGCAGAGGTTGCAGTGAGCCGAGATCGCACCACTGCACTCCAGCCTGGGCAACAAGAGCAGAACTCCATCTCAAATTAAAAAAAAAGAAGATATACAAATGACCAACAAACATGAAAAAATGCTCAACACCACTAATCATCTGAGAAATGCAAATCCAAACCACACTGAGATATTAATACCACTTTATTTCTGCAAGACTGGCCATTATTATAAAGTCAAAAAACAACACAGCCAGGCGCGGTGGCTCATGCCTGTAATCCCAGCACTTAGGGAGGCGGAGGTGGGCGGATCACCTGAGGTCAGGAGTTCGAGACCAGCCTGCCCAACATGGCGAAACCCCATCTCTACTAAAAATACAAAAAAATTAGCCAGGCATGATGGCAGGGACCTGTAATCCCAGCTACTTGGGAGGCTGAGACAGAAGAATCGCTTGAACCTGGGAGGCGGAGGTTGCAGTAAGCCGAGATCATGTCACTGTACTCTAGCCTGGGCAACAAGAATGAAATTCCGTCTCAAAAACAAAAAAAAAATTTTTTAACGGTACATTTTACTTTATTTATTTTTATTTTTATTTTATTTTTTGAGACAGAGTCTTGCTCTGTCACCCAGGCTGGAGTGCAGTGGCATGCCTTGGCTCACTGCAATCAATATCCTCCTCCTCCCAGGTTCAAGCGATTCTCCTGCCTCAGCCTCCTGAGTAGCTGGGATTATAGGTGCGCACTACCACATCTGGCTTTTTTTTTTTTGAGACGGAGTCTCGCTCTGTCACCCAGGCTGGAGTGCAGTGACGCAATCTCGGCTCACTGCAAGCTCCGCCTCTGGGGTTCACGCCATTCTCCTGCCTCAGCCTCCCGATTAGCTTGGACTACAGGCACCCGCCACCACGCCCAGCTAATTTTTTGTATTTTTAGTAGAGACAGGGTTTCACTGTTAGCCAGGATGGTCTCGATTTCCTGACCTTGTGATCCGCCTGCTCCGGCCTCCCAAAGTGCTGGGATTACAGGTGTGAGCCACCGCGCTTGGCCTAATTTTTGTGTTTTTAGTAGAGATGGGTTTCACTAAGTTGGCCAGGCTGGTCTCAAACTCCTGATCTCAAGTGATCCGCCCACCTCAGCCTCCCAAAGTGCTGGAATTATAGGCATGAGCCACTGTGCCTGGCTAATGGTACATTTTAAAATAACTGAAAGAGGGCCAGGCGCGGTAGCTCACACCTGTAATCCCAGCACTTTGGGAGGCCGAGGTGGGCAGGTCACTTGAGGTCAGGAGTTTGAGACCAGCCTGGCCAATATGGTGAAACCCCGCCTCTACTAAAAATATAAAAATTAGCCAGGTGTGGTGGTGCGTGTCTGTAATCCCAGCTACTTGGGAGGCTGAGGCAGGAGAATCGCTTGAACTCAGTAGGTGGAGGTTGCAGTGAGCCGAGATTGCACCACTGCACTCTAGCCTGGGAGACAAGAGCGAAACTCCATCTCAAAGAAAAAATAATAACAATAATAACTAAAAGAGTAGAATTGGATTGTTTGTAACATAAAGGCTTGAGGAGGTGGATACTCCCTTTACCCTGATGTGATATTATGCATGCATGCCTGTATCAAAACATCTCATGTACCCCATAAATATACACACCCACTCTGTACCCATAAAAATTAAAGTTTTTTTTTTTTTTGAGATAGAGTCTCACTGTGTCATGCAGACCATGTTGGCCAGGCTGGTCTCGAACTCCTGATCTCAGGTGATCCGCTGGCCTCGGCCTCCCAAAGTGCTGAGATTACAGGTGTGAGCCACCATGCCCAGCCAAAACATTAAAAATTTAAAAAAAGAGCAACTTGCCATTCTCATCCAGGGCATACACCGACGTCTGCCCCGCGGACACCTGCTTCAGCCTCTGTCTCGGTGGGGACGGGATGTGGTACCAGCAGTCACCTGCGAAGGGGAGGCTGACTCAGGCACGCTGCCTTCTCCTCCTTGCATGGGCCAGGTGGGGCTGTGGGCCTCGGTCCCCAGCTGCCTCTCGGATGTGTAGCCTGGTGTCAGCTGTGTGCCACACAGAGCTGACACGTGCCCTGCCGTCCACCCAGCACTGTGCCTGGGGTCTCTGGAAGCCATGGCGGGCTCCGATGGACTCATCTTGCCAGCGCAACACAAAGGCTTCCTGTGCAGCTCATGGTGGAGACCCAGCCTCAGGGGCTGCCCTGCTAACCCATCCCTGTGCAGAGGGCAGCTGAGTACCAGCGTCCCCGTGTTGGACACTGGACATCTGGAGAAGAACAAGCCAGCACAGCCCGTCCTCCCGGGCAGCCACCAGATTGGTCACTGTGGAGTGGACCCTGCAGGGCCGAGACACAGGGGCCACCCCAGGAAGGGCCAGGCAGGCCTGGCTCCAGCTGCCCCATTACCAGGGTGACCACCTCCCAGTCAGTCCCAGTGGGAGGGGGACTCCCACTTCTGGGGGAAGTCCCAGCTTCTGGGGGACCCTGGCCCAGAGGGGATGTTCAGCAAACATCAGCTTGGACGGAAGGTGAACACTGCAGGGGCTCCTGGGGCGCGGCACTCACCGGCTGGCTGCGAGGGGTACACGGATCCCCGGTAGAAGGCGGAGCCGTCCCTTGCCACGGCCCACACCTGGTAGCAGGCCCCGATGGAGATGGAGGCGAAGGGCTGGTCGGTGCCAACGTGCAGCCAGGAGGAGCCCTGGGGATAGCAAGGAGGGGCGCTGAGGTCACCAGGGCCCCCACCCCCAGGGCCCCACCTCCAGGACCAGCAGAAATGGGCCTAGCGCGTGGGCAGCATAGGTGGCTGGGGGACAGCCGGGAGTCACACAGCCCCACCCGGCCTGATCTCGGTGCTTGTTGAAATCCTGGGCGCATCTCATCCTCCTGCGAGCAGGGAAAGCGCCCCCGTGGGCGTGTGCACCTCACCGGGGTGCTGACCACCAAGGACTGGGTGCCAAAGAGCCGCAGTGTCCCCTTGGCCCACCTCTGTCACCCCCGCCCCACCCGCCTCATTCCTGGGCCAACTGCCCCAGGGCACAGGGACCCACTCGGACCACAGGCAGTGTCCACTGGTCCTAGGGGCTTGTCCTGAGCAGGGTCTGAGCCCTGCCGGACTCCAGAGCAAAGGTCTCATTTCAAGAAGAATCTGTCTGGCCCCGGCACTCACCGCAGGGTTGAGCTCCGACACGCCCAGGCGGCACAGCACATCCCCCTTGTCGCTGACGGCCCAGAGGGCGATGCTGTGCCCACTCCCCTCGGCACCCGGGCTCTCCGGGATGATGGACACGTCCCTGAGGGCGATGGGGGGCACCTCCAGCCAGGGCCCACTGGTCACCAGCTTGCATTTTCTGTACAGTGGAGAGGGGACACAGCCCAGGGACCCCAAGGTGACCACCAGGCTCCAGGGCCTCTGCCTCTGGAGCCAGGAGGAGGAAAGCAGCCAACCCCGGGGCGGGTAGAAAGAGGGGCCCAGAGGTGGCCTCCTCCCCACCCCCACCCCCATCCAGGCCCAGCCAGGCCCCCACCCCCACCCCCAGCCCCAGCCAGGCCCCGTTCTCTGTCCCGCTCACAGGTGGAGTGTGCCAGTGACATTTCTCTTATTTGTTCATGAAAACAAACTATTCTGAAACCAGAGAGCACCGGGAGCCTGCGGGCATTTCCTGGGCTGACATTTACTCAGATTCGGCTTCCCTCTTCACCCTACTCCCCACTGCTTCTTCCCTTGGGACTGAGGTCAGAGGCCAGGAGATCTGGCCCGGGGTGCAGGGAACCAGAGCTCCCTCAAGGGTGGCTCCTCCAGGAGCCTGACCGTGACAGTCACCCTGCAGCCCTGCCTCACCTGGCCCAGCACCTCCTCCTCACAAAATCCTTCATCGTTTTGGACCCATGGTATGAGCTGCAAGGAGGAAGAAGATGAAATCAGGGCCACTTCGTGGAAGTTTCTGGAAAGGGACCGTGCATGTAAACATTCTTGTTCTACCCGTTACAGGGCATGGGGACTGGGTGGAAGCCATGGATGGGGTTCAGAGAAGGAGGTGTCACCACGCGCGGCTCTCAGGAGGCGCTTCCTGGCTGCCCCGGCAGGATCAGGGTTGAGTGCAGCCCTGGGGACCTGCAGGGAGGGCCTCCTGGGGGTTGGGGCCTCCCAGGGGCAGGGGTCTCCCTGGGGAAGGGGGTCGGGCCTCCCTGGGGCTGGAGCGGAGCAGTCACTTGTCAGGGGTCAGGCTAAGGGGACTCAGCCCTCCCCTCCCCAGGCCCCATCAGAGCCCTTTTGGGGAGCAAGAGCCCTCGGTCAGGATGAGGCCCGAGGCTGAGCGGAGGGTGGTCCAGGAGGCCTGGCTGTGGCCGAGGGGACGGTCCTGGTCTGCTCAGAAGCCACCTGGCTCTGGGCCCCAGCTCAGGCTGTCCTGGCTCCATCTTCCAACAGGCTGAGACTGTGCCGTGAAGGGCCTGCCCACGCCGTGCACCTGCACCGCCAGGGTCCAGGGCCTCGTGACAGCCACTGCATCTCTCCGAGGGGCTCACACTGCCCCTTCACCTAACATCTCGTGTTGGGTCCCTCAACACTAAGGGCCTGGCTCAAAGCCCCCCAGAGCTCACCCTGCTAAGGCTGTAGAGGCCACTCGCCCTCCTCAAGCCCCTCAGTCTGGTGCCCTGGGTGCCACCATCTGACCCTCCCAGAGCCCGTGCCTGGCACAGCAGGGATGAACGTGGCGTGGGGGAGCCATGGTGCTCCTACCCGTGCCACACATGGAGGCCAGGGGTGCCACGTGTGCAGGGAGCACTCCCCTGGGCCCCTCCTGGCCTCTCTGCTGGCTCCTCCCCCTCCAGTAGCAGGGCTGGCACCAGGGGTCTGCTCCTTGGCCAGGCCTAGGGGGCAGGGTTCAGCCTGGAAGAGCAGTGAGGCCAGAGGCCACACACTCCAGGGCCCTGACATTCAGGACCCAGCCCGAAGGCCCTGTGCAGGGAGAGGCTTACGCAGGGAAGTCGCTGGCATACTGCCACCCCTCCTGGTCCGTGCCCCCCGGAACGCTGAAATCCACGAACCAGTCGGAAACCTGGGAGGAGTGGGTCAGTGAGGATGGGACCCCCCGAATCCAGAAGGCAGTCAGAACACTCGAGGAGGGGCAAGGAGGGGTGGGAGGGCGGATTCCCAACCCCCCAGGGGGCAGCGGGACCTCACCCAGGCCCACTGCAGGGACGGGGGCTTCGTGCCAGCCTTCGTGCACTCCTGCAGCCCCGAGGCATCGCTCCACATGTACCGGTCCGTGGGCAGACCCCTGCGGCAGGACAACAGGGCAGGTGACGAGGGAGACTGGGGAATGAACTGGCTCACTCAGACACCCCCATAACACCCCACAGGGAAGCACCGAGCTCCAGTCTCAGAGCCAGCCACCTCCAGGCACTCGCACTCCTAAGAGGTGACAGCCTGCTGGGCACAGTGGCTGACGCCTGTAATCCCAGCACTTTGGGAGGCTGACGCGGGCAGATCACCTGAGGTCAGGAGTTCGAGACCATCCTGGCCAACATGGTGAAACCCCATCTCTACTAAAATACAAAAAATTAGCCAGGTGTGGTGGCGGATGCCTGTAGTCCCAGCTACTCAGGAGGCTGAGGCAGGGGAATCGCTTGAACCCGGGAGGCGGAGGTTGCAGTGAGCGGAGATCGTGCCACTACGCCACTGCACTCCAGCCTGGCGACAGAGCAAGACTTCGTCTCAAAAAAAAAAGGCGGGGGGAGGGGGGAAAATTTGGACACAGACACATGCATAGAGGGGAAAAGACTTTCTTTCTCTCTTTCTTTCCCTTTCTCTCTTGCTCACTCGTTCTCTTTTCTTTCTTTCTTTTCAGAGACAGGCTGTCGCTCTGTCACCCAGGCTGGAGTGCAGGGGTATGATCATAGCTCACTGCAGCCTCGAATTCCTGGGCTCAATTGATCCTCCCAACTCAGCCTCCTGAGTAGCTGGGACCACAGACACATGCCACCATACCTGGCTAATTTATTTTTAAGTGTCCTGTAGAGATGGAGTCTTGCTTTGTTGCCCAGGCTGATCTCGCCTTGTAAAGCACTGGGATTACAGGCGTGAATCCCCACACGTGGCCACATTTCTCTTGTTCAAACCATGTGGTCTGTGGTACTTTGTTAGTACCACCACAGGACACTCGAGTGGCAGGAAGCAGCACATAGGGCAGTTCTGGGGACGGCTGAGGCTGAGATGCCTGGAGAACGCAGCTGGGGCACGCATTTGTGTTGACCAGCTGTGGCCCTTTCAGGCCTCTCTGAGACAGATGTGGGTGCGCAGCCCTGCCCTGCCCTGCCCTGTCCTCCGTCGGAACTGAGGAGGACGTGAGGAGGGAGTGGAGATCCAAGTGTGCTGCCAGGCTGTGTGGACACTGCCCACAGCTGAGGCGGAGGTTTTCAGGATGGAAATATTTTGGCGATGTGTGCCAACCGCCTTAGAAAATCTCAAATCCCCTGATTTACTGGGGTAAACACACAGACACACAAATATTTACACACAGGGACATCCTTTAAATGGTTCCATAGGACGCTGAAAAGGTCACATATGGTTGAGACGTCCAAGGCTGAGTAAAGTCAGATACACTGGGTCCACTCTGGGTACAGAACGGTGAGGTCATGGAGCCACCTCCCTGTGCCTGGCCTTGTCTGCCCCCAACACGGACACACAGTATGGCTGGAAGGCCACACCCCACATGCTAATTGCAGTTGCTGTCTTTGGCTGGTGAGATTAGAGTTGTCAGAGAGTTTGTTGTTTCTATTACTAAGTGTTTATTTCGTCAATTTGGAAAAGGCAGAAGTGGAGGCCGGGCGCAGTGGCTCTCGCCTGATGATGCCTGTAATCTCAACACTTTGGGAGGCTGAGGCGGGCTTCGGGAGTTCAGGAGTTGGAGACCAGCCTCACCAACATGGTGAAATCCTGTCTCTACTAAAAATACAAAAATAGCCAGGTATGGTGGTGCATGCCTGTAATCCCAACTACTCGGGAGGCTCAGGTAGGAGAATCGCTTGAACCCAGAAGGCAAAGGCTGCAGTGAGCCAAGATCGCACCACTGCACTCCAGCCTGGGCGACAGAGTGAGACTGTGTCTCAAAAAACAAAACAAAAAAAACAAAGAAAAGCAGGAGAGGAAATCAATTGCATTTCTTTAGACAGCCTCAAAAAGTTAAAAAAAAAATTTAAAACTTTGAATATGCCACTTATAATACTGTCCAAAAATATGAAATACCGTCTAATAAAAGATGTCAAAGCTCCAGTATAGAAAACTACAGGTCAGGTGTGGTGGCTCGCACCTGTAATCCCAGCACTTTGGGAGGCCGAGGCAGGCGGATCATGAGGTCAGGAATTCAAGACCAGTCGGACCAACATGGTGAAACCCCGTCTCTACTAAAAATACGAAAATTAGCTAGTCGTGGTGGAGCGCGCCTGTAATCCCAGCTACTTGTTAGGCTGAGGCAGGAGAATAGCTTGAACCTGGGAGGCAGAGGTTGCAGTGAGCCAAGATCGCGCCACTGCACTCCAGCCTGGGCGACAGGGCGAGACTCGGTCTCAAAAAAAAAAAAAAGAAAAAGAAAACAAAAGTACAAACCTCTCTTTCTTCTATCTCTGGTGCTTGAATCAGGAACAGAATCTTATTAAGAAGGAATTACATACATTTCTTGGAGGTAGAAACTTTGTCAATACAGTTAGAGACTTCTGACCGGGCGTGGTGGCTCATGCCTGTAACCCCAGC
The DNA here is from genome assembly GCF_000001405.40 of Homo sapiens. Taxonomy (NCBI): domain Eukaryota; kingdom Metazoa; phylum Chordata; class Mammalia; order Primates; family Hominidae; genus Homo; species Homo sapiens. The sequence continues at coordinate 98,227,574 of NC_000007.14, forward strand.
ACTTTGGGAGGCTAAGGTGGGCAGATTACTTGAGGTCAAGAGTTCAAGACCAGTCTGGCCAACATGGTAAAACCCTGTCTCTACTAACAATACAAAAAATTTGCCAGGAGTGGTGCCAGGCGCCTGTAATCCCAGCTATTCGGGAGGCTGAGGCAGGAGAATTGCTTGAACCCAGGAGGCGGAGGTTGCAGTAAGCTGAGATCATGCCATGGCACTCCAGCCTGGGTGACAGAGCAAGACCCTGTATCAAAAAAAAAAAAAAAAAAAAAAGATTCAAGGAAAAAAATCTCAGTGAGCGGTAAGATCCGGTTAGTTTCCTGCTGGCGGCCTGACACCAGGCTCTACTGGACTCCACGCTACGGTGGATGTTGCTGTCCTATTTTTGCCAGGACTAAGGCCTATGCCAGGCAGCATCCTGGCCGGGCACCTGTGCCACTTACCTGCTGGTGTAGCCTGTGACGGGGTTCCAGCGCTGGTTCTCATAGATGTGAACACACTTCACGTCTGACTGCGTGTAGATGTTACTGGTGCTGCTGGCCAGGCCTGTGGGGAGAGGTGGCTGCTGGGACCGAGGCCACATACGCTCCGCTTGGGACTCTGGCTTTCCGTCTGAAGCACAGATTCCCAGAGAGACGGGGAGGGCGGGCTGGAGCCAGGTCAGCGGAGAGGAGCAAACAGTCCTGTTGAGCTTATCGCACGGGGGTCGGCCTGGCTTGGGTTTTCTCCTCCGGGACCGTGATTATTCTGGGATTGTGCAACCTCGATGAGCACAGCCTGCTGTGCATTAAATCTCCCATCCACACCCCTCCAGCGCCTCTTCCCACCTTGCCCTCCTACTTAGCACCAGGGAGGCATGAGGCCCACCCAGCTCACTCTGTGTTACAAAGGCACCTGGGACCATCAACGTAACCTCCGTGAGCCCCGGCTTCCTCACTTGTAAAATGAAGACAGAGGTCATTCCTGCCTCACACACAGGGAAGCTGGAAAGCCTGCTCAGATATGCGTTCCTGGGGTATCAGGGGACCACAGTTCTCTGGGGTTAGCTGCTCCCCCGTGGGGCATGTGGGCTGCGGCCTGGAACGCCCCGTTTCAGTGTCTGTTTCCGCCTTCGTTTTCCAGTAGGAACAGAGGGACCCTGGCTCCTAGAAATCGGGGGGCCACAGAAGTTCAGCGAGTGCCTACCCTGAAGGAGGAACCCACCTAACACCCTGAAAATGAGAGGCTGGACATGCTGGTGGACCCTGGCCGCTGCCTCTCTGGAACCTTCGAGGCCCTCAGCTCGAAGTGGGTACTGGCAGGGACCATCCTGGGTGGAGGCTGGCAGTGGTGAAGGTCACCTGTCAGCCAGCTGTTAGCCGAGTGTGAACACTGGGACAATGGCCCTGGCCTTGGGCAGGGAACCCAGACGGGGACTAGAGGAAAGAACGCCCAGGAAGGCTCCGGGGGGGCTGTGGGCCGCCCTCACCTTGGAAGCAGCCGCCTCCATAGCCGCCTGTGTATACCCAGGCCGTGTGGTCATAGCCGATGCCCCACACCACGCCCCGGCTGTTGGCCTCCACCATCCGCAGGTGGCCTCCCATCTGCCGCCAAAACCTGGAAGGATGGGAGAGGGCAGGTGGAAACCCCTCAGACCCCACCTTCCAACCCTGCCTGGCTGCCCTTTTGTTCCGTGTCCTCCTGTGGTTCTGGGATTTTCCCAGCCCTCGGTCTCCAAGCACAGACCATCCACCCTGCCTGACCTCCGCGTTCATATTAATCAACGCTAAAAAGACTCAGCCCACGAGAGGTGCAGGGTCTCGGCACTGGGGCTGTGCAGGTCAGACCCTCTCCATGGGCTGGGAGTCTTCTGGAACCCACCCACTTCAGCCCCATGGTGACATGGAGGGAGATGAGGCCAGCGGCGTGTTTCACAGGGGCCCCTTGGGGTCTGGGACCTGGGGAAATGGGCTGGCCACAGTGGCAGGTGCAGCCAGGCTTGAATGTCACAGAGCAGAGCCGGACATGACATCTAATCCTCTGCATGAGTGACAGCACGGCCCTTGGGCTTCCAGGGTGTCAGCGGGAGGCGGTGCCAGCACAGCATGGCCTCCTGGGTGGGCAGAGTGCAGGCTGCGGCTGGTGCAGGTCACAGCCTCCTGCGGCCGAGGCCCTGTCACTGTCACTGTCACCAGAGGCGGTCTGAATCCTCTGACAGGATATTGCTGTCCCCTCCTGCAGCCAGGGCTTCTGGCTCACTATGTCCCCAGCCCCAGTGCCCACGGGTAATGAAGCCCAGGACCTCGTCGGCTTGGGAACAACCCCAGGGCAGCCTCTGTCCCACAGGGGACAGAATCATAGCCCCCATGTCCCCTGCCGGGCCCTTGTCCTCAGGACTCAGCTCAGATCCCCCCCCCAGGGAACCTCATTCCCCCTTTGTGGCTTTTTTTTTTTTTTCTGAGACAGGGTCTCGCTGTGTTGCCCAGGCTGGAGTGCCGTGGTGTGAGTGTGATCACACCTCACTGCAGCCTTGAACTCCTGGGCTCAAGTGATCTTCCCACCTCAGCCCTCCGAGCAGCTGGAACTACAAGTGCATGACACCATGCCTTGCTAACTTTTTTGGTTTCTTTTTTTTTTTGTAGAGACGAGTCTAGCTATGTTGCCCAGGCTGGTCTTGAACTTCTGACCTCAAGTGATCCTCCTACCTCAGCCTCCCAGAGTGATGAGATTGCAGGCGTGAGCCAACCTGCCTAGCCCCACCTTGTGGCTCTCAATGTCCCCAACAGAACAATGTCTCCTAGGCTTGTGCGCCCAGCCCTGCCCTCACCCCACTCCAGCCTGGCTACCCCACGTCCCCCAGGTCCAGTCTCCACCAGCATTTCCCAGTGCCAAACGTCAAGTCCTCTCTCTGCCCACTCCTGCTGGACTTCAAACCCTACCAACTCTGCCTTGACCACGCCCCCAAACTCTCCTCCCACAGCGGCTCTCTCCTCTCTGCCCCCAGGCCCCGGGCCGCCCATGCAGCAGGGGCTCAGCTGGAGCTGGAGGCGGCTGAGCACCGGGTCTGTGCCCTGGGCAGGTGGAGAGACGTGGCTGCTTTGCTACAGCCTGGAAGCCCCCTGGGGTGGAGAATTGTGCCCCTCACCCACACTCCACATTCCTCCCGATGCTCAGAGGCTGCTGGGCGGCACTGACCCACCCTGGGCCCAGTGGGGCTTCTGGTTCCCCCTCTTGGAGTCTTTGGACAGGCCCAGGGGGACTTGGGGGCCTGGGAACCAGTGGCCGTGCCTCTGCCTGGTCAGCGAGAAGCTTGACCCTGCGTGGACTCCAGTCCTCTGGATCCCCCTTCTGTAACCACGAGCTCGGGGTGAGGCCAGGCCCCAGACCCCACCCAGAGTGCGGCTCACTCACATCTGGTCGCAGGGCAGGGGGTGCTCGTGGGCCTCCAGGTCTGGGCTGGGCTCGCTCACGAAGATGTCCCCCTTGCAGGTGATGGACCAGATGGCCTGCGGGGACGGGCGGCCCTGCACCTTCCGGCTCTCGCAGCAAGACAGGCTGAGCAGGGCGAGCTGGTGTGGCACAATGCCGGTCACTGCTGAGCAGGCCAGGCCAGGCCAGGCCACCCCACCATGGCTATCCCTCCCCCCGGCCCGAGGGGACCACCGACCACTCACCCAGTCATTCATGTCCTGCTCGGTGGCAGCAGCCAGACGCACCGGCCACCTCTGCCGTGTCCGCTCAGGGGTGTACAGGGCAAAGGAGTGCTTGGTCTCGTTCAGCACTGGGACCAGCGCCACCACCTCATTCAGGAATATGTGGATGTACTGTTCACAGAACAGGCGCCCGGCAGGGCTGTCACCCAGGGCAGGAGGCCTCTGGAGGGTGACCCCCACTGTGCTTCACCCTGGGACCCTGGCCCTCGGACACCCTCTCTCCTGGCACCCCCAGCCCTGCCCCCTCCCTTGGTACTTCATTTCTTTACCCCCTCCCCAGGCACCCCCATTTCTGTACCCCCTCCCCTGGGCACCCCCATTTCTGTACTCCCTCTCCTGGGGCACCCCCATTTCTGTACCCCCTTCCCCGGGCACCCCCATTTCTGTACCCCTCCCCTGGGTACCCTCATTTCTGTGTCCCTCCCTGGGCACCCTCATTTCTGTACCCCTCCCCTGGGCACCCCCATTTCTGTACCCCTCCTCTAGCACCCCAGCCCTGTGTCCCCTCCCTGGCCCCATCTCCTGTGGGACCCGTGGGCACCTTCTTCTCCTCGTGGACCACATAGTAGATGAAGAGGATGCTGTCCCGGACGCCGTCGTGCCCCGTGAACTGCTCCAGGGCCAAGCGCACGTCCACCCACTTGTGGGGCTTCCAGTCGCACCACCACTGCAGCGCCCCGGTCTTCACCCACACCGACTGCGCAGGCCGGGGCAGTGGACACCATCACAGGCAGGCCCGGGGTGCCAGGGGAGGAGGGCGGGGCTGGGGGTGCCCAGAGGAGGAGGCAGGGCTGGGGTAGGGCCCACCCAGCACTCCCGGCTGTCAGCCCAGCTCCCCCTATGCTAATGATAACAGTGACGCTGCCGGACACCCAATAGGTGCAGGCTGAGCCAGGGCTGTTCCGTACAACCTCCTCTCTCTCAAACAGCCAGAGTGGGCACTGCCATCCCGCCTTCTGCATGGGGAGACAGGCTCGGGAGGGTTCCGTGCCTGGCTTTGGTGTCACAGAGTGAGCCAGCGGCAGAGCTAGAACCCAAACCACAGCCTACTTGTGTCCAGGGGCCTTTGGAATGAGGCAGGTCACATGCTCTGTGTGACTTCCCTGTCACCCCCACACTTGACCTCTGAGGGCCGGGCTCTGCCACAGGATAGTGGGGCAGAAGCAGGGTCAGCCCAGGGGTGGGGTCTCCGGCCGCCCTCTGTGCTAACTCCTTGCAATCACACGCTACACCCCTGGGCGCCCGGGGTTCCCTCCAGCAGGAAGAGGATGACGTGGTTCCCCTCCCTGGCCACCCTCCCTTCCCCACCCACCACCCTCTGAGGTTGCTGCCGTCTCTGGGTCCCCAGGGCCTCCAACGAGTCTGGAACACAGTGAGGCCCAAACCAAAGTCTTCAGGATGGACGAAGAAACCCTGAGCTCATTTCTCTATGCCTGCATCTGGGCGGGAGACCAGGGGATGGAGGCATCTATCTGTTTCTCTCAGAGCTGGTACACAGCAGGCGCTCAATGAATGATTGCTGGAAAAAAAAAAAAAATGCATGCGCAGCCACCGGGGCACCCACCTGCTCCACGGCCTGCTCGTAGTGTCTGAAGTTCTCCAGCTCCCGCTTGGTCCTTTCCGTGAGCTGCTGGAAGATCTGCTTCCTCCAGGCAGCGGTCTGGGCCGGCGTGATGGACAGGGACAGCATGTGTACCGAGGAGGACAGGCCTGTGGGGCAGAGAGAGCCTCAGGGCCGGGGCACTGTCCTGCCCGCAGCTGGGCAGGAAGCCACGGCGCTCCCCTCCACCAAATCAGCCCTTTCTAGCTCAAAAGCTACGCTCTCTGTTAAGCCTCCTTCCACCCTTTGCCCTGTTGGATGAGTTGCTCTCCCCCAGTAATTCAGCCTGGAAAGCAGCCACCACCGCTAGCACAGGGGAGGGGCTGCAGACAGGGGAAGGGGCACTGGCCACCGTGCTTCCAGGTCCTGACAGCCTCGGGCTGGTCTCTGGAGGCCACAGAGGAGCGCAATGCCTGGCTCAGAGCTGCTGAGCACAGTGAGGCGTCCAGGGAGGACAGCAGGCCTGCCCGAGCCCCCTGACCCCGGCCTCCTCCCACACCCCACACCCCCAGGGCACCTGGCCATGTGGATGCCCCCAGGCCCTGCAGGAGCCCTTACCCGCCTGGACAGTGAACCATCTGGGCATGGCACATGCCTCCACCACGCAGCCGCCTCCCGACACCCAGGCCCACAGCGGGTGGTCATCCACCCCATACGGCTCCTCCAAGCCCAGTGGGAGGAGCCCCAGAGAGGAGAGGCTGGTGGTCTCGGGGAAGCCAGCGGCCGAGTGGCTGGGCACTTTCTTGGCCTCCTTGAGGTCAATATTGGTCCAGGGCAGCTCGGCCGGGGTGGGGGCCGGGCCGGGGTGCGTGTTGGGTCTGGCCTCCCTGCTGCCCTCGGCTGGGCAGGCATCTTCCACGGTATCTTCTGCGGTCCTGCCAGCCCCCAGGCCTGAGGCTGAGTTCCCTGTGGCATTCTTGGAATCGTCTAGAGGTTCTGCAGGGAGAATCTGGCCAGGCCCTGGTCTCTCGACTTCCGAGGAGGCATCGGTGTCGCTGGGGGCAGACTCGCCACTACCCCTCACCTCATCACCGAAGAAGCAGCCGGCACTGGGGACAAATCAGGGCAGACCCATCACTCCCTTGCAGGGGAACAGGCGCTGTCAGGCAGGCCCAGCTCCAGCGTGCTCCACCATGACTGCCTGTGGAAACTTGGGCAAGTCAGAACCTCTCTGAACTCCTGTCTCTTCCTCTGTGCAAGGTATACATCAGCACCTGCTTCCAGGGAGCTGACACCTGGGCCACCCTGCAGACCAATCACATCCACATATCTGAGAGTGAAGATCTAGAATTAGTATTTCTTCTTTTTTTGAGACGGAGTCTCACTGTCATCCAGGCTGGGGTGCAGGGGCACAATCTCAGCTCACTGCAACCTCCGCCTCCCAGGTTCAAGCGATTCTCCTGCCTCAGCCTCCCGAGTAGCTGAGAGATTACAGGCATGCACCACCACGCCTGGCTAATTTTTGTATTTTTAGTAGAGACGGGGTTTCACCATGTTGGCAGGCTGGTCTTGAACTCCTGACCTCAAGTGATTCGCTGGGCTCAGCCTCCCAAAGTGCTGGGATTACAGGCGTGAGCCACCGCGCCCGATCATAAACCTCTTTTCTTTATAAAAGACCAGCTTCAGGATTCCCTTATAGCAACACAAAATGGACTAAAACGCGTTTTCAAGCCTCTTGGATATACACCCAGCAGTGGATGTGCTGGCTCACATGGCAGTTCTGGGTTTCATGTCTTGAGGAATTGCTAAATTGTTCTCCACAGTGGCTGTACCATTTCACATTCCTACCAGCAGTGTATGAAGTTCCAATTTCTCCATGTTCTCACTAGCATTTGTTATTGTCTTTTTTTTTTTTTTTTTTTTTTTGAGATAGAGTCTTTCTCTGTTGCCCAGGCTGGAGTGTAGTGACGTGATCATAGCTCACTGCAGCCTCGACCTCCTGGGCTCATGTGATCCTCCCACCTCTGCCTTGTAAGTAGCTAGGACTACAGGCCCATGCCACAGCACCCAGATAATTTTTTAAAAAATTCTTGTAGAGATGGGGTCTCACTATGTTGTCCAGGCTGACCTTGAACTCCTGGGCTTAAGCGATCCACCCACTTTGGCCTCCTGAAGTGCTGGGACTGCAGGTGTGAGCTACCGCACCCAGCCTTGCCTTTCTTCCACTGACTTTTCACTCTCTTGATAATGTCCTTTTGATTCACAAAAGTTTTTAATTCTGATGAAGTCCAATTTATCTGTATTTCCTCATTGCCTGTGCTTTTGGTGTCATATCTAAGAAGCTATCGCTAACCTCAAAGTTATAAAGATTTGGCATCTGTAGTTTTTGAAGCTTCTCAGCTGATTCTAATGTGCTTTCCAGTTTAAGAACTAACAGCTGGGGCCAGGCGCAGTGGCTCACGCCTGTAATCTCAGCACTTTGGGAGGCCAAGGCGGGAGGATCACAAGGTCAGGAGATCGAGACCATCCTGGCTAACACGGTGAAACCTGATCTCTACTAAAAATACAAAAAATTAGCCAGGTGTGGTGGCGGGTGCCTGTAGTCCCAGCTACTCGGGAGGCTGAGGTAGGAGAATGGCGTGAACCCTGGAGGTGGAGCTTGCAGTGAGCCAAGATCGCGCCGTGGCACTCCAGCCTGGGCGACAGAGTGAGACTCCGTCTAAAAAAAAAAAAAAAAAGAACTACCAGCTGGCGGGGTGTGGTGGCTCACGCCTGTAATCCCAACACTTTGGGAGACAGAGGTGGGAGGGTCACTTGAGGTTAGGAGTTCAAGCCTAGCCAACATGGGGAAACCCTGTCTCTACTAAAAATACAAGAATTAGCCAGGTGTGGTGGTGAACATCTGTAATCCCAGCTACTTGGGAGGCTGGGGTGGGAGGATCACTTGGGCCCAGGAGTTTGAGGCTGCAGTGAGCCATGATCACACCACTGCACTCCAGCCTGGATGACAGAGTGAGACTGTCTCAAAAAAAAAAAAAAAAAAAAAAAACACCATCTGAGCAGACTAAACCCTCAGGTGACACATGAGCAAACGCCTGCCCTGGCTGTCCTCCCTGGGCCTCTGGGCTGACAGCACGGCAGGGTGGCAACCACCAGGCTCAGGGCACAGAGGGGTGTGGACCAGGGGCTAGGGAGGGTCACAGCTATAGGTGGAAACGTGGACGGCTGCAGAGCCTGGGCCCTGAGCGCCATCTCCATCCATGCCCATGATGTGGACACGCCCGCTGCAGAGCTGAGATGTCCCCAGCTCATCCACTGAGTCGCCTGCCTGTGCTCTCACGGCTGGTGGGCAGAGCTGGGGCTTGTCCATGCTCTTTAGACCCACGGACCACCAGGTGCAGCCCCAAAACTGCAGCAGCATCACCTGGGGGCTGGTGAGAAATACCAAGTCTCAAACAAACTCGGGGTAAGACCCGGAGATCAAAGTCTGAACAAACCCTCCAGGAGACCCCGATGCCTGAGTCTGAGACCACTGCTGCAGGCTGGGCAGAGACCCTCTGTCTTGTCCTTGTTTCCCCTGGACAGAAGGGCCTTTACTTCCACCCCAGAGAAACTGTTTCTGCCCCAGATCTTCAGCCTCGGACCCAATGGGACAACCCAGCTCAGGGTCGAGCCTTACCTCCATCACGACAGCCCAGCCTTACCCTGCTCCCAGGTGCCGCCACCAGCAGCCCAGAGTATGTCAAACACCTCCAGTGGCCACCCCAGGCTGCCCCCAGGACCTCCTCTCTGTGGGACCGAGGCAGGAGGGCTTCGGCTCTTGTGGCTTTTGTGAGTGGAGACCCATTTTCTCCTGCCTGGGACAAGTCCTGGGACCCAGTGGGGCAGGTGGCAGCCTCTTCTGGACATGACCACCTAGGCTCAGACGGCCCATCCCAGCCTGACTCCTGCGCACCCTGCCACCCCCAGTCACCTGAGGAGACTAGACGAGCTGCCAGAGTGTGACCGGTCACACTCTCGGGCCGCGATGATGGCTTTCCAGGTCTTCCCACTGAGCTCGCTGGGGGTGACACCCTGCCGGAAGTACACGGCTCGGTCCTCACAGCCAATGCCCCACACCTGGAAGAGAGAGGCTGTGTTCCGAGGAATCTGGGCGCAGGCCCGGGGGCTCTTCTCGCTTCCTAGGGGTGCAAAATGCAGGCAGGGTCCTCCATGTGCAGGTGTGTGTGGGCTGGGAAGGTCCATGCTGGGGCTGTGTGGTGGGCACAGAAGTCAAATACTGGAAGGGGGCTCAGGAGAAGCTGCGACCTGGTCCCGTCTCCCTGACCTCAGGCAGACCCAGGGTTTCAAGGTGACAAGGTCCACGGGAAGTGGCGGGGCTGGGGGACGCTGTGTTAGGAAATGAGGTTCACCTGCCTCCCTGTCTTGCGTGTGCCCTCTGGTGGGAAGCAGATGCCCCCAGTGAACCCAGAGGTGGTCCTGGTTTTGTTGTCTTTGTTTTTTGTTGTTGAGACAGAGTCTTGCTCTGTCACCCAGGCTGGAGTGCAATGACGCAGTCTTGGCTCACTGAAACCTCCGCCTCCAGGGCTCAAGTGATTCTCCTACCTCAGCCTCCCAAGTAGCTGGGATTACAGGCTCCCATCACCACACCCAGCTAAGTTTTGTTTTGTTTTGTTTTGTTTTTGAGATGGAGTCTTGCTCTGTCACCCAGGCTGGAGTGCAGTGGCGTGATTTCGGCTCACTGCAACCTCCGCCTCCCAGCTTCAACCGATTCTCCTGCCTTAGCCTCCAGAGTGGCTGGGATTACAGTCACGTGCTACCACGCCCAGCTAATTTTTGTATTTTTAGTAGACACAAGGTTTCACTGTGTTGGCCAGGCTGGTCTCAAACTCCTGACCTCAGGCGATCCACCCACTTCACCCTCCCAAAGTGCTGGGATTACAGGCGTGAGCCACTGTGCCCGGAATGTTTTTGGTTTTTTTTAGAGATAGGATCTCACTCTGTCACCCAGGCTGGAGTGCGGTGGTGCAATCATGCATGGCTCATTACAGCCTTGACCTCCTGGGCTCAGGCAATCCTCCTGCCTTGGCCTCCTGAGTAGATGGGACTACAGGTGCACACCACCACACTTGGCTAATTTTTAAATTTTTGTAGAGATGGGGTCTCACTATATTGCCCAGGCTGGTCTCAAACTCCTAGGCTCAAGTGGTCCTCCCACCTTAGCCTCCTAAAGTGCTGGGATTTACAAGTGTGAGCCACCACACCTGGCCGTGGTGTTTTTTTTTTAAGATGTAAAGTAACTTCCCTGATTCTGACCTCACTTTCCATGGAAAAGGTTTCTGGGTAGGCATCCTACTCTCTGCCTTTGGGCAAGAAGTAAGGTTTGCTAAAGGGCCTAGGTGGCCTGGCTAGGTAGGCTGTGGCGTCTCTGTCCCTTGGCCCTGGCAGGCTCGCCTTGGGTTCAGCACCCCTGTGCACTAGCAGGTGCCTGTCTCCCCCTGGCCTCTGGGTGCTGTGCCACCGGGGGGGTGGGAGGAGGGTGTGGCAGCAGAGGGAAGCCTGGCACCTCAGAAAGAACTTCTTGCTCAGTACAATGGAGTGGGGGGCTCTCCTACAGTGGGAAGCGGCCACTAGGCTATTGGGTGGCATCAGGAGCCCCCATTCTGAGACCCCTGCTGTTTAGGGGCTGCAGACCCACGTGCACACCTGGTCGTTCATTCCCACGTTCACCATCGTCATCTCACCAACCATCTCAATCCAACTGGTGCCGCAGGGATTGTGAGAGTTGACGCCTCTTCGGAACCACACCTGGGGGAGTCAGAAATAAACATGCCTTCCTGGAGGGCCACTGAAACAGACGGTTCGTTCGTTTAAGCCTCAGGGAGAACAAGTGAATAATTTGATCCTTTGGTTCACGTCGCAAATGAGCAGTGGTACATCATTTAGCGAGGAAGCCCTTATCCGTGATCCACGCCGCTCTTCCCACACCCTGACCGCATCTCCTGTGCCTGGCACTGTCCCACGAGGGCTGAGGGTCCTCTGGCCTCAGCCACATGTGTCCTGGCAGCTTCCTGCCCATTCTCCAGCCTAACGCTTGGAAAAGGCTACTTTATTTGAATTGAGTTGGTCCCTGTGAAAGACAACGGCCTTAATACTGTTATTTAGGAAAACTAGTTTTTAAAAAGCTCATTATTAGAAAAAACAAGACCCCTATTTTGGGTCTATTCTTAGTACTTCAAGAAATACTTAAAGTGAAGTATTTTCATGTCGACGTGTAAAAATACACACACTCCCACTAGATTTTCCCAGACTGTCTGTGGCTCTGTGATTCAGCGGCTGGTCATGCTCCACCCCGCCACCCGGCATTCCATCAGGGCTCTTCTTATACATTCTCCATGGTGGCCTGGGAGGCCCCGTTAGTCTCAGACCTACTGGAGACCTTGTGCTATTAGAATGCCTGAGATGCTGCCAGACACGGTGGCTCACACCTGTAATCCCAACACTTTGGGAGGCTGAGGCGGGTGGATCACCTGCGGTCAGGAGTTGGAGACCAGCCTGAACAACATGGTGAAACCCTGCCTCTACTAAAAAATACTACAAATACTAGTCAGGTGTGGTGGTACACGCTTGGAACCCCAGCTACTTGGGAGGCCATGGCAGGAGAATCGCTTGAATCCAGGAGGTGGAGGTTACAGTGAGCTGAGATCGGGCCACGGCATTCCAGCCTGGGTGACGGAACGAGACTCTGTCTCAAATTAAAAAATAAAAAAAAGAAATCCAATGTTGCCCATTTAATCCAAAGAAAGTGACACATGGCTGTAAGAGGGGCTTGGAAGTTGTGGTCTCTGGGAAGTGGGGTGACCAGGATCCAATGTGGGGGACAGTCTGGTCTGTATTTTTGTGGGCTGGGAGTGGCCTCAGACTCTGAGAGCTTCAGCACTGGAGATACAGATGCAGACGTGTGGGCCGTCCATCCCCCGGGCCAGGGAAACCCCCTTGACAAGCAGTTAGAAAAACCCTGTGACTGGCCAGGCACGGTGGCTCATGCCTGTAATCCCAGCACTTTGGGAGGCTGAGGCGGGCGGATCATGAGGTCAGGATATCGAGACCATCCTGGCTAACTCGGTGATACCCCATCTCTACTAAAAATACAAAAAATTAGCCGGGCGTGGTGGCGGGCGCCTGTAGCCCCGCTACGAGGGAGGCTGAGGCAGGAGAATGGCGTGAACCCGGGAGGCGGAGCTTGGAGTGAGCAGAGATTGCGCCACTGCACTCCAGCCTGGGTGACAGAGCGACACTCCGTCTCAAAAAAAACAAACAAAAGAAAAACCCTGTGAGTAATCGGAAATCGGCTGGTTTTATTGGACTTGCCGCTGATAAGATGCAAAAGACAAGCAGTGACTAGAGGATGGGGAGGCGCTTGGTTAATCAAGGGCTTCAGGAAATTCGCTTCCGATTCTTCGAAATGTTGCAGCCTATTAGGTGATACTTGCAGTTGCTGCATTTGGGTACCAGCGTGTGGGTGGAAGAGGATTTTACGGCACAAAACGTCCTGGAGATTGGCAACAATTTCAGCAACAAACAATGCATGGTGCTCAGCTGGTGCCGGATTTGTTCTAATGGGTTTTTCTTTTTTGAGACGGAGTCTTTCTCGTTGCCCAGGCTGGAGTGCTATAGTGCAATCTTGGCTCACTGCAACCTCCACCTCCCAGGTTCAAGCAATTCTCCTGCCTCCCAAGTAGCTAGGATTACAGGTGCCCGCCACCATGCCCAGCTAATTTTTTGTATTTTTAGTAGAAACAAGGTTTCACCATGTTGGCCAGGCTGGTCTTGAACTCCTGACCTCAGGCAATCTGCCCACCTAGGCCTCCCGATGTGCTGGGATTACAGACGTGAGCCACTGCACCCGGCCTGGGTTTTTCTTTTTTTTTAATTTGAGACAGGGTCTCGCTCTGTCACCCAGGCTGGAGTCCAGTGGTGTGATCACAGCTCACTGCAGTCTCCAACTCCTGGGCTCAAGTGATCCCCCAGCCTCATCCCCATCTTACCTTCCAGTCCTTGGTGACAGCCCAGACCACGCTGACTCCCACCGAGATGTGCATGACCCCGTTTTCAGATCCAGGAGGCTCCACGATGGACCAGGAACTTCCTACCGGGCCCCCAAGAAACCCCCAGTGGCCCCCATCAGCCTGGACAGCTGGGGAGCGAGTGACCCTCACCCTTCTCCCCAGTACAGGGTATGTGGGTGGGGGAGCCGGGCTGCCCACCTTTGGGATTGCTCCTGTTGATTCCTTCCCGGACCAGGGCCTGTCCCTCCCAGAGTGTGGCCCACAGGAGGTCGTGGGGCCCACAGCTGATCTGAACCACCTCCCCGGGGGTGTCCAGCAGGGACCAGGAGGACCCTTCGGGGTTGGAGTGGCTGACGTCCTCTCTGTACCACACCTGGGAGGCAAGACAGGGACACAGCACCTGCATCAACTCATTCACACCAGCCAAGCACGGGGGTCTCGGTGTGGTAGGGGGTAGGACCCATGTCCCCTGACCGTCCAGATCTCACTCCCTGCCCCCTACCCCGGCCAAAAAACGCAAACCCTGGATTCCGGTGGTCCTGAGGGATACACTTGTTCCATTCATCTGTTTGGGGTGATGCCCCCAACCCAGCCCACTCATGGACACCCACCCACCACCTGATTCCAGTCTCAGGCATGTGGGTCTCCGGCCACTCTGGCCAGCCCGTGTGTCCCATGCCCCCTTGTGGCGATGTGCTCTCAGGACACCCGGCTCCAGGGGAGGCTCCAACTCCCATTCATAAACTATCTAAGACGTCAGTTCTTTTTTCCTTCACTGAATGGTTAAGACTGGGAGCAACGTGCTCAGAGCGTCTGAACTGTTTGGCTCATTTTAGCTGGGGGAGACTACATGTCACTTCGTGATCCAGAAAGGGCAAGGGACCCTCCCCATAGGGCTGTCTTCAGACAGGGGACCCAGCCTCCCAATCCTGCCACCATCCCCCTACAGCAGGCCCTGCAGGACCAGGCCTAGGAGCCTCCCTTCGGCTAGCAGGTGGCCCATCTGTCTCCCCAGCTTCTACAGAAGCCCAGGTCCTGGTGCCACCTCTCATGGACCACAGGTGTGGTGCAGGCAGCACCAGCTCACGGCCGACATTCCAGGACACAAACGCTGCTCTGCAGCCCCTGTTCTCCCCTCTCTCTCTTTGCATCCAGATGGCCATGGCCCCCCGATGGGGGCTCAGTCCTGGGGCAGCTCCCTCACTCTGCCCGGCCCCTCGCCACCGCCCTTCAGCAGGGCTGAGGAAGCAACTGTGTTCGCCTGTTCCCAGGCCAACGTGGCCGCAGAGGGGGGCTGCGACAAAACTGGCAACTTCTGAATAACTGCTAAGCCCACTGGGGAGCTGTGGTCAATGCGTGGTGAGAGCGACTGAAGAATCCTGCTGTGCAACAGAAAGCCATGACTCGAGTGTCAGCGCCCTGAGTTCAGGACCCTCGGGGCCTCTGCTGCCCTCAGGGGCTGCTTCGATTCCTCTGCTTAGTTCACAAACTCCTTGAGACAGGATTGCCTCTCTCTAAACAGCCACAGATCCACTACCCACCTACCCACCCACCCATCCATCCATCCATCCACACATCTGTCCACCTGCACACACCTTCCATCCATCCACACATATAACCACCTATCCATCTATCCATACACCCACTCACCCACTCACCCACCCACCTACACACCCATCCATCCATCCACACACCCACCCACCCATCCATCCACCCATCTATCCATCCATCCGCACACCCACCCATCTGTCCATCTGCACATACCTTCCATTCATCCACACATATACCCACCTATCCATCTATCCATACACCCACTCACCCACTCACCCACCCACCCACACAGCCATCCATCCATGCACACACCCATCCATCCATCTACACACCCACCCACCCATCCACCCACCCACCCATCCATCCATCCATCCACCCATCCATCCATCCGCACACCCACCCATCTGTCCATCTGCACATACCTTCCATTCATCCACACATATACCCACCTATCCATCTACCCATACACCCACCCACCCACTCACCCACCCATCCACACACCCATCCGCCCATCCACACACCCACCCACCCATCCATCCACACATCCACCCACACCCATCCATCCATCCACCCACCCATCCACCCATCCATCCACACACCCACCTATCCATCCTTCTGCCCACACACCCACCCATCCACCCATCCATCCACACACCCACCTATCCATCCATCTGCCCACACACCCACCCATCCACCCATCCATCCACACACCCACCTATCCATCCTTCTGCCCACACACCACCCATCCGTCCAGTGGCACACCTTCTGTCACCCACACACCCACCCCCACACTATTCCTGAAGACTGTGGGAGGCACCAGCAGGGAGCTCAGAAACTGTCTTGAGGAGGCCGCATTGATGTGCCTGAGCTGAGGCTGGGCACTGATCAGCACGCTGGGGGCTCGGAGGAGAGAAAGGCCAGGAGCAGGCATGGGGTGGGGGGGCCGGGGCTCCGGGGAGGAGCAAGACCCAGGGGGTGCACAGGACAGGACCCACAGGAGGTGGGATCGTGGGGAGCCAGGGCAGGGAGAGGGGTTGGCCTTACCTTGCCCTGCAGAGACACAGCCCACACTGACAGGCGGCCCACAGGCTCCTCCGTGATCTCCCAGCCCCCTACAGAGAGGTCGTTGAAGGGGTCGGGCAGCTCCTTGGGGTCATCCTTCGAGGGGATCTGAAGGAAGGAAGTGAGAAATGGTAGCAGTCAGCGCCCAGTGGGCACCTGGGCATGCACCCACCTCCCGCCCGCCTGCCATCCGGACTTCCATTCTTCAGCCCAGCCTGCAGCTGCCTTAATTCACAGGGAAGGCAGCATCAGGACTGTGGGGGCCCCTGCCCGGCTAATTTTTGTATTTTCAGTAGAGACGTGGTTTCACCATGTTGGCCAGGCTGTTCTCAAACTCCCGGCCTCAAGTGATCCACCTGCCTTGGCTTCTCAAGTGCTAGGATTACAGGCATGAGCCATCACACCCAGCCTCTACAAAAAATTTAAAAGTTAACCGGGCATGGTGGTGCATGCCTGTAGTCCCAGCTACTAGGGAGGCTGAGGTGGGAGGATTGCTTGAGCTCAGGAGTTCCAGGCTGCAGTGAGCTGTGACTGTACCACTGCACTCAACAGAGTGCAACAGAGCGAGACCCTATCTCTAAAAAGAAAAAAAAATAGGGCCAGCTCCCTGGTCTCCTGGCTTCTCCCAGTCCCAGGGGCAGCCCCACCTGACAGCCCTGTATGTCCCAGGGAGGCCTCCACTCATTGGAGGCCACGCCAAGACCTGGGTCCAGTGCTGTGCTCCCTAAGCTGGGAGGTTCTTCTGGGTCATGGAGCAACGCTAGAGCCAGAGGTGCCTCCCTTGGCTGAGGGGGAGGACAAAGTGCCAGATGGAGGCTCAGTCTGGGACAGAGCAGCTTGGACACCAGGGTCAGGGCAAGTTCTGTGCTGTCCTGGGCCTGGCCTGGCTCCCTGTGTGACTATCTCCCAAGTGAAGGGACACGCAGTGTCGTGGTGTTCCCGGGACAGGAAACAGCTCAAAGGCCAGGTCCCGAGGTGGGCGTGGTGTCCCCTGGTGCACACAGGTGGGGAAGGTGGAGAGGAGGCTGCATGTGACACTCTGTCCTGGCCCTATCCTGCCCCCAACCCACATTCAGGAACAGAGACCTTGGCCCAGATGTCCCGGGACTTGTATCTCCTGTACCGGATCCACTTCCGGCGCCGCACACAAGAATTCCACTTCTTGTCTTTCGTGTAGGTGGCGGGAAAGTCGATGGCGTACGTCCACCCCTGAAACACCAAGGAAGGGGCTCTCAGGCTCTGCGGGGAAGGCATTTGAAGAGCTGGGGAAGGTGGGGAGGGAGGGTGTGGCCTGAAACACCCGAGCTCAGGCACCACAGGGTGCAGGGGACAGAAGCAGGGACAGGCGGGAGGCACCCCCTCCCCACAGGGCAGTCATGGAGGGTCCCAAGTTCACCTACCCCTTTCTCAGTGGGTTCACCTCCAAAATTCTCATCCACGTACCAGTCAGACTCCCACTCCCAGTGCGGCGAGGGCAGTGCCACCCTGTCCAGCGGCCGGTGCTGGAGCCCACTCACGTCACTCCACCCCCAGCGGTCACTCAGCAGGAGCTTCTCACAGAAGCCGCCCATGGGATTCCAGCGCTGAGGGCCGGGGACACAGAGGCGGCCTTGGACCCAAGCCTGCTGGGCGGGAACCCAGGCGGGCCAGGCATCTCCAGGACCAGCTGACCCTGCCCAGCCGACCCCCTCATTGATCTCCAGAATAGGAAGTGAGCAGAGGGCCTGTGTGGGACCCAGCAACTGGGGACCCCCATGCCACTTCATCATGAGCCAGCAAGTACATCAGCACAGCCCCAAAGGGCAAAGAACCTCCTGCCAGCCACGGCGCTGTGAGCAGGGCAGGCGGTGGAGGGCACACCTTGTCCTAGGCTCCCAGAAACCACTGGAGCCTGCCCTCGTGGGGACCTGGCCAGACTGCTTTGGTGAGGACACAATAGTGGCTTCAGCCTCAAAGACCCTGGATACTATGCAACTTGAATTTTTTTTGGAGGGGCGGGGTGCAGGGGGACAGGGTCTTGCTCTGTTGCCCAGGCTGGAGTGCAGGGCACGATTATGGCTCACTACAGCCTTGACCTCCCTGGCTCAAGTGATCCTCCTGCCTCAGCCTCCTAAGTAGCTGGGACTAAAGGTGCACACCACCACACCCTGCTAATTCTTGTATTTTTTTTGTAGAGGCAGAGATTCACCATGATGCCTAGGCTGGTCTCAAACTCCTGAGCTCAAGCGATCTGCCCGCCACAGCCTTCCAAAGTGCTGGGATTACAGGCGTGAGTCACCACGCCTGGCAGCAACACAGATTTTAAGTACAAGGAAGGAAATGAAGGCAGGAACTGGTGGGGAATCTGGGGCCTCTATTTCCCTTCTGTGGTTCATCATTTTAACCAATAACCCAGCGAACTGACCCGCTCGGCAACTCCAACCATGAGGGTCACTACCTGATTCTCATAGGCCTCCTCTCGGCGGCGGATGGGGACATCGCTGGCACACACATACACGTAGACCTGGTTGTCACAGGCAATGCCCCAGCAGCACTGCGTGGTGGCGCTGACGCGCTTGAACTCCAGCTGGGAGTCCTTGCACATTTCCCAGTACTGGCCTGCTGTGGACAGCGTGTACACTCTCCCGAAGAGGTCCACCGCCCACAGCACTGAGTTGGGCATGGCAGCGGCTGGAGGTAACCTGCGGCAGGAGGACGAGGGCCAGCGTTCAGGCTCCCAGCCCAGGGGACATCAGAGTCATGTGAAACCTGGGAGACTTCTACTGTGACTATTTATTCTTTTTCTCTTTTTTTTTTTTTTTAGATGGAGTCTCACTCTGTCACCCAGGCTGGAGTGCAGTGGCGCAATCTTGGCTCACTGCAACCTCCACCTCCAGGGTTCAAGCAATTCTCCTGCCTCAGCCTCCCAAGTAGCTGGGATTATAGGCACCTGCCACCATACCCAGCTAGTTTTTGTATTTTTAGTAGAGACGGGGTTTCGCCACATTGGCCAGGCTGGTATCGATCTCCTGACCTTGTGATCTGCCTGCCTCAGCCTCCCAAAGTGCTGGGATTACAGGCGTGAGCCACCGCGCGTGGCCAACTGCTTATTCTTTCTTTTTTTGTTTATTTTTTTGAGACGGAGTCTCGCTCTGTTGCCCAGGCTGGAGTGCAATGGCACGATCTTGGGATCTTGGCTCACTGCAACCTCCACCTCCCAGGTTTTCTCCTGCCTCAGCCTCCCCAGTAGTTGGGACTACAGGTGCACGCCACCACGCCTGGCTAATTTTTGTATTTTTAGTAGAGACATGATTTCACCATGTTGGACAGGCTGGTCTCGAACTCCTGACCTCAGGTGATCCACCTGCCTCTGCCTCCCGAAGTGTTGGGATTAGAGGCATGAGCCACCACGCCCGGTCTCTTTTTTGTTTTTGAAAGAATTTAAAAATAGATCACTTGAGGCCAGGAGTTCAAGACCAGCCTGGTCAACATGGTGAAACCTCATCTCTACTAAAAATACAAAAATTAGCCAGGCACAGTAGTGTGTGCCTGTAGTCGCAGCTACTCAGGTGGCTGAGGCAGGATAATGGCTTGAACCCGGGAGATGGAGGTTGCAGTGAGCAGACACAGTGCCACTGCACTGCAGCCTAGGTGACAGAGGGAGACCCTGTCTCAAAAAAAAAGAATTTAAAAAGTAGAGACAGGGTCTTGCTCGGTCACCCAGGCTGGAGTGCAGTGGTTTGATTACAACTCGTTGCGGCCTCGAACTCCTGGGCTCAAGTGATCCTCCTACCTCAGCCTCCTGGGACAACAACAGACATGCACCACCATACCCAGCTAATTAAAAATTTTTTTTTTGTAGAGACAGAGTCTCACTATGTTGCCCAAGCTGGTCTCAAACTCCTAGTCTCAAGCAATCCTCCCATCTCGGCCTCCCAAACTGCTAGGATTACAGCCTTGAGCCACCATGCCTGGCCAGATCTTTGTTTTCAAAAGAATCAATGAAAGCTTACAGGTTTAGTTGAATCTCGAAAGATATAACTACCCCACTACTTCCCCAGGGGTCCTTCCCCAGAGTGGGCAGGTCTCCCCGCCATGTTGGCCTCTATCTGGGCATAATGAGGGCACGTTGAGAGCCAACGTGACCATGTGAATTCAGGGACGTAGGGGTCTTTTCTTCATGCGCCCTCAGTGACTCCTTCCTCCTCTTCCCCCGGCTCTCTTCTTCTGCCATTCTCTACTCCTTTCTTTTTCTTTTCTTTTCTTTTTTATTTTTTAAGAGAGTATCTTGCTCTGTTGTCCAGACTGGAGTACAGTGGTGCAATCATAGCTCACTGCAGCCTTGAACTCCTGAACTCAAGCCATCCTCCTGCCTCAGCCTCCTGAGTGGCTGGGACTACAGGCATGTGCCACCGTACCTGGCTAATTTTTAAAATTTTTTTTGTAGAGATGGGGTCTCGCTATGTTGCCCAGGCTGGTCTTGAACTCCTGGCCTCAAGCGATCCTCCCACCTTGGCCTCCCGAAGCGCTGGGATTATAGACGTGAGCCACTGCACCCAGCCCTTTCTCTCTTCTTTCTCTGTGCTTTGTAGGCATAGCCAAGGCTATTGCTAAGCTCTGCCACTGACCACCCCTGGCCCCACCTCCAGGGCCCATAGTGCTGTTGCACCCAGGGGTGTCCTTCCTGGAGTCCTGGCTCCTGATAGGAACAGTCTTTCCACCGTGGCAGGGCCACATGGCCACACACAAGGCAGCCAAACACAGAGCTACTGGATGAAGCCACCAGGGCCATCACCTGAGAAGCTCTGCCCGACAGGGCGGCTCCTAGATCCAACCCAGGACACTGGCCCGGGGCCTGAAGAGAGGAAAGAGCCTACAGATGAAGACATGGCCAGTCTGACTTAAAAACCGGAGCAAAAGGAGACAGGCAGAGTTTATTTAGGTGCCTGGAGGCTGGGCCCAGTGCTCCCGCAGCATACCAGAGCCATGCGGGTGCTCCAGACGGCCGGGTGACTGTGACGATGGCACGAGATAGAAGCATGTCTGAAAAGAGGAGCAGCTGCCACCGGCAAAAAAAAAAAAAAAAAAAAAAAAAAAGCCAGGTGTGGTGGCTCACACCTGTAAACCCAGCACTTTGGGAGGCCAAGGCGGATGGATCACCTGATGCCAGGAGTTTGAGACCAGCCTGGCCAGCATGGTGAGACTCCATCTTTACTGAAAAAAAAAGGTGAAAATTAGCCAGGCACAGTGGCGCGTGCCTGTAATCTCAGTTACTCAGGAGACTGAGGCAGGAGAATCGCTGGAACCAGGAGGTGGAGGTTGCAGAGAGCCGAGATTGCACCACTGCACTCCAGCCTGGATGACAGAGTGCGACTCCGTCTCAAAAAAAAACAAAACAAAAAACTAGGCTCTTTGGGGACAAGGTGCATCTTTTTTTTTTTTTTTTGACAGAGTCTTCCTCTACTCCCAGGCTGGAGTGCAGTGGCATAATCACAGCTCACTGAAACTTCCACCTTCTGGGTTCAAGTGATTCTCCTGCCTCAGCCTCCCAAGTAGCTGGGATTACAGACCTGCACCACCACATCTGGCCCATTTTTGTATTTTTAGTAGAGATGGGGTTTTGCCACTTTGGCCAGGCTGGTCTCGAACTCCTGGCCTCAGGTGATCCGTCCCAAAGTGCTACGATTACAGGCAGGAGCCCCTGGCCCTGGCTGGGACAAGGTATATCTTACAAACACCAAGAAGACAGATTGCAGGTTGAGAAGGAAGTGAGTGAGAGGGTGAGGAACAGGAAGACAGGAAGCAGAACAAAAGCTCAGCTCTGGGAAACTCCCATAACAGGAAGTGGGGGAAAAGAATAGGAGGGAGACTGCCCAGCAGAATGGAGGAAGCCCGGGGAGTAAGAGCCCCTCCCAGAGCAGCTGACCCCCTCCATCCCAGGACACCAAGGCCCGTCAAACATATGAGAAAATCAGAACACCAGCTTTCTGGAACCATCTGAAACTGAGCTGGGACCCCTGGTGACCCCTTCGTGCCTCACTGATCAGGACTGAGGGTCCCTCTGGCACCTTCACAGTGACTAAGAGAGTCCAGAGCTGCCTGGATCTCAGAATGCTGCATTCTGGGATCCTCACTTTCTTGTACCACCAAAAGCTAACTAACCTCTCTGTGCCTTAATTTCCTAATCTATAAAAGGCAGAATAGGGCTGGGCGTGGTGGCTCATGCCTGTAATCCCAACACTTTGGGAGGCCAAGGCGGGCAGATTGCTTGAGGCCAGGAGTTTGAGACCAGCCTGGCCAACACGGTGAAACCCGTCTCTACTAAAACTACAAAAATTAGCCGGCTTGGGAGGCTGAGGCAGGAGAATCGCTTGAACCTGGTAGGAGGAGATTGTAGTGAGCCAAGATCGTGTCACCACACTCCAGCCTGGCCAACACAGCAAGACTCCATCTCAAAAAAAAAAAAAGAAAAACAAAAAACCAAGTCCCTTTCAGGTCTGAGTCTTCAGCCTCTTCATTTCCATAATAGTCTCTGCACACAGTGGGTGTTGAAACAACATTTAAGGATAATCACCACCACCTACCTCCAACACACTGCCAACTCCCTGATCTAAGACAGAAATACTTCTCCAGGGAAAACAAATGCCACAAATAACTTGAAAAGTAAGGTCATAATTGGTGGACAGATATGTGATAAAGCAAGTAAAGTGTCAATAGTAGAATCTAGTTGGTGGGGATGGGGATGCTGACTGTATAATTCTTTCAACTTGGCTGTATGTGGGAAAATCCTCAATAAAATGCTAGGGGAAGACGAAGGTTTTTTTTTTTAATTGTCACTTTCTATAGTGTTAAATATAAGTTAGCCTTCAAAGATAGCTCAGAGGCCAGGTGCAGTAGCTCATGCCTGTAATCCCAGCCCTTTCCGGGGCTGAGGTGGGAGGATCGCTTGAGCCGAGGAGTTCAAAACCAGCCTAAGCAACACAGGGAGACCCCATCTCTGTAAAAATAAAAAGTTAAAAAAAAAATTAGCCAGGTGTGGTGGCACATGCCTGTGATCCTAGCTACTTGGGAGGCTGAGGCAGGAGGATCACTTGAGCCCAGGAGTTTGAGGCTACAGTGAGCTATGATTGTGCCACTGCACTCCAGCCTGGGCAGCAGAGCGAGACCCTGTCTCAAAAAGGAAAACAAACAACAACAACAACAACAACAAAACAAAGATAGCTCAGAATTCACTGGATAAGCAAGCAGTTTAGCTAGACTCAGTCTGCAGGTTGAGCTCAATGAAAGGAGATTTTGACTTTCCTTCAAATAAATGACTAAGCACTAATTTCCTCATAGACATCATTGAATCTTCTGGGCAGTTAATGGGAGAAGACTCTGCTACAGTGAAAGGGAGGGGTGGGGGGTTGCTGTATTTACAAACTCCCTTCAGAGTAGAGACCCAGGCACCTGTCGTCACTTCCTAGCTACAGTTGACATCCGGTAACCATCCTTGGTCAGCCACACTTTCTTTCTGCCTCTGCCAAGAGGCTCCCCCTAGCTCCTCATGGGCCACTTTCTGGCTGTGAGCTGATCAGGCAACTTACACAGGGTCACTGGGTCAGAGGACTCTTGAAAGGGGGGTTGGAACATGAAGCCCCATGATTCAGGGATCCTGGGACTTGTTTGTTTTGTAGGGTTAGAGGGATGGAGGAAAATCTTCCAAATCAGCAGCCTCGAATTCACCAAGAATTTCTACAAGATGAATTTGAGTTGAACCTTCAGTCTTTCCACGAAGAAGGTCTGCTCGCCACCCTCAAAGCCATCTGCCTTTCTGTCTCAGTTTATTCACAGATCCTTTCAGAGACCAAAAAAAGCACCCAAGAGAGGCGGGGACAGAGATGTGGTAGAGGAAAAGACACAGTACAAAGAACGCTCCGCAAGCACTTACTTCCTCTGAGCCTTAGGAGTCCTACCTAAAAGGTTTCTTGCTTGTTTTTCTATTACACTGTCACTCCCATCCGGTATGCAAACAGTCGGCAATGCCTACTACAGTAGCTCGCTGGCTGCCAGGTGCAGGGGCTGTTCAAAAGCGACATCAGGGTCCTAAAAGGTGGGAAAAAGCAGCAGAACTTGCATGGTAGTTGATTCTTTCCTGAAGAATAGGGTCCGCCCAGCCCCACCGGGCAGGAGGTGTCCTGAGTCAGCCTGGCGTTCAGCCCAGTGCTGTGCACTTGGGTGACAGGTGGGGCCCCTGCACTGCCACCAGTAGCATATGTCGGAGCTCTGGGCCCTGACCATCTGCCAAAGCTAATCTTACGACAAGCAGATTTGCTCCCATCAATACCCAGGGAGAGGGATAGGCAGGCCCCTTGCTGCGTGATTCTCGAAAACAACCAGGATCCCGCGATCCGCTTCTCCTATGGCTCCAGTCCAAAGGCTGGAATGGGGGCGTCACCTGCACCAGGCAACTTCGCTAGCCTGTGGGCGTTCCAGGGCAGGGGACGGGGGCGGCACCTTCCAGGTGTGCAGGCGAGATGACAAGTGCGGTCCCTCCTTCCTCCCTCCCCGCGAGCAAACAGCCTGGGGGTGGTGGGGAAGGCGGCGTGCCCAGCCCTTCATCGCCCCATTCTTTCCCACGGCCCTGGCCGCCGCTGCAGCTGGGGCGCCACTCTGCACTCACCTGGGCCCGCGCCGGGCGGGGCGAAGTCGCGGTGGTAGGTCCTCGGCGTCCGGGAGGAGCGGACCGGCCCTCCCGGGGACCGGGCAAGAGGGTGGGCCGGAAGCGGCATCAGGCCCCGTGCCCATTGGCCAGCCTCGCCAGGACGCTGCGACCTGGGACGTGCGATTGGCTGCGGTGCGCCGCGTCGGTGCTGGCTTCGAGGTCGCGCGCCCGCCCACTTCCGGGGTCGCGCCAGGTCAGGAGTCCAGAGTCGGCTGAAGCGAGTTGCCGCGTTCTCTCTGGCGGCGCGACACCGGCCCGTGGACCGCCCGGCCGCCCTCCAGGACCCGGTCTGCAGGAGCGGAGAGGGCGGTGTGGACACCGCCTGCAGGCGAGGAGAAGGGGTGGCGGAGAGGGTACCTGGGTGCGTGGCTGTGCGGCGTCAGGAGGAGCAGGGTGTGGGCGCCCGGCCTGGGGCGTGGAGAGGACGCAGGGAACAGGTGTCTTCCTGGTATCCATCGAACTGAAACGTAGCCCTTGAGCACACACTACACTTAAAGCTTTACTCTTTCGAGGAGGAGTCCTGGAAGCATATGTGATTTTGTGACTATAGCATGGTGTGGTGTCAGTAACAGGCCCTGGATTGCTCAAACTCTATTGTCAGTGACAAAACCCAGTGTAAGCTGGCCTAATATATTAATAGTAATATGCGAGTCCTCCCGGGGTGGCGGGCACTGACGTAAGTGCTTTACTTGGGTCTTCTCATTTCATCCTCCCAGCAACCCAAAGAGCTGGCGGCGTCATTCCCATTTTACAAATGCGAACACGGGCTCAGAGATGGAGCGACTCACGTTGTAAGCGATGGAACTGGGATTTGAAAACACTGTATCCCGCCTGGCAGAAAACTGGCAAGGTTAGGATGGAGAAAGGAGAAAAAAGAAAGATGTCGGCCAGGTGCGGCGGTTCATACCTGTAATCCCAGCACTTTGGGAGGCCAAGGCGGGCGGATCACTTGAGGTCAGGGGTTTGAGACCAGCCTGGCCAAGATGGTGAAACCCCGTCTCTAGTAAAAATGCAAAATTAGCCAGGGGTGGTGGCGCATGCCTGTAATCTCAGCTACTCGGGAGACTGAGGCAGGAAAATCGCTTGAACTGGGGAGGTGGAGGTTGCAGTGAGCTGAGATCGTGCCACTGTGCCACCGCACTACAGCCTGGGCGACAAGAGCAAAACTCCTTCTCAAAAAAGAAAAAAAAGGGCATCTGATGGAAGGCTAGATACTACCCGACATTGAGCTAAACCAATGTCACCTGGTTGGACCTAGGGACCTATTCCTGCTCCCCCTCTAGTTCTGTCTCATTTCTGGGGTTGCACACAGGCTTTTCCTGGGCCTTCATGTTTGGGGAAGCCCCACACAGGCCAGCTCCAGTGGAAGAAAACGCCCCCAGAAGCCTCTTGTTCACCCCGGATGGCTCTGTGGAGTCCTGTGTCTGACCCTGACTTTAGCTTGGGCCTGAGGGACTGGCATTTGTGGACTTGGTCTGGAGATGTGGGCAGAGCCCCCCTCAAGCATAAGGGCTCAGCCAGGCACAGGGGGTGGCTCCTCAGAGGAAGATCAGGGTGCTATTAGCAGAAGGACGATGAGTGGGCCGGGCGCAGTGGTTCACGCCTGTAATCCCAGCCCTTTGGGAGGCCGAGGCGGGTGGATCATGAGGTCAGGAGATGAGACCATCCTGGCTAACATGGTGAAACACCGTCTCTACTAAAAACACAAAAAATTAGCCGGGCGTGGTGGCGGGCGCCTGTAGTCCCAGCTACTCGGGAGGCTGAGGCAGGATAATGAGGTGAACCCAGGAGGCGGAGCTTGCAGTGAGCTGAGATTGTGCCACTACACTCCAGCCTGGGCAACAGAGCAAAACTCTGTCTCAAAAAAAAAAAAAAAAAAAAAAAAGGAGGATGAGTGGTCGCTAGACTGCTGGAGAAACAGTCTAGAGGTAGGGAGCCCTGGGTTCTGTCCTGCCTGTGACACTCTGTAGCCATTTATCTCCTCTTTAGCTTTAGTTTCCACATTAAAAGAGGCATTGAAAAAAAATGAAAAAGAGGCATTGAATTAGGAGCTTTCTGTGGCCCCTTGCAGTTTTCATGTGTGGTGACAAAGTTCAATATAGTTTTCCTGAATTCAGGGGCTTGGGGACCCATGTCCCCCTATCCCGAGTTCTTTTTTTTTTTTTTTTTTTTTGAGAGGGAGTCTCACTCTGTCACCCAGGCTGCAGTGCAGTGGTGAGATCTCAGCTCACTGCAACCTCCACCTCCCAGGTTCAAGCGATTCTCCTTTCTCAGCCTCCTGAGTAGCTGGGACTACAGGTGTGTGCCACCACGCCAGGCTAATTTTTTTATTTTTAGTAGAGACAGGATCTCACCATGTTGGCCAGGCTGGTCTTGAACTCCTGACCTCAGGTAATCCACCCATCTCAGCCTCCCAAAGTGCTGGGATTATAGGCGTGAGCCAGCATGCCCGGCCAAAAGTTTGCTTTCTTTTGAGTCTGTGATCAGCCTTTCACTGAATACACAATTTACATGTGAGAGTGGGTAGAGGAATAGTCACATATGCCTTACTCACTGTCTGGCTCAGTGAATCTGCATTTTGTATAAACAATAGGACAGAGGAAGAAATCACATATGCATTTGTCTTCAGTGAGCGGAGGGCTGACTTTCTGCATTGTACCTGTGAAGATAAGCTATCAATTTACATTGCCAGGGAAAATTCATCAGAACTGTTTTAGGGCAAAGATCTTGAGGCCCGAAAGGAATTTGCTTGTGGAGAAATTGTGAGGGGGGTATGTAGCTCTTTTGAACTTTCTAGCTATCTTATTGAAGAATAAAACGGGAGGCAGGTTTGTCTGATGCGACCCTCAGCTTGACTTTTCTCTTTGGCGTAGTGATCTTGGGGTCCCGAGATTTATTTTCCTTTCACAGTAGGATACATTGATCAGGTCAGTGCCACAGTACAAGGGTCAGAAGTGTTTGAACCCGAGCGACTCCATCTTGAACAGGGGCTGGGTAAAATGAGGCTGAGAACTGCTGGGCTCCATCCCCAGGAGGTTGGGCATTCTTGGTCACAGGATGAAATAGGAGGTCAGCAGGTTTGGTATCACAAGATACAGGTCACAAAGCCCCTGCTGATAGAAGAGGATGCGGTAAAGAAGCCAGCCAAAACCACGATGGTGATGAAAGTGACTTCTGGTTGTCCTCACCGCTCATTATACTCTAATTATAATACATTAGCATGCTAAAAGACACTCCTACCGGTGCTGTGACAGTTTATAGATGCCATGGCAACGTCAGGAAGTTACCCTATATGGTCTGAAAAGGAGGGGAAACCTTAGTTCCAGGAATTGCCCTCTGCTTTCCTGGAAAACTCATGAATAATCCACCCCTTGTTTACCATAGAACCAAGAAATAACTATAAGTATACTCAGTCCAGCAGCTCATGCTGCTGCTCTGGCTGTGGAGTAGTCATTCTTTTATTCCTTTACTTTCTTTTATTTTTTATTTATTATTATTATTATTATCTTATTTGAGATGGAGTCTCTGTCGCCCAGGCTGGAGTGCAGTGGCGCGGTCTTGGCTCACTGCAACCTCCGCCTCCTGGGTTCAAGTGATTCTCCTGCCTCAGCCTCCTGAGTAGCTGGGATTACAGGCGCATGCCAGCATGCCCGGCTGATTTTTATATTTTTAATAGAGATGGGGTTTCACCATGTTGGCCAGGCTGGCCTCGAACTCCTGACCTCAGGTGATCCGCTCACCTCGGCCTCCCAAAGTGCTGGGATTACAGGCGTGAGCCACCACGCCTGGCCTGGAGTAGTCTTTTATTCCTTTACTTTATTATCATTATTATTTTTGAGATAGAATCTTGCTCTGTTGCCCAGACTGGAGTGCAGTGGCACTATCTCAGCTCACTGCAACCTCTACCTCCCGGATTCAAGCAATTCTCCTGCCTCAACCTCCTGAGTAGCTGGGATTACAGGTGCACGCCACCACACCCAGCTAATTTTTGTATTTTTAGTAGAGACGTGGTTTCACCATGTTGGCCAGGATGTTCTTGAACTCTTGACCTCAAGTGATCCGCCCACCTTGGCTTCCCAAAGTGCTGGGATTACAGGTGTAAACCACTGCACCCAGCCTGTTCATTTACTTTCTTAATAAGCTTGCTTTCACTTTATGGACTTGCCCCAAACTCTTTATTATGTGAGGTCCAAGAACCCTCTCTTGGGGTCTGGATCGAGGCCCCTTTGCAGTATAACAAGGATCAGGAGTAGACAAAGAAAAGTCCAGGTCCCTGGCTCAACAGAATCTACTCTCCAGCAAACAAGATAAAACTTGCTATCTCCCTTTAATTGAAGTCCCTAATGTTTAATGGAAGTCCCAGTAGGCATCCATATGGTCTCTGTATTTACCAGCGGCTGGAAGCTCGCTTTGTACGTTACTCTGCACAACACCACATGACTGCTCCTGACAGTAATTTGAGGAGCTTCTGGTGATGGTAAACTTGCACAGTATGTTCAAAACCAACCTACAATCTGTGTTACGCCTGTATGTTTCACAAGGAACATGTCTGTATATTTCGACTCCAGAAATATAATTTGTCAAACCAATTATCGTACCTAAAATGTCTTGTGCTGTGTTTTATAATAATTTACGCAAATGAGTTTCATTTCATGTAATTAACCTATTCCAGTGTGATGTTTCTCACCCCAACTTTGCCAGCTCTCTTTCCAGCACAGAAACAGATTCCGCTAACCATCGCCAAAGGCAGGACCTGTGAACAGCTGAAGCATCTCCTGGTCTCTGCTCTGCTGAGCCTTCCATAGCAAATCCCAGGCAGACAGGGTCCTGAGGATTGATGGCACCTGAGCAGCAGTTGTGACCTTCCGCAACATTCTCTTATGCCTCTATAAAAGCCAGTAATCTCCCGGCATGATGGCTCATGCCTATAACGTCAGAGTTTTGGAAAGCGGAGGTGGGAGGATCACTTCAGGTCAGGAGTTTGAGACCAGCCTGGGCATCAAAGTGAGCCTCTATCCCTACAAAACATTTTTTTAATTAGCCAGATGTGGTAGTGCGTGTCTGTAGTCCCAGTTACTAGGGAGGCTGAGGCAAGAGGATCGCTTAAGCCTAGGAGGTCGAAGCTGCAGCGACCTGTGATTGCACCACTGCACTGCAGCCTAGGTGATGGAGCAAGACCCTGTCTCAAAAGAAAAAAGAAGGGCCGGGCATGGTGGCTCACTCCTGTAATCCCAGCAGTTTGGGAGGCCGAGGCAGGCAGATCACGAGGTCAGGAGATTGAGACCATCCTGGCCAACACGGTGAAACCCTGTCTCTACTAAAAATAAAAAAAATCAGCTGGGCGTGGTGGCACGCGCCTGTAGTCCCAGCTACTCGGTAGGGCGAGACAGGAGAATCGCTTGAACCCGGGAAGCGGAGGTTGCAGTGAGCCGATATCGCGCCACTGCACTCCAGCCTGGGTGACAAGGCAAGACTCTGTCTCAAAAAAAAAAAAAAAAAGAAAGAAAAAAGAAGAAAGAAGAAAAAGAAACAAATGGTCAATAAACTTATGAAGAAGTGCTCAACTACAGCGATAAGCAGGAAAATGCAAATTAAACCCACAATGAGTTGCCTGCCAGACAGGCTAAGGGAGTAGAAGTACGAGCTGGTGCCATCACTGGGGAAATCAGTGACATGACCTCATAGAGCTGAAGCTAAGATTGTGCTGTGGCCCAGCAGTGATTTAGGTGCTGTACGTACACACCTTACCAGCATTCTCTATGTAACAACAGCCCCAGGTGTCCATCTGTAGTGGAATGCATGATCAGTGTGATGGAGTCACATTAGGTTGCTGCAAAAGGACTTGTGGTTTTGGCCATTAAAAGTAATGACAGGGTGGGTGCGATGGCTCACACCAGTTATCCCAACGCTTTGGGAGGCCGAGGTGGGCAGATCACTTGAGGTCAGGAGTTTGAGACCAGCCTGGCCAAAATGGCAAAACTCTCTGCTCAAAATACAAAAATTAGCTGGGCATGGTGGCACACACCTGTAATCCCATCTACTCAGGAGGCTGAGGCAGGAAAATTGCTTGAACCCAGGAGGTGGAGGTTGCAGTGAGATGAGATCATGCAACTACACTCCAGCCTGGGCAACAGAGTGAGACTCCGTCTCAAAAAAAAAGAAAAAAGAAAAAAAGAAAAAAGGCCAGGCATAGTAGCTCACGCCTGTAATCCTAGCACTTTGGGAGGCCGAGGCAGGTGGATCACCTGAAGTCAGGAGTTCGAGACCAGCCTGGCCAACATGGCAAAACCTCATCTCTACTGAAAATGCAAAAATTAATTGGGCATGGTGGCGCATGCCTGTAATCCCAGCTACTCAGGAGGCTGAGGCAGGAGAATCACTTGAACCCCAACGGTGGGGTGAGGTTGCAGTGAGCCAAGATCGCACCACACCACTGCACCCCAGCCTGGGTGACAGAGTAAGACTCCTCTAAAATAAATAAATAAGTAAAAGTAATGACAAAAACCACAATTTCTTTGGCACCAACCTAATACAGTGTAATATTATTGGTAACAAAACAATGAAGTACAACTAAATGCAACAACATGAATGAGTCTTGAACATACACCAAGGAGAGAAAAACCAAACACAAAAGAATATATGTGATCCCATTGACATGTGAATTTCAAAAACAGCCAAGAACTTTATTATAGTGTTTGAGAGTGTATGTTTGGTAGTAAAAGTATAAAGACGGCCAGGCGCGGTGGCTCACCCTTGTAATCCTAGCACTTTGGGAGGCCGAGGTGGGTGGAT
Source organism: Homo sapiens (assembly GCF_000001405.40). Lineage (NCBI taxonomy): Eukaryota > Metazoa > Chordata > Mammalia > Primates > Hominidae > Homo > Homo sapiens. The sequence goes on from NC_000007.14 coordinate 98,258,960, forward strand.
CAAAAGGTCAGGAGTTCGAGACCAGCCTGGCCAACATGGTGAAATCCCATCTCTACTAAAAATACAAAAAATTAGCTGGGAGTGGTGGTGTGCGCCTGTAATCCCAGCTATTTGGGAGGCTGAGGCAGAAGAATCGCTTAAACCCAGGGGGCAGAGGTTGCTGTAAGCTGAGATGGCGCCACTGCCCTCCAGCCTGGGCGACAGAGCGAGACTCCATCTCAAAAAAAAAAAATGTATAAAGACAAGGAGGTGATTAGCATAATGTTACAACAACCAGGATGTGGATGCCTTTGGGGCAGGAAAGGAACACAGAGGGTTGGCCGTGGCCGGCAAGATTCTCATGCTTGACCTTGGTGGTGTCAGGTTTTGCTTTACAATAATTCACAAGATTTATGTCTGATATGCTTTTCTCTGTGTCTTATGTTTTACAATTAAGGAAGGGTTTTACAAAGCACATATGGTCCAGCCTGGCCAACATAGTGAAACCTGTCTCTACTAAAAAATACAAAATTAGCTGGGCATGGTGGTGCGGGCCTGTAGTCCCAGCTACTTGGGAGGCTGAGGTGGGAGGATCACTTGAGCCTGGGAGGTGGAGCAAATCACCTAATTTTACATGAATGGGATAACTTATCAAGTGACAGCATCACACGATTTGTGTGTGTGTGTGTGTGTGTGTGTGATGGGGTCTCGCTCTGTCACCCAGGCTGGAGTGCAGTGGCATAATCATAGTTCACAGTAGCCTCAACCTCCTGGGCTCAAGCAATCCTCCACCCCCAGCCTCTTGAGGAGCTGCGAGTATAGGTCTGCACCACTATGCCTGGTTAATCCCAGCCTCTTGAGTAGCTGGGAGTATAGGTCTGCACCACCATGCCTGGCTAATTTTTTTGTTTTTTTTTTTTGAGATGGAGTTTTGCTCTCGTTGCCCAGCCTGGAGCGTGGTGGCCTGATCTTGGCTCACTGCAAACTCCGCCTTCCAGTTTCAAGCGATTCTCCTGCTTCAGCCTCCCGAGTAGCTGAGATTACAGGCGCACACAACCACGCCTTGATAATTTTTGTATTTTTAATAGAGACAGGGTTTCACCATGTGAGCCAGACTGGTCTCAAACTCCTGACCTTGTGATCTGCCGGCCTCGGCCTCCCAAAGTGCTGGGATTACAGGCGTGAGGCACCGCACCCAGCCACTAACTTTTTTTTTTTTTTTTTTGAGACGGAGTCTCACTCTGTCGCCAGGCTGGAGTGCAGTGGCGCGATCTCATGATTATTTGAGGGAGCCTTCCTTGGAGCTCAGCACATGTAAGGGCAGACCCAGTAGCTGTTATCAGCCCCATCTGTCAATGGAAAGAGAAAGTAACTTGCCTAAGTTCACACAGCTAGTCAGAATTCTTGGGTTGCTGAGGAAGGATGAACCATCATAGGCTGGAAATGAAATAGGTCAAAACTCCTTCAAATAATTTTATAAATGTTGGCTCAACTTCTTGAGAATGAAAATAATACATGTCTATTTATAACACTTATTAATTTGGTTTTACCTACATTTTTCTTTTTTCTTTTTTTTTTTTTTGGAGATACAGTCTCGCTGTCGCCCAGGCTGGAGTGCAATGGCGTGATCTCGTCTCATTGTGACCTCTGCCTCAAGTGATTCTCGTGCCTCAGCCTCTACGGTAGCTGGGATTACAGGTGCTCACCACCATGCCTGGCTAATTTTTGTATTTTTAGTAGAGACGGAGTTTTGCCATGTTGGCCAGGCTGGTCTCAAACTCCTGACCTCAAGTGATCCACCCGCCACAGCCTCCCAAAGTGTTGGGATTACAGGCATGAGCCACAGCACCCAGCCATTATGTACATATTTCAAATCACATTTTGTAGAGAGATTATCTTTAGTAAATGCTTTTCTTTTTTTGTTTTTAGAGACACAGTCTCACTATATTGCCCAAGCCAAAGTGCAGGTGTGATCATTGCACATGACAGCCTCAAACTCCTGGGCTCAAGCAATCTTCCTGCCTCAGCCACCTGAGTAGCCAGGTGCGGATCAGTAGTGGGACTCTGCTGGTGAATAGCCATTGCAACCTGGGCAATATAGCAAGACCTTGTAATCCCAGTACTTTGGGAGGCCTGGGCAGGTGGGTGGATCACTTGAAGTCAGGAGTTTGAGACCAGCCTGTTCAACATGGTGAAACCCCATCTTTACTAAAAATGCAAAAATTAGCCAGGCATGGTGGCAAGTGCCTGTAATCCCAGCTACTCGGGAGGCTGAGGCAGAAGAATCTCTGTAAGATAAAAGCTTATAAGATAAAAAACAAGTTGGTTACTTCCAATATACAATGGTGGTACCAGCAATGGGTAAACATTCCCATTCCAAAAGGGAGAAATTGGCCAACAGAAAGAGGTAACAGGCTCCAGGCAAGTCTGAAACCCAGCAGGGCAGACATTAAGCCTTAAAGCTAAATCTCCCTTTACTCCATGTCAAGGGAGAGCCCCCATGACTGTTCTCCCAGGTTAGAGTCTGCTGCCTGTGGCTTTTCCAGGCTGAGGATGCCAGCAGCTGGTGGATCTACCTTTCTTGGGTCTGGTCTGGAGAGTAGTGGTCCCCTTCCCACAGCTGCACTAGGCAGTGCCCCAGTGGGGCCTCTATGTGTGGGATCCAACCCCACATTTCCCCTCAGCACTCCCCTAGTAGAGTCTCTCTGCAGGGGCTCCATCTCTGCTGCAGGCTTCTGCCTGGGCACCTGGGCTTTCTGATACATCCTGTGACATCTAGGTGGAAGCTGTTAAGCCTCCTTCACTCTTGCATTGTGTGCACCTGCAGGTTTAACACCACGTGGAAGCTGCCAAGTCTTACAGATTGTGCCTTTAGGAATAGCAGTTCAGTTAGATCTGGGACCTTTGGCCTGCGGCTGGAGCTGGAGAGCCAAAATATAGGAAGCAGTGTCCTGAGGCTGCACAGGACAGTGGAGCCCTGGCCCTGGCCCTGGCCCCTGAAGCCATGCTTTCCTCCTAAGCCTCTGGGCCTGTGATGGGAGGGGCTGTCCTGAAGACTTCCAAAATGGCTTCCAGGCCTGTTTTCCATCTCTTGACTCTTAGCACTTGGCTCCCTTTTAGTTATGTAAATCTCTCTACCAAATGATTGCTCCACAAGCTCCTTGAATTCCACCTCCGAAAATGTTCTTTCCTTCTCTACCTACCACATGACCAGGCTGCAAATTTCCAAATTGTTATGCTCTGCTTCCCATTTATTTATTTACTTATTTATTTATTGAGATGGACTTTTGCTCTTGTTGCCCAGGCTGGAGTGCAGTGGCACAGTCTCAGCTTACTGCAACCTCCGCCTCCCAGATTCAAGTGATTCTCCTGCCTCAGCCTCCCGAGTAGCTGGGATTACAGGTGTGCGCCACCACACCCAACTAATTTTTGTATTTTTAGTAGAGATGGGGTTTCACCATATTGGCCAGGCTGATCTCACACTCCTGACCTCAGGTGATCCACCCTTCTTGGCCTGGGTGACAGAGTGAGACTCTGCTAAAAAGAAAAAAGAAAAAAACCAGATCTTGCATGAACTATTAGAGCAAGAACTGATTCATTACCATGAGGGTGGTACCAAGCCATTCACGAGGGATCTGTCCCCATGACCCAGACACCTCCCACTGGGCCATGCCTTCAACACCGGGGGCCACGTTTCAGCATGAGATTTGCAGGGGACAAACATCCAAACCAGATTAACACCACAACCCCATCCTTGGGTTTAAAAATTTGCTAGAATGATTTAGGGAAACATCACTTATGTTCACCAGGTTCATTTTTTTTTTTTTTTTTTTTGAGATGGAGTCTCACTCTGTCCCCCAGGCTAGAGTGCGGTGGTGTGATCTCGGCTCACTGTAACCTCTGCCTCCCAAGTTCAAGCGATTCTCCTGCCTCAGCCTCCCGAGTAGCTGGGACTTCAGGCGCCCACCACCATGCCCGGCTAATTTTTGTATTTTTAGTAGAGACGGGGTTTCACCATATTGGCCAGGCTGGTCTCGAACTCCTGACCTTGTGATCCGCCCGCCTTGGCCTCCCAAAGTGCTGGGATTACAGGCATGAGCCACCGTGTCCGGCCGACCAGGTTCTTATAAAGGTTACAAGTCAGGAACAACTAGATGGAAGAGGTTCATGGGGCAAGGTATGGAGAGACAGTGGTGCATGGAGCTTTACACCCTCTCTGGGCACTTCACCTTCCTCATCAAATCTCACTCAAAAGTTCTTTTTTTTTTTTTTGAGATGGAGTCTTGCTCTTGTCACCCAGCTAGAGTACAATGGTGCAATCTCGGCTGACTGCAACCTCCGCCTCCCAGGTTGAAGTGATTCTCCTGCCTCAGGCTCCCAAGTAGCTGGGATTACAGGCACTGCCATCATGCCTGGCTGATTTTTGTATTCTTGCAGAGACGGGACCTCACCATGCTGGCCAGGCTGGTCTGGAACTCCTGACCGCAGGTGATCCGCCCGCCTCAGCCTCCCAAAGTGCTGGGATTACAGGCGTGAGCCACTGTGCCTGGCCAAAAGTTTTTTTCTGAGACAAGGTCTTGCTCTGCTGCCCAGGCTGGAGTACAGTGACACAATCATGGTTCACTGCAGCCTCGACCTCCCTGGGCTCCAGCGATCCTCCCACCTCAGCCTCCTGAGTAGTTGGGACTATAGTCTTCCTAGGCTAATTTTTAAATTTCTTGTCGAGATGGGGTCTTGCTATGTTCCCCAGGCTGGTTTGAACTCCTGGGCTGAAGTGAGCTTCTCACCATGGCCTCCCAAAGTGCTGGAATTACAGGTGTGAGCCACAGTGCCTGGCCCAAAAGTTCTTATAGAGATTAATCTCCAGCCTCCTCCCCGTTTCCAGAGGTCAAAGGGTGGGGCTTACAATTCCAACTCTAATCACTTGGTCTTTCTGACTGCCAGCCACTATCAAGGGGCTAAAGTCACCGTATTAGCAGAAACTCAGGTGTGATTAATAACAAAAGATGCGCCTATCACTCAGGAAATTCCAAGGTCAAGGGGTGCTCTGAGCCAAGAACTAGGGACAAAAGTCAAATATATTTCTTATTATACCACACCTACAAAGACATCCAGATTTCCCAAGCAACAGAGGGGAGTTGGCATACTTGTCAACCTTAAATAATGTAATGGAGAAAATACAGTTAGGTATAGAGCTTAAGGATGACCACCCAGGAACACCAACTCCCAAAAAATGAAGGGCAGCATTCTGAAGTGGAGAAGTTAAGATTTAACTTACATTGGTGGAGATAGGCAGAGACAGAGAAGTTTTAGCAGAATTACATTTTCTTTTTTAAAAAAATTATTGTATCTTATTTATTTATTTATTTTTGAGACGGAGTTTTGCTCTTATTGCCCAGGCTGGAGTGCAATGGTG